>NC_000002.12:202944163-203247193 GCF_000001405.40 Homo sapiens
AACTGTTGGCTAAAAGTATTTTTGACCAAGTTCATAGTTTGAGCCAAAGAGGTGAAAGATTGTTTTGACTGACATATGGAAAATTACTAAGCCTCTAAGTTGCTCTCTGGTTATTTAGAATATACTTAACATAAGTAATACTGTGAAGGATAATGTGTTTCTTGTTTACTTGAATTTTCTGAATTTTCTACAATAAATATTTTATTACTTTCATAATAAAATTAATAATTTTAAAAGCATAATAACTTTAATTATAAATTATACCACAGGTAAACATTTTACCTAGAATTAACCCTTGTTTCTGTTCATAATCTAGAGCATTCTAGAGTTAATCTGTGCCATTTTGCTCCTTTATGATCCAGCCAAATTGAGTTTTCTAAATTCTAGGGTTAACAGTAATTGGTTGAGAGGTGACTGTGTGCAGGGGAATCCTTTTTGTTTATGTTCAGGTTTTCTGGGCCTATGCCCAGAACCATACTGCATCACCGGCAGAGGTTAATATTCAACAAATAATTTAAATGTTAACCAACTACATTTTAATTTTTCATGTCCAGAATGAAATACTTCTGTAGTTTCCCCTTTATTTGACATTTATTCTAGTTTCTATCAGAACATTTAGAAAGTTTGTGTTTTTTTTTTTCCAAAGGAAGATCAAGGAGTCTGAATGTGTAAAAGGGTTGTCATTTTACCTAGGGTACCTTTCCGAGCAAAATTGTTTATTTGAGTCCAAAAAAAAGTTAATTAACACTCTTTGTAATTGGATTAAACTTTCTATACAAAGTAAGTACAAAGGTGGTTTTACATTGTTTAGGTAGGCGATGACACAGAAGGTTATTTGAAACCATGAAATAGGAAACATGGTATGAAGCATGGAAAAAAAATGTGAGAAACAGATTATAAGAAAGAATTTTCTTCAAAGAACTGAAGATCAGAGAGAGAATATTCCGGGAAACTTAGTGGAACTTTTGGTTTTGTTTGTTTCAGTGGACTGTATTTTTTAGAGCAACTTTAGGTTCATGACCAAAGTGAGCAGAAGGTACACAGATTTTCATATATATATACTTCCTGTACCTGCACGTGCTACAGTATCCCCCTTTATCAACATCTCCTACCAAATGGAGCTATTTGGTGTTTTTTTGTTTTATTGTTTTTGTTTTATTTACTTTTAACTTTTACTTTAGGTTCGAAGGTACATGCGAAGGTTTGTTATGTAGGTACACTCAGATTGTACAAGTTATTTCATCCACCCATGCATTAGGCCTAGTACCCAATAGTTATTTTTTCAGCTCCTCTCCCTCCCACCCTCCACTCTCAAGTAGACCCCATTGTCTGTTGTTCCCTTCTTTGTGTTCATAAGTTTTTATCATTTAGCTCCCCCTTGTAAGTGAGAACATGCAGTATTTGGTTTTTTGTTCCAGTGTAGTTTGCTAAGGATAGTAGCCTCCAGCTCCATCTGCGTTCCCACAAAAGACATGATCTTGTTCTTTTTTATGGCTGCATAGTATTCCGTGGTGTATATGTACCACATTTTCTTTATCTAATCTGTCAATGATGGGCATTTAGGTTGATCCATTTATTTGCTATTGTGAGTAGGGCATTAATGAACATTCATGTGCATGTGTCTTTATGGAAGAATGATTTATATTCCTCTGGGTATATATCCAGTAATAGGATTGCTGGGTTGAATGGTGGTTCTGTTTTTATCTCTTTGAGGAATCACCATACTGCTTTCTACAATGGTTGAACAAATTTACACTCCCACCAGAAAGTATATAAGTGTTCTCTTTTCTCCACAACCTCACTAGCATCTGTTATCTTTTGACTTTTTAATAATGGCCATTCTGACTGGTGTGAGATAGTATCTCATTGTGGTTTTGATTTGCATTTCTCTAATGATTAGTTATATTGAGCTTTTTTTCATATGCTTGTTGACTGCATGTATGTCTTCTTTTTGAAAAGTTTATGTTGAAACTAGATAAAACTACTTTAAATTTCATATGGAACCAAAAAAGAGCCTGTATAGCCAAGACAATCCTAAGCAAAAAGAACAAAGCTAGAGGCATCATGTTACTTGACTTCAAACTATACTACAAGGCTACAGTAACCCAAACAGCATGGTACTGGTATCAAAACAGATATACAGACCAATGGAACAGAACAGAGGCCTCAGAAATAACACGACACATCTACAACCATCTGATCTTTGACAAACCTGACAAAAACAAGAAATGGGGAAAGGATTCTCTATTTAATAAATGGTGCTGGGAAAACTGGCTAGCCGTATGCAGAAAACAGAAACTGGACCCCTTCCTTACACCTTATACAAAAAATTAATTCAAGATGGATTAAAGGCTTAAACGTAAAACCTAAAACTATAAAAACCCTAGAAGAAAACCTAGGCAATGCCATTCAGGACATAGGCATGGGCAAAGACTTCATGACTAAAACACCAAAAGCAATTGCAACAGAAGCTAAAGTTGACAAATGGGATCTAATTAAAGAGCTTCTGCTCAGCAAAAGAAACTATCAGAGTGAACAGGCAACCTACAGAATGGGAGAAAATTTTTGCAAGCTATCTATCTGACAAAGGTCTAATATCCAGAATCTACAAGGAAGTTAAACAAATTTACAAGAAAATCCATCAAAAAGTGGGCAAAGGATATGAAAAGACACTTTTCCAAAGAAGACATTTATGTGGCCAACAAACATAAAAGTTCATCATCATCGGTCATTAGAGGAACGCAAATCAAAACCACGATGAGATATCATCACACGCCGGTTAGAATGGCGATTATTAAGAAGTCTGGAAACAACAGATGCTGGCGAGGCTGTGGAGAAATAGGAACGCTTTTACACTGTTGGTGGTAGTGTAAATTAGTTTGGCCATTGTGGAAGACAGTGTGATGATTCCTCAAGGATCTAGAACCAGAAATACCATTTGACCCAGCAATCTCATTACTTTGTGTATACCCAAAGGATTATAAATCATTCTTCTATAAAGACACATGGACATGTATGTTTATTGAAGCACTGTTTACAATAGCAAAGTCTTGGAACTACCCCAAATGCCCATCAATGATAGACTGGATAAAGAAAATGTGGCACATATATACCATGGAACACTATGTAGCCATAAAAAAGAATGAGTTCATGTCCTTTGCAGGGACATGGCTGAAGCTGGAAACCATCATCCTCAGCAATCTAACACAGGAACAGAAAACCAAACACCTAATGTTCTCACTCATAAATGGGATTTGAACAATGGGAACACATGGACACAGGGAGGAGAACATCATACACCAGGGCCTGTCGGGGGGGTAGGGGGAAAGAGGATGGAGAGCAATAGGACAAATACCTAATGCATGAGGGGCTTAAAACCTAGATGATGAGTTGATAGGTGCAGCAAACCACCATGGCACATGTATACATATGTAACAAACTTGCACGTTCAGCATATGTGTCCCAGAACTTAAAGTAAAACAAAAAACAAAAAACCAGAAATGTCTGTTTGTGTCCTTTGCCCACTTTTCAATGGTGTTGTTTTTCTTTTGTAAATTTGTTTTAAGTTCGATATAGATGCTGGATAATAGACCTTTGTCAGATGTATAGTTTGCAGATATTTTCTCCCATTCTTCAGGTTGTTTGTTTACTGTGTTGATAGTTTCTTTTGCTGTATAGAAGCTCTTAAGTTTATTTAGATTCCATTTTCCAATTTTTGCTTTTGTTGTGATTGCTTTTAGTGTCTTTGTCATGAAATCTTTGCCCATTCCCTTGTCCAGGATGGTATTGCCTAGGCTGTCTTCCAGGTTTTTATAGTTTTGGGTTTTATATTTAAATCTTTAGTCTATCTTGAGTTTATTTTTGTATATGGTGTGAGGAAGGGGTCCAGCTTCTGTCTTCTGCATGTGGCTAACCTGTAATCCTGGCACCATTTACTTAGCAGGGAGTTGTCTCCCTAATGCTTGTTTTTGTCAGCTTTGTTGAAGATGAAATGGTTGCAGGTGTGCAGCCTTGTTTCTGGGCTCTCTCTTCTGTTCCATTGGTCTATATGTCTGTTTTCATACCAGTACCATGCTGTTTTGGTTACTGTAGCCTTGTAGTATAGTTTGAAGTCAGGTAACATAATGCCTCCAGCTTTCTACTTTTTGCTTAGGATTGCCTTGGCTATTTGGCCTTTTTTTGGTTCTATATGAGTTTTAAAATAGTTTTTTTCTGGTTCTGTGAAGAATGCCATTGGCAGTTTGATAGGAATAGCATTGAATCTGTGAATTGCTTTGCGCAGTGTGGCCATTTTAATGATATTGATTCTTTCTGTCCATGAGCATGGATTTTTTTTTCCATTTGTTCGTATCTTCTCTGATTTATTTGAGCAGTCTTTTGTAATTCTTATGGTAGAGATCTTTCACCTTCTTGTAATCCTAGGTATTTTATTCTTTTTCTGGCAATTGTGAATAGGATTGCCTTCCTAGTTTGGCCCTTGTCTTGGTTGTTGTTGGTATATTGGAATGCTAGTGATTTTTAAACATTGATTTTGTATACTGAAACTTTGCTGAAGTTGTTTATCTTCTGGAAGAGCTTTTGGACGGAGAATATGGGGTTTTCTAAATGTAGGATCATGTCGTCTGCAAACAAGGATAGTCCAACTTCCTCTCTTCCTATCTGGATGCCCTTTATTTCTTTCTCTTGCCTGATTGCTTTGGCCGGGACTTCCAATACTATGTTGAATAGGAGTGGTGAGAGAGGGCATCCTTTTCTTGTGCTGGTTTTCAAGGAGAATGCTTCTGGCTTTTGCCTATTTACTATGATGTTGGCTGTGGGTTTGTTAGCTAAGCATCTTGTTTTTCTTAATTTATTTTAATTAAATAATTTATTTTTTAAGAGAAATGTCTCAGCTGGGCCTGGTGGCTTACGCCTGTAATCCCAGCACTTTGGGAGGCTGAGGTGGGCAGATCACGAGGTCAGGAGTCCGAGACTAGACTGGTCAACATAGTAAAACCCCATTTCTACTAAAAATATGAAAATTAGCCAGGCATGGTGGTGCATACCTGTAATGCCATCTACTCAGGAGGCTGAGGCAGGAGAATCACTTGAACCCAGGAGGCAGAGGTTGTGGTGAGCCAAGGTCGTGCCACTGCACTCCATGCACTCCAGCCTGGGCAACAGAGCAAGACTCCATCTCAAAAAAAAAAAAAAAGAGATATGTCTCACTCTGTCACCTAGGCTTAACTGCAGTGGCATGATCATAGCCTCCAGAGTAGCTAGAACTACAGGGGTGTGCCACTGCCATCAGCCAAATGGAGCTTTTTAAAGAAATATACCTTCCTTTTTTTCAATATGACTTTTTGTTATTTATTTATTATTATTATTATTATTATTATTATTATTATTATTATTATTATTATTTTGAGACAAAGCCTCACTCTGTTGCCCAGGCTGGAGTGCAGTTGCGTGATCTCAGCTCACTGCAACCCCCACCTCCTGGGTTCAAGCGATTTTCCTGCCTCAGCCTCCCGAGTAGCTGGGATTGCAGGTGCCTGCCACCAAGCCCAGGTAATTTTAGTATTTTTAGTAGAGACGGGTTTCATCATGTTGGCTAGGCTAGTCTCAAACTCCTGACCTCAGGTGATCCACCCACCTTGGCCTCCCAAAGTGCTGGGATTACAGGCGTGAGCCATCGTGCCTGGCCCAATATGACTTTTTATATAAAAGTTATTAGTAAAGATTCTGTAGTGGGTGAATCTGCAATGGATGAAGATGTTTTGGAGTGAAGCTGAATTGGTCTTTTGAATTTATTAGAAATATTGTACACAAAGGGCCTAGTAGGTAAAAGACCACTCAGCTAAAGTTTTCTGATAATTTTCATGGTCTGCCTGAAATAGAATGTGTTGTAGCACATGACTCTTCAAAACCATGTTTGCTTTCATAGCAAAGATTTTAGGTAATTAGCTGGGTTTTCTTTAAATAGGAAAAGTAATATTAACATTGTCATTGTCAGATTATATGAATTGTAAATAGTTTTTTAGGTACCAGGGGGACTTAGCTAAGAAGGGAGAAAATAAATGAGACTTTTATCTACTATGCTTGGGAAACATAGTTTCAAAATTAAGAGGATATTCCACAGATCAGTCTTAATTATGAAACTTGTATATGATTGAATAACTTATAAAAACTTATTTGTGTTTAATTTTGATTTAAAAATAACCACAGCACTTATTTTCTAAGAATGAATAGAACACTTTTCATACCCCCATTCCTAAAAGTTAGAAAATTTGTATATACATATTTTTTTCACAGATATTTAATCTTATTATAAGGGGTAAAGAATTTAAAACAATATTATTACTGTTGCCTTTTAATGTCCAGCAGGGTTTTTTATATTGTTTTGCTTTTGTCTTTTCTTAGGTTAAGTAACATTGTCAAATATTGGGAGCTAGTACAGAGTGGTAGTTTGAAGGAGTCAGATTGCTTGAGTTTCAATTATAGCCTACCACTAAATAGCTCTGTGTAACCTTCTATGAGTTTTGTAACCTCTGTGTGACAGTTTCCTCATTTATAAAATGTATATACTTGAGATACACGTGATGAGGATTAAATGAGGTAATACATCTGAAGTGCTGCCACTTCCTATGAACTGAGCACGTGTAAGCAGTTGTCATCAGTTTGCAGTTGCTGTTTCATGCTAAAGTGATAAGAGTTATGGCAGGACATTTTTATCTCAAGAAACTTGTTGAACATTGGGGAAGGAAGGAAACAATTCCCATTCTTAATTTTGGGAACTATCTATGATTATATTAATATTTAAAGCATTCTAGTTTGTTGAAGTTTTTCCCCTAACATTAAATTTTTTAAAAAATTTTTTTCAAATTTATATTTGCATTTTTTCAAATGGCCCTTTTTTTTTGAGACAAGGTTTTGCTCTGTCACCCAGGCTGGAGTACAGCAGCATGATCACGGCTCACTGCAGCCTTGACCTCCCAGCCTCAAGTGATCCTCCCACCTGAACCCCCAGAGTAGCTGGTACTACAGGCACATGCCATCACACTCAGCTAATTTTTAAAATTTTTTGTAGAGACAGGTAGCCCAAGCTCAAACTCCTGGGTTCAAGTGATCCTCTCACCTTGGCCTCCCAAAGTACTGGGATTACAGGCATGAGCCACTGTATCTGGCCTCAAGTAACTCCCTTAAAAGTTGGAATACAGTCCCTGTCAAGCATCAGCAATATTTTCATGTTTTACCTAGCAAAAGAGGAGTCTGGGAACGTGGGTTGGAATGATTAAGGATTGTTACCTGCACTAAAGAGGTAATAGGAGAGTAGTATGTTAAGTAATAAAATTTATGTGGTGCTGATGGAAGTCTGATGCTTCCAGACTTTTTGGAAGTCTGGAAGCATCAGATAGACTTAAATTCAAATACTGTATTAGCTATACTTCCAAATGATAGGTCCAAAAGTTTTTCTTCAACTTCATATGTCTTTTTAGTTGATATTGCTCTAAATTTGATAGAGTAGGTTTAGTTGTTAAACTGAAAAAAAGTACAATAAATATACTATTTTCCCTGTGTTTTCAGACTTTTGAGGCACTTTGTAGTACCGTTCTTTATGAACCATAGAGACTATATATAAATGCTGAGATACCAAAATAAATCCTATTTAATTAGACATTTATCAAGTTACCTTTTTTTTTTTTTTGAGACAGAGTCTCGCTCTGTCGCCCAGGCTGGAGTATAGTGGCGCGATCTCGGCTCACTGCAACCTCTGCCTCCCAGATTCAAGTGATTCTCCTGCCTCAGCCTCCTGAGTACCTGGGATTACAGGCGCGTGCCACCATGTCCAGCTAATTTTTGTATTTTTAGTGGAGACAGGGTTTCACCATGTTGATCAGGCTGGTCTCGAACTCCTGACCTCGTGATCTGCCTTCCTTGGCCTCCCAAAGTGCTAGGATTACAGGTATGAGCCACCATGCCTGACCAACATGTTACCATTTTTAAACGAAGGAAGATGACTTTAAATATAAGACAAATGGTTGCCACACAAATAGGTGAAACATGTATGAATAATACAGTAAGTGGCAAAAGGTAAATGTATTACATCCAGACAGACTTGTTCAGATTACCAAGTAATTAGACTTCATCCATGTGTAATGATTAAGACCATTGGTGGTTAAGACCCTAGGATTAGGGTCAAATTGCCTGTTTTTAATCCTGGCTTCACCACTTATAAGTTGTGAGACCTTGGAAAAAAATGTTTATGTGCCTCAATGTTTTCATCTATAAAATGGGGGAAATCATAGAATCCATCATAGAGCTAGGTATGTGTTTAATAATTTATTTAATTAATAATTTTTGTTAAATCAGTCTAGGCATATGCATTTGATTTTTTTTTTTTAATGCTTCCAAGATGATCGTTGCCAGCCCAACAGAAAATGGACAGGTACTTCGTGTAATTCCACCTACCCAGACAGGAATGGCACAAGTGATTATACCTCAGGGGCAACTTGTGGATGTGAATAGTCCTCGGGGTGAGTAACAACGGGATATAGGGGATTTGAGAGTGTTTTAAAAACATAAATATTTTAGAAAAATCACCTTATGAAAGTCAGTGCTAAAGTTGATTTCTTTAGGTAAAAGATTATGAATTAAATAATTAGAAAACAGCTCTTTGCCCAAATAAATTCAAAGTTCATTTTTCAACTCCTGTCTAGGTTAGCTATTTCATTTAAGAATTCTATGAAGCTGATTGACTCCTGCTTCCTCCCAAATGACCAATGAGCATAAAATAAATTATTATTAATGATAACAGTAATAATAACAGCAACAATAGCAAGAATATAATGTTAATAGCTTCAGAAGTTTTTATTTATATCTTTTTTTTTGGAGGCAGAGTCTCGCTCTATCCCCCAGGCTGGAGTACATTGGTGGCATGATCTCGGCTTACTGCAACCTCTGACTCCCAGGTTCAAGCAATTCTCCTGCCTCAGCCTCCTGAGTAGCAGGGATTACAGGCGCCTGCAACCATGCCTAATTTTTATATTTTTAGTAGAGACGAGGCTTCACCATGTTGGCCAGACTGGTCTTGAACTCCTGACCTTGGGTGATCCACCTGCCTCCGCCTCCCAAAGTGCTGGGATTATGCACGTGAGCCACTTCGCCCAGCCATTTATATCTTTATCAATATTTTTATTAGCCATGTGACTCATTACTTTTTTTTTTTATCCTCTTGCTCTTTTCCTCTTTCCTTGGCTCCTTCAGATTCAGAAAAGAGAATCATGCTCCCTATTTCTCCTTGTATAGTCTTTCTTTACCTGTTTGGTAATATGCCTATTACTCTTTTTTTGTTGTTTTTTTTTTTTTTTTTTTGCTTTCCTCCCTTTTCCCTCTATTTGAATCTCTTTTCCAACCTCATAGCTATACTGTTATGTTGCTTCTTCATAGCTAATGGTTTAGGGCAGATATTTTTACCTTAGTGTTATCATTCTTTGTTAATAGTCATTAAGACATTAAGAGAAAAACATAGATTGCAGAAAACATTATGAGCACAGTATATAAACAAAATTAGTTTTACATTTTCCTATATATTGCAGAACTCTTAATATACAATTATTTCTACCACTTTTATATCCTGGCTGTTCAATATAAATTCTAAAAATTATAAAATTACAGTAGTCAGTATTATAATTTAAAGTAAACAAGTATCAGAGAAATTCTCAATAAAGCATTATTCCTTTACTCTCAATAAAGCATAAATTTTCTTTACCTATTACAAATACATAAGTTTTAGTTAGGTATATTCTTATGGTCTTATTCAAGATATTGATGTTACTTTGTTCTTGTTTTTGTTGTTAAGATGTCCCTGAAGAGAAACCCAGTAACAGAAACTTACCAACTGTAAGAGTGGATACTCTAGCAGACAATACCAGCAATTACATTCTTCATCCTCAAACATCCTTCCCATTGCCCAAAAAGTCAGTGACCGGGTGAGTCCACGGGAAAGAGAAGCTCATCTTTTAATATCACCATGGAAATCTTTTTACAAATTACACATTTAAAGCTGGCAGACTATAGAGAAAATCAGAAGATAGAAGGAACTATCATTGAATATATCTTTAGTTATTTTAAGGCATCTTGGTCATAAGGCGGCTATTCTGGAAGCTATAAATGTCAAAAGTGCCACTTTTCCTCAGTGACATCTGTTATCTTTTGAAACAGTATGAAAATTTTATTAGTTTATTTAGTCTGACATTAACAGACTTTTCAGAATAAAGAAACATTCATGGCCAGGTGCGGTGGCTCACTCCTGTAATCCCAGCACTTTGGGAGGACAAGGCAGGTAGATCACGAGGTCAGGAGTTCAAGACCAGCCTGGCCAAGATGGTGAAACCCCATCTCTACTAAAAATACAAAAATTAGCTGGGTGTGGTGGTGGGCACCTATAATCCCAGCTACTTGGGAGGCTGAGGCAGAGAATTGCTTGAACCCGGGAGGCGGAGGTTGCAGTGAGCTGAGATTGCACCACTGCACTCCAGCCTGGGTGACAGAGCGAGACATCATTTAAAAAAAAAAAAAAAAAGACTGGGCACAGTGGCTTATACCTGTAATCCCAACACTTTAGAATGCCAAGGCAGGCGGATCACGAGGTCAGGAGATTGAGACCATCCTGGCTAACACGGTAAAACCCCGTCTCTACTAAAAATACAAAAAAAAAAATTAGCCGGGCGTGGTGGCCGGCGCCTGTAGTCCCAGCCACTTGGGAGGCTGAGGCAGGAGAATGGCGTGAACCTGGGAGGCAGGGCTTGCAGTGAGCCGAGATTGTGCCACTGTACTCCAGCCTGGGTGACAGAGCGAGACGCTGTCTCGAAAAAAAAAAAAAATTCATTATAGTTCCTAAATTTTTAAATTTGTTTTATCACATTTTTATGCATAGAATTCCTCTGTGGCAAAATGTTTAAAATGCTTTTTGCTAACTTTTATTTCAGTTTTTGTTTTTGTTTTAAAATAATACTATGATATTTTAGGGAAATATGTACATGGCTTATGTATTGTTTATGTTATTTTAATTGTTCCATAAAAGTATTTTTGAATTAAGACATTATTTTTGACATTTAATTTCAGACCTTAATAATGTTGCTTTTCACTTGATCTTAGCCAAAAGTCCAAGAAGTGACACATAATGTTACTTCAAACTAGTCAAATTTATCATTTTTTTGATAAATGAAAACAGTTATATAATAAGAGCACAAAATAAGCTTTGGGAGAGATATATGAAACACTTAAAGTTGTTGGGACTACGTGTATCTGGAAGAAGAAATTTAGGTCTTTGACTTAGCAGTTAATAAAATAGCAGTGGTTAAAGAAAATAATAACTAATGCACCCATCAGATCAATCTGTAGTTATTGTTAAAATTTGTTATTGATGACTTCAATATTTGTCTTTGATACTAAGAGGATAAAGCAGTTGAATGCATTTTGTGTGTTCATTGAACTGCATATTTATATATATTCCTCTCCTATCCCAGAATGCTGGAAGAACCCCTTCTGGGGCCTCTTCAGCCACTTTCTTCTAATACACCTATATGGGCCTGCCGTCTTAGGAGCTGTGAGGTGAGTTATAAATAATCATTACCTAGAATTACTTAACTGATTATAACCACAGGTCATCCCCAAATGCCACTTTTGAGTACAACTAATATAGTCTATAGTTACAGTATTTTGTTTGTGTTTATGTTAAATCTGATCTCATCTATTGTTGAATTCTTAGAGATTCTAAGCTCTGTTAAAGCAGAGGTTATATATATCTCTTTACATTTCACTATTATTTCTTCTCTTGCAACTCTCTTCCCTCGTAGTCCATGAAACTTCACTATCATGTTTCTCTACTATTTACTTTTCAACCATTTATTTTCTTTCTTTGCTTGCACTTATTTTTTTTTTTTCATATTATCAGTAGAAAATTCTTCAAGGCTCACTTTCTGACTTTGTCTTTTTTCTCTATATTTTGTCTTTTGGAGCACTTACCTACTTTGTTGACTTTCAACTGACATCTACAAAAATGATTTTCAAGTCCGTATCACCAGTTTATTTATTTATGTATTTATGTATTTATTTATTTATTTATTGAGACAGAGTCTCCCTCTGTCCCCCAGGCTGTAGTGTAGTGGTGCAATTTCAGCTCACTGCAACTTCTGCCTCCTGGGTTCAAGCGATTCTTGTGCCTCGGCCTCCTGAGTAGCTGGGACTACAGGCATGTGCCACCACACCTGGCTAATTTTTGTATTTTTAGCAGAGATGGGATTACACCATGTTGGCCAGACTGGTCTCAAACTCCTGAGGTGATCTACCCACCTCAGGCTCCCAAAGTGCTGGGATTACAGGTGTGAACCACTGCGCCAGGCCAGATTTTGAATTCTGCCTTCCTCTTGTCCCAGATATCTGGCTACTTGCTTGAAGGTTTATTTGAATTTCACCTCAAATTCACCATATCCCATACTGAAATCATCTACCATGCAACAACTAGCTCCACTTCCAAAATTCCATGTCTGTGTAATGACAAATACCGTTTCCTTAGACACCCAGGCATAAAGTTTTGTACTAATTTCTTGCTTTCCCACATTTAGGTAGTCACCAGATTCTTTTTCTTTTTTATTTTTTTGAGATGGAGTCTCGCTCTGTCACGCAGGCTGGAGTGCAGTGGCGCTGTCTCAGGTCACTGCAACCTCCACCTCCCAGGTTCAAGCGATTCTGCTGCCTCAGCCTCTTGAGTAGCTGAGACTACTTGCGCGTGCCACCACGCTCAGCTAATTTTTGTATTTTTAGTAGAGACAGGGTTTTGCTATGTTTGTCAGGCTGGTCTCGAACTCCCGACCTCAGGTGATCCTCCCGCCTCAGCCTCCCAAAGTGCTGGGATTACAGGCATGAGCCACCGCGCCCAGAAGTAGTCACCAGATTCTTTTAGTTTTTCCTTTAAAGTATCTTTTTCTTTTTGGCCCATTTTTCAATAGGCCTTTGTCCTCTTGTGCTTGATTACAGGAATAGCCTGCCCCCTAACATCTTTGACCCTCCCATTTCTGGTCCCTAATGTATATTTTTCTAAGGCTACTTGTATTTGAAGATTGTTTTAATTGTCTTTTCTCAGTGCCCAATAAGTCATGTTATTTTTTCCACATTATTTAGCCACTGTAGCTAGCTTCAAAGGCCTTTCATAATCTGGTATCATCCTACGTTGTCCTACTTTATTTCCTACTTTTCTCAAACTCATCTTCATTCTTGCTAGCCTAGTCCTCCTACTTTTGACAGATACTCCAGAATTTTTCTTTAGCTCTCCCTTTACCCATTTTTATTTCCTTTTCCTATATGTTACTTTTTTCTTCTACTTACCATTTCTAACTATTCTTCAAATCCCAATGCAAGTCCTACATGTCTTTTCTATAAATTATCTAATGATTATTTTAGCCTTTATCTATTTCTCTCTTTAAATTCTTTAGTATTAATTGTCATTCTTAATTATTTACTAGCTTAGGCCGGGTGCGGTGGCTCACTCCTCTAATTTTAGCACTTTGGGAAGCCAAAGCGGGCAGATCACTTGAGGTCAGGAGTTCGAGAGCAGCCTGGCCAACGTGGCGAAACCCCATCTCTGCTAAAAATACAAAAATTAGCCGGGCATGGTAGTGGGCACCTGTAGTCCCAGCTGCTGAGGCAGGAGAATCGCTTGATTTTAGGAGATGGAGGTTGCAGTGAGCCAACATCACGCCACTGCATTCCAGTCCGTGACAGAGCAAGACTCCATCTCAAAAAAAAAAATTAAAAAATAAAATTATTTACTAGCGTGGGTTGTTCACTGTTACATAAAAATTAGACTTTTTGAGGAAAGGGACCATGCCTACTCTATATACAAACCATAGATGGTAGTGAATATTTAACTATCAGAATGCTTCATTGTTTTAAACAAATCTTAAAATGTGGGAAAGAAAAAATATTCTATTTTAATAATTTGAGAAAATTTCTCATAAAAAACCTTGTGCTATATATATTACATTTGTTAGGACATTATTGTTGTTGCTTTTCTAAGTAGAGTACATGTATGTATATACATATATGTGTGTGTGTGTGTGTGTGTGTGTGTGTGTAGTTTTAGCTTTTTGTCCCCCTACCTTTTGTTAGTCATGGTTTTTCAGTGGTTTCCTAAAGTTACTGTTGTGATTGTTTGATGAGGGTTTTAAAAATCATTATTACAAGCCTCATGGAATGCTATGGATATTAGAGCATTTATTAAAACAATCATGCAACCAAATCACCTTATGTTACAACTATAGTGCATTGTGTGGCTTACCTAAAATCATCGTATATCTTGTAAGAAACTGAGTACTCCTGTCCAACAGACTTGAGTATGGTTGTCCAAGATGAACCACTTCTTTCCCAGTGAGGGGTTCTTTCTCCTCTCCCAAGCTGTATCAGTGATAAAAAAATTTTTGAGTTGGCTGGGTGCGGTGGCTCACGTCTGTCAGTACTTTAGGAGGTTGAGGCGGGTGGATCACGAGGTCAAGAGATTGAGACCATCCTGGCCAACATGGTAAAACCCTGTCTCTACTAAAAATACAAAAATTAATCTGGCATGGTGGCGCATGCCTGTAGTCCCAGCTACTCGGGAGGCTGAGGCAGGAGAATCGCTTGAACCCAGGAGGTGGAGGTTGCAGTGAGCTGAGATCATACCACTGTACTCCAGCCTGGTGACAGAGGGAGACTCCGTCTCAAAAAAAAAAAAAAAAAAAAATTGGGTTAATGGCTGAGGAAATATTTTCTGCATTTTGGTTCAAAATATTGTTTAGTAATCTTTTATTTTTTGAATTTCTCATTTAATGATGTTTTACTATAGGCATTTTTTTCAGATTTGACTAAAGTGTATTAACTGGACAAATGTCAATACTGTATTAAAATGTTATCTGTAAGCCTATTTATAAGTATATATAGTTCTGATTATATTATACTGATTTTTTCTTTATTGACATATATTCTAATTTTATTTATAAGTAAATTATAGTATAGCTAAAATTTATATCCATTTATTTGTGGTGAATATTTTGATAGAGTTGTCTAGGTTAGCAGAAAAATTATAAGCATTTTCATTATTTTAGAGGAAATTGCAGATAATGTATTGTTTGGCATCAGATTATCTCTTAACTATTATAACGAAAAGTACAGCCACAACAGTATTTTGATACCTTTCTATTTGTTAAATGTATTCTTCCTTTCTGCCCACATCTCTGTTCTTATTTCCTCTAAGGGGGAAACATACATGGAGTCAATTCTAGGTCTCTGCATTTCATTGTAAGAGATCACAGTTAACATGTTTTTTCTGTTGGTATTGAAAAAAAAGTTTCTCCCCAGCTGGGTGCAGTGGCTCATGCCTGTAATCCCATCACTTTGGGAGGCTGAGGCAGGCAGATCACCTGAGATCAGGAGTTTGAGACCAGCCTGGTCAACATGGCGAAACCCTGTCTCTACTAAAAATACCAGGCATGGTGATGCACGCCTGTAATCCCAGCTACTTGGGAGGCTGACGCAGGAGAATCATCTGAACCCGGGAGATGAAGGTTGCAGTGAGATGAGATAGTGCCATTGCACTCCAACCTGGGCAACAAGAGTGAAACTCCATCTCAAAAACAAAAAAAAAAAAAAGAAAAGAAAAAGTTTCTCCTCTAGTACGAGGATACTCAAATGGTTGTATATAGATAATATCAATTAATTTACATTATTTATTTACACCTTTCCTTGTTTTAGAAGGAATTTAAGAGAGCTTACAAAAAATACGTAAAATATATTAGCAAGGTAGAAATTAAAAGTGGGAGCTAAACAATAAAGAAAGACAAGGATGGGAACATAAATGGAAGTAAGAAAATACATGTCTTAACCAACTGTGTGTGTGTGCATGTATACATGTACTTGTCTATAATCTAGGTATATGCTTTTCAAAAGGGGAAGCATAGTTACTAAATTCTGTGCCTTTTAGATTTAAAAATTATGCTAATTTCCATAAGATAAAAGCAAACCATTAACTATTTTTGGTACTAAGACCAGACAGAAATTTCTCTCAGAGAAGGATCTTCTTTTTTTTTTTAGACAGAGTCTTGCTCTGTTGCCCAGGCTGGAGCGCAATGGCACAATCTCAACTCACTGCAACCTCCGTCTCCCAGGTTCAAGGGATTCTTGTGCCTCAACCTCCCAGGTAGCTAGGACTACAGGCAAGTGCCGCCACGCCCAGCTAATTTTTGTATTTTTCGTACTGATGGGGTTTCACCATATTGGCCAGGCTGGTTTCGAACTCTTGACCTCAGGTGATCTGCCCACCCTGGCCTCCCAAAGTGCTGGGATTACAGACATGAGCCACTGTGCCCGGCCTCAGAGAAGGATCTTCATAAAAAGAATGTTGATATAATGAGCAAATTTTTCTACAGCCTTTTTATCAATCACTCACAGTTTTCATTGGGTTTCTAACAGATGCATGGCATCCTATCAAAATTAATCTCAGGCCTTCCTGCCTTCCTGCCTTCCCACCTTCCCGCCTTCCCGCCTTCCCACCTTCCCGCCTTCCCGCCTTCCTGCCTTCCCTCCTTCTCTCCTTCCCTCCTTCCCTCCCTCCCTCCTTCCTTCCCTCCTCTTTCCTTTCTCCTTCCAACCTCACTCCACCAAAAAAAATCAGTTTCAGTAAAGGAGGCCCCATAGGAAATGAGTACTTTGTGGCTAGTTTTACGCTGATCTGGATTGATCCAGGGTAAAGTTTTAAATATCTGAAAGAATTGATATACATTATATGTTCTTGCAAGTTATCTTTTCTAAATATTCTTTGTCTCAAACAAGACGTTGATAAAGATAGTATGGCAATGAGTTTGGCATTATATTCCCTAACAAACACCTGGTTGAACTCAAATCAGACCCACTGATTGTAATAGACCATTGATCTGAGGGCACAAATGACATTCTCTTGTGAAAGGTGATGAGTCTTCCATTTTGGACAACCATCTCATTACATTTATTATGCAATGAAGTGTATTGCTAGTAATTTTGTTTAATTTCTACCACATGCAGAAAATTGGAGATTCATACCGTGGCTACTGTGTAAGTGAGACTGAATTAGAAAGTGTCCTAACATTTCACAAGCAGCAAACACAGAGTGTTTGGGGGACCCGTCAGTCTCCAAGCCCAGCCAAGCCTGCTACACGCTTGATGTGGAAATCCCAGTATGTTCCATATGATGGAATCCCATTTGTTAATGCAGGTACTTTTTTAAAGAATTATTTTAAAAGGTTCAGCAGCAGCCATAGTCCATTGTCAAAATGTGATTTTCCTAAGGTGATAACATTTTTATTTTGGTAGCTGACAATTGAATGCTAATTGATTAAAATGCATATTAAATTGAAAAAACTTATAGAAAATATAATCAATTACTTTATAATATTGCATTTTAATATATCAATGAATAAATAAGACTTCTTTCATATATTATACTGAAAAATAAAATATCGAAGTTTCCATTAAACCTATTTAATAAAATGTTAAAAGAGCAATTTTATTTTAAATATGTACATCAGCTGTGTTTTTCCCCTTCAGATTAAATATTTTAGCCTTCTCTCTTAATTTGTATTGTGGGAGAAATTTATGTCTATTTTATGTAGCTTGTAACTCTGGAGTTACTGTATAGAATTTGTATACAATCTAGAGTTATAGAATTCTGATACTAAAGTTCTCAAGCATTAGGTATGTTATATACAGTATTCTCAGACACTGGGTTAGTTGTTTACTAAGGGAGTAGAGTTTCAAGCAAATCTCTTAGACTAGTTAGAGCCCCAAAGAATCTAAAACTAAGCGATTTATTTTAGGACTATGAGGGCACTAATTTAGCTGAAAGAGTTGCAGTTTCATCCTGGACCTCTGAGGTTAATGAGATATACTTAAGATGAGATAAATGTAACCACTTCTGCCTGAGTTTCATCAGTATTCTATAAAAGAAATGCAGCATTAAAAATAAATGAGCTGGGTTATTTATATATTTATTTATTTATTTTAAACGTGGAGGCTCATGCCTCTAATCTCAGCACTTTGGGAGGCCAAGGCGAGAGGATTGCTTGAGCTCACGAGTTTGAGACCCACCTGGGCAAAACAGGGAGACCTCATCTTTACAAAAAATAATAAATTACCTGGACATGGTGGCATGGGGCTGTAGTCCCAGCTATTTGGGAAGCTGAGGTGGAAGGATCACTTGACCCTTGGAGGTCGAGGCTGCAGTGAACCGTGATCATGCCACTGAACTTCAGCCTGGGTGACAGAGTAAGACCCTGTCTTTAAAAAAAAAAAATTAACAAATAATAAAATGAACTTGAAATCCTATAGTCTTCCTTTTTCCCATCCTAGTTTTAATCTCCTTAACCCTCCATAGGTAGCTACTACATGAATTTCATGTGTATCGTTCTAGTCTGTATTTTTATACTTTACCTTACATATTGTATCTACAATAATACATTTTATTGTTTTGGATTTTTAAAAAATGTATAAATAGTAAAATGTAGATATTGTTTTGCAAATATTTTCATTCACCCTTTTTTTTACATTTATTGGTATTGATAGTTATAAATCCTAGTTAATCCAATTTAATCATTGTATAATATTCCAGCATGTGACCAAACCACAAGTATTTTTCTATTGATCATCATTTAGGTTGTTTCCAACTTTTCATTATTACAAAGAATGCTGTAGTCAAACCTCCACACTATATATACTTTAATGAAAAGCTGTAATTAGTTTTTCTAGAGTATATGCCTTAAAGTAGAATTGCTGGTTGTGAATTATGCCCATTTCATCTTTACAAGATTATCTTAAAATTGCTCTCAAGGCCGGGCGCAGTGGCTCACGCCTGTAATCCCAGCACTTTGGGAGGCCGAGGCGGGTGGATCACGAGGTCAGGAGATCGAGACCATCCTGGCTAACACGGTGAAACCCCATCTCTACTAAAAATACAAAAAATTAGCCGGGCGAGGTGGCGGGTGCCTCTAGTCCCAGCTACGCGGGAGGCTGAGGCAGGAGAATGGCGTGAACCCAGGAGGCGGAGCTTGCAGTGAGCCGAGATCATGCCACTGCACTCCAGCCTGGGCGACAGCGAGACTCCGTCTCAAAAAAAAAAAAAAAAAATTGCTCTCAAAAGTGATTGTACAGGTCCAGAATCCCTTTGAATTTTTTTGGACCAGGTATATTTCAGAATTCTGAATTTTTTGAATGTAATATGGTAACATTATGGAATACTCCTAGCAGGTATTCTATAGACCAGCAGTCCCCAATATTTTTGGCACCAGGGACTGGTTTTGTGGAAGACAGTTTTTCCACGGACCAGGATGGGGGATGGGGGATGGTTTCGGGATGATTCAAGCACATTACATTTATTGTGCACTTTATTTCTATTATTACTACATTGTAATATGTAATGAAATAGTTACACAACTCACCAGAATGTAGAGTCAGTGGGAGCCCTGAGCTTGTTTTCCTGCAACTAGCAGGTCTGAGCTGGAGGTGATCGGAGACAGTGAGAGATCATCAGGCATTAGATTCTGATAGGGAGCCAGCAACCTAGATCCCTTGCATGTGCAGTTCATAATAGGGTTCGTGTTTCTATGAGAATCTAATGCTGCCACTGATCTGACAGGAGGCAGAGCTCAGGAGGTAATGCAAGTGATAGGGAGTGGCTGTAAATACAGATGAAGCTTTGCTGGCTTGCCCACTGCTCACCTCCTGCTGTGCGGCCTGGTTCCTATCAGGCTACAGACTGGTAGTGGTCCAGTCTGGAGGTTAGAGACCCCTGTTATAGCCAATATCACATAATCAAACACCAATTCTTTATTAGATAGATAGCCACACCAAGAGAAACAAATAAAGACTATAACCTCACACAGCTCAGGCCTGGTTTCGCAGCCAAGTGAGTCCTGAAAAAACCGTTTTCTGAGCTTTTTGGATTTCAGATTTGTACATAAGGGTTTGATAGCTTGTACCAATTTTCACTCCTGTCAGCAGTGTGTGAAAATTTCATTTCCCCACTTTTACTTCATGACTTAGCATTGCCAGATGTTTAAAAATCTTTGTTTGTTTGTTTGTTTGTTTTTTTGAGTCGGGGTCTCACTCTGTCACCCAGGCTGGAGTACAGTGGTGTGATCTCAGCTCACTGCAATCTCAATCTCCTTGGCTCAAGAGATCCTCCTGCCTCAGCTTCATGAGTAGCTGGGACTACAGGTATATGCCACCATGCTCAGCTAATTTTTGTATTTTTTTGGAGAGATGAGGTTTTGCCATGTTGCCTCGGCTGGTCTCAAACTCCTACACTCAAGCAATCTGCCCACTTCAGCCTCCCAAAGTGCTGGTATTACAGGCATGAGCCACTGTGCCCACACCTTAAAAAGGTTTTTTAAAGCCTTAAAAAACCTTTACATTATGGAAATTTTTACATGTGAATCAAAGTAGAGATAATAATATAAGAAACCCCATGACTCTAGGTATCTATCTTCCAGCTTCAACAACTATCAGTATATGGTCAATCTTGTCTCATACCCCTTACACTTCCTCATTCCCTAGATGGTTTTATAGCACATTTCAGATATATCATTCCATCTGTAATTACTAAAGTATATGGTGTATACTAAAGTATATATCTCTAAAAGATAAGGACTCCTTATATATATATATACATATATGTGTATATATATATATATATACACACACACACATACATATATGAGAATCCTGTGATCACACTTAATAAGAAAATTAACAGTAACTTTGTAATGTTATAAAATGTTCAGCATTTACATTTTCCCACTTACCTCACAGGTTTTTTTTCCTCTCCTCAAAGGTTGTTGAAATTCAAATCCAAACAGGGTCCACAGACTGCATTTAGTTAATAAATCTCTTAAACTTCTTTTCATTTGAAGATTTCTCTCCTCTTCTAGGTAGTTTGTTCTGTAATATTTGCCATATTCTGGGTTTTGCTTATTCCATCTGTGTGATGTAGTTTTTGTTCTTTATCTCTTGTATTTTCTGTAAACAGGTCTAGAGCCTTGATTAAATGCAGATTTGATTTTTGCAAGAATACCTCCTCGGTGTGCTGTGTACTTATTGCCATCTGTATGTGTCTCTCTGTTTGTGGTGTTCAGATTGATCAGTGGATTCAGTTTTTATAGAGTATTATGGAATGTTTTTATTTTTGCCATTCCAAGGAGTATGAAATAGTATTTTACTATTGTTTTAATTTGCATTTCCCTGTTTACTTAAAGTTGAACATCTTTTTCTTTGTTCATTTACTACCTTTTTTTTCTTTCTGACTTGGCTATTCATAGCCTTTGCACATTTTTCTGAGTGGTTGTTTATTAATTATTTATGATTGTTTGTAGTCTACATAGTAATTCTACATGGGCAATTACTATGTTATATATCTTATAAAATGCTATTTCTCACACTATTACTTTTATATTTACTTATGGTGTCTTTTAAACAGAAGTTTTTATATTTTAATGTCAGCTTTATTAACATTTGTATTAGTAATTGGTGTTTTTATTTTATATTTTAAAAGTTTGTTGTATCCTACAGTAGTGTAAGATATTCAACTTAAAATCTTAAGTTATATAATTTTCACATCTACTTATTTGTATTATCTATTGCTGTGTAACAAATTATCCCAAACGTAGTGGCTGAAAACGACAAACGTTAATTATCTCACAGTTTCTGTGAGTCAGGAATCCAAGAGTGACTCAGCAAAGTGGTTCTGCTGCAGTTGTCTCATGACTTGACTGAGGGAGGGTCTACTTTCAGATTCACTCTTGTGGCTGTCAGCAGGCCTTATTCCTTGCCACGTGGGCCTTTCCACAGAGCTCCCTTACCACTTGGCAGATGATTACCTCCAGAGAGAGCAATTCAAGCAAGAGTAAGAGAGAGTACCCAAATGATAGTTACAGTCTTTTTGCAGCCTAATATCAAAAATTACTTCCTACCACTTTGGCCATATTTATTAAACGTAAGTTAGTAAGTCTAGCCCATATTCAAGGGGAGGGGATTACTCAAGGACATGAATGCTAGAAGGCATGGATTACTGGGGGCCATCTTAGGGCTGGCTGCTGTATTAACAGCCCAAATAAAAACAAGAAAATAATTATAAAAGGAAATAAAAATTTAAATGATACCAATATTTATTAACCAAATGTAACATTTGCTCACTATTTATAAAATGGTATAAAAACCATATGTCAGGTGGGATGCAGTGGCTCATGCCTCTAAATCACAGCCCTTTGGGAGGCCAAGGCAGGCGGTTCACTTGAGTTTAGGAGTTCAAAACCAGCCTGGACAACAAGACAAAACTCTGTCTACTAAAAATACAAAAATTAGCCTGGCGTGGTGGCACACGCCTATAGTCCCAGCTACTTGGGAGGCTGAGGCAGGAGAACTGCTTGAACCCAGGAGGTGGAGGTTGCAGTGAGCCAAGATTGCGCCACTGTGCTCCAGCCTGGGTGACAGAGTGAGACTCCGTCTCAAAAAAAAAAAAATTATATGCCAGTAGACACTCAGTAAATGTGATATTCACTAATTTTCTTACCATAATTATGGTACCTTTGGTAAATTTTAAAATAAACTTTTAAATTTATATGTTTGTATATGTAAGTAAGACTTACTAATGTTTTCTTTCCTTAAAGCTGTATATTTGAAAGATTTTGACATTGCCACCACCAAGTTACTTTTAATCTAGTGTCTAGAATAGATGGACACTTGAATTAATATCAATAGTTGGTTTTGGCCCACAGGGAGTAGAGCTGTGGTAATGGAGTGTCAGTATGGGCCAAGAAGAAAAGGTTTCCAGTTAAAAAAAGTCAGTGAGCAGGAAAGCAGGTCTTGTCAGCTCTACAAAGCCACTTGTCCAGCTCGGTAAGCTTTATTTTCTTTTATTTGTTTTCTATTAAGAACTTATTTTTGAATAGCTAATACACATATTTTTATTAGGTTTATACAGTACCAAAAAGTATACAGTGAATTCTAAGTTTTCTCTTACCCACATTTGTTCTGTCTTTAAAGCAACAACTCTTACTAGTTTTTTGAGTCATCTTCCAAAGATATTCTGTGTATATGGATGCATATAAAGGCAGAGAGACAGAGATCTCCTTCTTTACCCCTATAAATGTTGTTGAAAATCTCAGTAAAGCTCACTAATATTTTCTTTCCTTAAACTTACATAGTAGTGTACCTTTTTTCTTGATATGAATTCACATAGATTTATTCTCAATCTGAATGCCTATTGTGGTTATCTGCTGCACAGATATGTTACATACTAGTGTGAATGTAATGACATACTTTCCTTTTTTTCATTCTCAGTGTATCTCAAAGCTGACTCCATAGATGTACATAAAAGTACTATTTTTTAATAGCCATATAATATTCCATTTATGGATGAATTATTTAATTCATGTAAGCTGTGAAAGGTATTCCTTATTAGTATTATACAAAGCTGCAGTTATTAACATTGTACATATTTGTGCACTCCTACAAGTGTTTCAGTAGGAAAAATTCCTAGAAATGAAATTGCTAGGGCAAAGGCTGTATCTTTTAAAAATGTTGACAAATATTGCAAAGTTGCTTTTTAGAGCGATTTTATCAATTTAGCAGCAAATTATGAGACCAATGTAGTAAGTTTTAGATAGATTAGGACTACAGAGTAGTCATTGCTCTTGGTAAGAATGAAAAATGTGAACCAATGAAAGATTTTACAATGTCCTTTATGAATGTAAATTTTTTAGACATTGAAAGTATTTTAAGACTTAAAATATATTGAAAGTGTTTTAAACTATTAAGTAAAATAAAAAATTTAAAAGATAATATGTAGTGGTTGGACTTAGTTGATCTTTGAAACACTTTTAGCATCACATCTCACATTATAAATACCTTAGCATTCTTGGCCGAGCATGGTGGCTAACGCCTGTAATCCCAGCACTTTGGGAGGCCGAGGTGGGCGGATTACAAGGTCAGGAGTTCAAGACAAGCCTGGCCAACTGGTGAAACCCCATCTCTACTAAAAATACAAAAAATTAGCCAGCCGTGGTGGCGGGCCCCTGTAATCCCAGCTACTCGGGAGGCTGAGGCAGGAGAATCGCTTGAATCCAGGAAACGGAGGTTGCAGTGAGCCGAGACTGCGCCACTGCACTCCAGCCTGGGCAACAGAGCAAGACTCTGTCTCAAAAAAATAAAATAAAATAAATACCTTAGCATTCTCAAGAAGTTTTTAAAGCCCATTTACAAGGCTTTTCATATTTAATCCTGCAATATTAACTTTAGGTAATATTTAAACCTGACTGTGAAACAAACTTTCAGTTGCTTTTTTTTTTCCATTTAGCCTTGACTTGAAACTTATCAACTGCTTCTTAAATATAAGCATTATAAAAACTTTAGGTATAACTTGGGAGAAAACCTCTACATGTGAAGAAATAATTTTATTTTCCATCATTCTACAAGTACTTTTTGACTGTCTACTCTGTGCCCAGAAACTACATTGGGTGCCATAGGAAGGAGGGAAACCAAAAGAGGAATAAAATTTTACTTAATCCCAGGGAACGGATCAGGAAACAAAAACTAGTAGACAACATGATAGTATAGAATATAGTGTGAAATATATGATTTAACTACCTATTTAGGTATTTAAAGAAGGAATATATCCATACAAATTCATGGCAGGAAAGAAAGTACAATTTAAACTGGATGTTGAAGTTTAAATTGAATTTGGGTGGGTAGAGAGTTAGAGGGATGATATTGTAGGTTAGGAGAACCATATAAATAAAGCTATAGAGGCCAGGTGTGGTGGCTCACGCCTATAATCCCAGAACTTTGGGAGGCTGTGGTGGGCGGATCACTTGAGGTGAGGAGTTTGAGACCAGCCTGACCAACATGGTGAAACCCCGTCTCTACTAAAAATACAAAAAAAATTAGCCAGGCATAGTGACACATGCCTGTAATCCCAGCTACTGGGGGAGGCTGAGGCAGGAGAATCACCTGTGACATTGAATTATCAAGTGGATTTAAGTAATGAAAGATTGGAGGCACAGGCCTGGAAGGAGGCTATTAAAGTAATCCAGGGCCAGGCATGGCAGCTCATGCCTGTAATCCCAGCACTTCAGGAGGCCGAGGTGGGTGGATCACCTGAGGTTGGGAGTTCCAGATCAGCCTGACCAACATGGAAAAACCCTGTCTCTACTAAAAATACAAAATTAGCCGGGAGTGGTGGCACATGCCTGTAATCCCAGCTACTTGAGAGGCTGAGGCAGGAGAATCACTGGAATCTGGGAGGTGGAGGTTGTGGTGAGCTGAGATCATGCCATTGCACTCCAGCCTGGGCAACAAGAGCAAAACTCCATCTCAAAAAATAAATAAATAAATAAATAAATAAATAAATAAATAAATAAGTAATCCAGGCATGAGGTGATTATGCCTTCCAGGAGAATGAAGAGAAGGCAAATCTACGGGAAAAAAATAGTAAAATCTGTAAGTACTTAGATATTTTTAAATAATGTTTACTTTTAATTTGCTAAGTATTAATACAACTGAGAATATGGCATATATTTTACATAAGCCTCTGAATACTTTACAGATAAATTGAATTTTCTCTAAGCTTAAATGCTTAAAGTAGACTTCTGGTTGATAAGATAGATTATCTTGAGATTATAATATAATGAAACAAATTCTTCTTTATCTTGTATAAAGGATTTACATTAAAAAGGTACAGAAGTTTCCTGAATATAGAGTTCCTACAGACCCCAAAATTGACAAGAAAATTATCAGAATGGAGCAGGAGAAAGCTTTTAACATGCTAAAGAAGAACTTGGTAGATGCTGGTGGTGTTCTTAGGTATGACATTTTTATAGTTCTTTTATTTTACAAATTAATTAGCTCAATTTGCAAGAATTATTTTGTAAGGGAAATTATAGTTTTCCAACTATTTCATTAAGTAACGGTTTTATAAGGTAGAGATATCAATAGTTCCCTAGGTATTAAATTGATTTGCCACTGTGTAAGCCATTGAGTTTCTTAGCCCCAAGTTGTAGATAATTCAGACCAAAGAATTATTCCATACTGTATAGCATATACTCTGTATACCATATACCATGTAAAAGCTTTTTCTCAAAATGACAAAGACATACTTAATACACTTTATTATATATTTAGTACTTTGTTTTAGCTACTTACTATGAGCAGAAACTTCAGCCGCCTGTCATTTTTTTAAAACTAATCTTTGATTACTTACGGCAGCCAGAAATGAATTCCAAGCCGTAAATAAAATTCCATTTCACACCTTTTATGCTTTAGGTTTTAAATGTGAAATATTAGCATTCTTTTTTACTTTCCTTTATGTGTCAGTCTGGGTGAATAATTTGTTATTGTATAATGGATTTAAGTGTATGGAATATCGTTTTCGTGTGATCTTTAAAAAAAACTTTTAGGTATGTGAAAAATAAATTGAGTCAACAATTAGATCCTTCAATGAAAGTCAAAAATATCACTAAAAAAATTAGATCCTGCAGTTTGAAGAGCATTGCATATAATTTTTAAGTAGGCATTGTCAGTTATTGTAATAATTTTATACAGAAATATCAATTAAAGCAGTATCCTACCAGATTAGTTCATTTTCCTACCGTCTACTTTTCTTTTTTTTTTTTTTTCATGGCTCTCCAAGAGATCTGCATTCACCTTTAGTTAATTCTCTTGCTCACTTGGCCAGCAGGAGCTGGGAGTGCTGTAGAGGCAGTATGTTGAGCTCCTGTGAGGAAAGAATCAACCATAAAGTTCAGTCTTGACAGGTTCTATCTTTGGTTGGAAGGATGGTAGGTGTAACAGAGAAGTGTAATTTGGGACGAATGTTTGATGAATGGGAAAATACACAGTTCAAAAGATGATGATTTACAATGTCTTCTCTTTATTTTGAGGTAAAATGTACTTAATATGAATTTTCTCATGAACCCAAAATAATACAATTAATATGAAATTTAAAATGCCATTTTCATATATACTTAAAATCCCTGTATCTCCCTCAACTGTAGGACCACAGTGAAAGTCTATAAATATTTACAAATATTTTAATTTAATTGGATATAAAGCAAATCTTAGAAGAGTTAAGAGATCATTTTAAATTTTATTTGATATGAAATAACCATATATAATTTTTTCTTAAAGGATTAATCCTTTCCTTTATGAGTATTAACCTAAGTAATTATGATTCCTACTTTGGTCTAATAATATTAAATAATTTTAATGTTTAAATTTTAGTAATTTTAAATATTTTCTCTTACCAGGTGGTATGTACAGTTACCTACACAGCAAGCTCATCAGTATCATGAATTAGAGACTCCCTGCCTCACTTTGTCACCTTCTCCTTTTCCTGTGTCTTCTCTTGAAGAAGAGGAAACTGCAGTTAGAGATGAGAATTGTGCATTACCCTCACGTTTACATCCTCAAGTAGCACATAAGATTCAAGAATTAGTATCACAGGGAATAGAACAAGTGTATGCAGTAAGGAAACAGCTAAGGTACAATAGAAGAGCATTGTTCTTTTACATTTTTCAGTTTTGTTTGTTGCTTTAAATAATACAGTGAACATTGGAGATATTTTCCAAAATATATGCTATCAGGGTAGATAAGGAATATAGTTTATTAATTTATTAAAATAATCTTATTTATAAACTGATCATTTTCTAACAAATGCTTGGCAAGCAATGGTGTAATATGGTTTATTATAATTCTGATTACTCACTTGAGACATTCTATATTTGGATTTGGCAAATTGGACTATGTCTAAATGATGTATAAAATTAAATAGTTAATAAATACTTTTAGAGAAGAAAACCTTTGTAGCACCAAAGATTTTAAAACCCAGGCCAAGATACTATTTGAAATGCAGTTAAATTTTATTACAACACAATAATTTGGATAGTTCTTTGTCTAATGAAATTTTATTTGTAGTACTCTGGTCTAAGTTTTTTGATCCTCAGGAAATAATAATAATTATATAAGTAATTATATAATTACTTATTTTGTGTGTGCCAGGTACTGTGCTAGGCTTTTTACATGTATGATCTCATTTAGTCTTACAATAGCACTATTAAGTTGGTATATTTATCCCAATTCTACACATGAGAAACTGGAGTCTCAGAGTGGTTAAATAATTGGCTTAAGAGGCAGTGGCAGAGTCAGGCGCAGTGGCTCACGCCTGTAATCCCAGCACTTTGGGAGTCCGAGGAGGGCAGATCATGAGGTCAGGAGATCGAGACCATCCTGGCCAACATGGTGAAACCCCGTCTCTACTAAAAATACAAAAACTAGCTGGGCATGGTGGCACGCACCTGTAGTCCCAGCTTCTCGGGAGGCTGAGGCAAGAGAATTGCTTGAACCCGAGAGGTGGAGGTTGCAGTGAGCCGAGATCGCGCCACTGCACTCTACCCTGGCTACAGAGCGAGACTCCGTCTAAAAAAAAAAAAAAAAAAAAAGGCAGTGGCAGAACTGAAATTTAGGCCTAACGCTATATAGCCTGTGCCTATTACCGTGATTTATGATACTTAGCCTTGCTCTTACTGATTATTGTGTAATCTGATCTGAATAACAAAATAAATATAGTAAGCCCCCTCTTAAAGGCATGAATAGGTTCTCGAAAACTGCTACTTTAACCAAAAGGAAATACAGCAGGTCCTTGAGTTATATCGTTCTGTTCAACGTCTTTTCTTTTGTTGTTTTTTTTAACTTTTTTTGTAAAAGAAGCAGGGGTCTTGCTATGTTGCCCAGGCTGGTCTTGAAGTCCTGGCCTCAAGTGATGCACCCAAGAAGATGGGATTGCAGAAGCAAGCCACTGCACCTGATTCGGTGTTTTCTTATAGCATTGGAGAAAATAATTTGGTTTTGTTGTATGTCCTTTCACTTAAGGTCTCAGTTTCCAGGAGCCTAACAATGATGTTAACTGAGAGCTTACTGTAATTCCTAGAATTATTTCCTAATTAATACATGACTTTTCTATTTAGCAGTTTTCTTAGACATTTTATATTTATTTCCACTGGGGCATCATTAGCATAAGGCAAAAATTTGGTAAAGCCATTCACTATTTACTAAACCTGAATCTTAACAATGGAAGTATAATACAGTTCTGCGATTTGGTCCACCAAATGTAATAAGCATATATATGTTAAATTTTATCATTTCTTTTATATATTGATTTTTTATACAATTAAATAACAGTGCTGCCTTCTATTTCTATCTTCTTTTGTCTCCGTGTAAAATTCAAGCCCATCATATTTCATATAATATTAATTGATACTTTTGGAAGCAATGTAACATGATGTTTACGCACATAACCTGGGTATAGGCCCAAGCTCTCTTATTTACTAGGTAGGTGTATGATTTTGGGCAAATTATTTCACTTCTACAGTCCTTAGTTCTATCATCTGTAAAGTGGGAATGATAATTGTACGTATGTCGTTGATCATTAAGGGTTAAAGGAGATATTTGATGTGAAGTGTTCCATACAGTGCCTGACATAGCATTAAAAACATTATTATACTTAAACTGAAAATAATGATTTCTTTAAATTCATAAAAATATCAAAGCTCAGCTGGGCGTGGTGGCTCACGCCTGTAATCCCAGCACTTTAGGAGGCCGAGGCGGGCGGATCGCGAGGTTAGGAGATCGAGACCAGCCTAGTGAAACATAGTGAAACCCTGTCTCTACTAAAAATACAAAAAATTAGCCGGGCGTGGTGGCACACTCCTGTAGTCCCAGCTACTCGGGAGGCTGAGGCAGGAGAATCGCTTGAACCCGGGAGGCAGAGGTTGCAGTGAGCCGAGATCACACCACTGCACTCCAGCCTGGGCGACAGAGCGAGACTCCATCTCAAAAAATAATAACAAAACTCACTCTAATATATTTAGATGTTTTACCAATGAAAATATTACATTTCTATAGTCTGCAATAATTCTATGTTGTATGGAAAAAGTTTAAATAGGAAAATATAAATTACTTACAGAGCTATAAACCATACTTTATAGAAGTTTATACTGAAAGAGAACCTTTCTGTCTTTTGATCTAAAGGCATATTGCTAAATGGTTTATGTCTTTATTCCATTTTGTATTCTTTACAGAAAATTTGTGGAAAGGGAACTGTTCAAACCCGATGAGGTACCTGAAAGACATAATTTATCTTTTTTTCCAACTGTAAATGATATAAAAAATCACATCCATGAGGTACAGAAATCCTTGAGAAATGGAGATACGGTATATAACTCAGAGATTATTCCAGCAACGGTATGATTACAACCATAATTCCTTATTACAGAGTCTTTCTCAGCTTCTATTAATATTTAGTCTAATAAGAATGGCTAGTGTTAGGCCATCTGAATAACTGCAATATAAGCAAATACAATAGGCCGGGCGTGGTGGCTCATGCCTGTAATCCCAACACTTTGGGAGGCCGAGACGGGTGGATCACCTGCGGTCAGAAGTTTGAGATCAGCCTGGCCAACACGGTGAAACCCCATCTCTACTAAAAATACAAAGATTGGGTGGGCGTGATGGTGGGTGCCTGTAATCCCAGCTACTTGGGAGGCTGAGGCAGGAGAATCACTTGAACTCAGGAGGCGGAGTTTGCAGTGAGCTGAGACTGCACCACTGTACTCCAGCCTGGGAGACTCAGCGAGACTCCATCTCAAAAAATATATATATATAGCATCTTTTTCTTAAAATGTAAATACTCAATGTTTAGAAAATGACTAAAAGTTTTTTATTACTTTCACAAGAAGAAAAATCAGTGAATTCCCAACTCCATAATAAAAACACTGGCCAGGCACAGTGGCTTGTGCCTGTAATCCCAGCACTGTGGGAGGCCGAGGCGGGCAGATCACCTGAGGTCAGGAGTTCGAGACCAGCCTAACCAACATGGCAAAACCCCATCTCTACTAAAAATACAAAAAATAGCTGGGTGTGGCCGGGCTCAGTGGCTCACGCCTGTAATCCCAGCACTTTGGGAGGCTGAGATGGGCAGATCACAAGGTCAGAAGATAAAGACCATCCTGGCTAACACATCTCTACTAAGAATACGAAAAATTAGCCGGGCATGGTGGCAGGTGCCTGTAGTCCCAGCTACTCTGGAGGCTGAGGCAGGAGAATGGTGTGAACCCGGGAGGCGGAGCTTGCGGTGAGCCAAGATCGTGCCACTGCACTCCAGCCTGGGCAACAGAGCGAGACTCCGTCTAAAAAAAGAAAAAAAAATTAGCTGGGTGTGGTGGCGTGCGCCTGTAATCCCAGCTACTCGGGAGGGTGAGGTAGGAATCGCTTGAACCTGGGAGGCGGAGGTTGCAGTGAGCTGAGATAGCGCCACTGCACTCCAGCCTGGGAGACTGAGACTTCATCTGAAAAACAACAACAAAAAACCACTAATCTTTATTTTTAAATCAACATGTATTTTCTCTGTAAAAATTATTCTTACTCATTTAACAGACATTTATTGAGTACTATTGTATATATTTCCCCTCCCTTTTTTAATAAATGGGCAAATTTAAATACAGTTGTTTGGGCTGGGCGCGTTGGCTCATGCCTATAATCCTAGCACTTTAGGAGGCTGAGGCAAGTGGATCACCTGAGATCAGGAGTTCGAGACCAGCCTGGCCAACACAGTGAAACCCCATTTCTACCAAAAATACAAAAATTAGCCGGGCGCGGTGGCAGGTGCCTATAGTCCCAGCTACTTGGCAGGCTGAGGCAGGAGAATCACTTGAATCCGGGAGGCGGAGGTTGCAGTGAGCCATGATCATGCCGTTGCACTCCAGCCTGGGTGACAGCAGCAAAACTCCATCTCAATAAATAAATATATATCCATCTATCCATCCATCCATCCATACATACATACATACATACAGTTCTTCATACTTGATTGCCCAAAGTGATAATGTTGGTTCCATATGCCATCTGTGGATATCAGTTTAACTCATACTTTTTTTTTTTTGAGACAGTCTCTCTCTCTCTTGCTCAGGCTGGATTGCCGTGGCATGATCCTGGCTCAGTGCAACCTCCATCTCCCAGGTTCAAGCTATTCTCCTGCCTCAGCCTCCCAAGTAGCTGGGATTACAGGTTTCAGCCACCATGCCCGGCTAATTTTTTTGTTTTTATTAGAGACGGGTTTCACCATGTTGGCCAGGCTGGTCTCAAACTCCTGACCTCACGTGATCTGCCCTCCTTGGCCTCCCAGAGTGTTGGGATTACAGGCGTGAGCCACCACACCCGACCTTAACTCATAGTTTGATATGGTAGTTTCTCCCTGAATATTAGTCATCTCTGTGAAAATTTTGCCTACTCTGAAGAGATTAATTACCCAGAAACAACTAATTACAATACAGCCAGTGATTATGCCATTAAAATCTGAGATGTAGTATATTTTGCTTTCCTAACTTGTTATCCAAATGCAGTATCTGAAAAAATATGGATATTTTAAAAGCCAAAACTATTTCTTACAATCCATAACTCTTTGTCTTTTTTTTTTTTTTTGAGATAGAGTTTCACTGTCACCCAGCCAGAGTGCATTCACACAATCACGGCTCACTGCAGCCACGACCTCCAAGACTCAAGCAGTCCTCCCACCTTAGCCTCCTGGCAGCTGGGACTACAGGCACCAGCCATTACACCCAGCTAATTTTTTAAGTTTTTGTAGAGACTGAGTCTCACTTTGTTGCCCAGGCTGGTCTCAAACTCCTGGCCTCAAGCACCTCTCCAGCCTTGGCTTCCCAAGCCTTACGGGCATGACCCACTGTACCCAGCCCAATAACTCTTAATTATTCACTATCTAAATGTTAGAAGTAGTCCTTGTCATCTACACTGTTGTCTAAATCCTTGCTATCTGAACTCAGGAATTTAATGTATTTGTATAGTAAAGTATACTTGTGCTTGAAGAATATGAACAAGTGAAGAGAGTAGTTGCAGAATAAATCACATACTGTGAATAAAATATGACAGTCGTAATGACGTCTTAAGATATTTTTCAATATAAGAGCTTTATTTTTACTGAAATAAATGTTCCCATTTCAGCTTCAATGGACTACAGACAGTGGGAATATTCTCAAAGAGACCATGACAGTTACATTTGCAGAAGGTAGGTTTTCTTGAATACCTTTAAAATATAAATTCAAATGGTGTTTAACTGGAAGGAACTTAAGATATTATCTCATCTAATCAAATTTTATAGATAAGGAAACCAGGATCCAAAGACGTAGGAGCAGCTATGTTATGGTTTATCAACATACTTCCTACTATTTTAATTTCCTCTTATACTTTGTTTTTAATGCTTTTTTATGACTGACATTTTGAAGCTGATAACTAGCACAGTTAACTGTAGCTAATTCACTAAGTCTGGCTAATTCCAGTAGTAATAACCCTAAGATGCCCTGATCTGGGAACTATGGTCCATTTTTTACGGTTGCTTTTTCTCATGTGTTCTTACTGCTGGGCCCTTTCAATATTCCAAACTTATTTCCACCCTTTTGCATTTCTTCTCTGTTCTGGAAATGTCTTTTTTCTTATGCATGGCAAACTCCTCTTAGTACTCAAATTGTAATCTCTTTTAAGTACATTCATAACTTCACCCCCTATATAAAGTTAAACCTCTGAATTTCTTTTTTTGTTTTTGAGACGGTCTCACTCTGTCACCCAGACTGGAGTGCAGTGGTGCGTTCTCGGCTCACTGAAACCTCAGCCTCCCGGGTTCAAGTGGTTCTTCAGCCTCAGCCTCCCGAGTAGCTGGGATCACAGGCGCACGCCACCATACCTGGCTAATTTTTGTATTTTTAGTAGAGACAGGGTTTTGGCATGCTGGCCAATCTGATCTCAAACTCCTGACCTCAGGTGATCCACCCACCTTGGCCTCCCAAAGTGGTGGGATTACAGGCGTGAGCCACTGCACCCGGCCAAACCTCTGAATTTCTATAATGAGCATCTGACTGATAGCATTTACTGAGCTCAGCAACACTGGCAAAAGAATAGAGCATTGGTAGGACAGGAGAGAGAATAAAGGACTTACTAGATTTGTAAAGTTGAGTATCTGAGCCATTTCAGTGGCGTGGATTGGGAGGAAGCCATATTGGGGTGATTGAAGTGTGAATGGGAGATGAGGAAGGAGTAGGGACTCCTTAAAAAGTGTACCACTTTTTCAGGAATTTTGCAATGGCAAATGGGGTTGAGGGAACGTATTTTAAGAGTAGAGAACTGAAAAGATAGATGAAGATGGTGATGGGAAGTTGAAGAAACTTCTGTTGGCTTTCCTTTTCTCTGTAAGAGTGCTAAGGATAAGGAAAGGTTTCAAGAAGGGTGGCATGGATTTGAGGGAAATGCAAATTAGAAATTATCCTGGATAGAGAGTGAAACATTGCCAGATACAGGTGAAGGTCCAATCAAAGTTAATAGTGAATTGGTATTAGTAGAATTAGTGAGTTTCTTTTTCAGTGGCACTCAGCTTCCCATGTATTGGTGCAGGAAAGCCATTTTTATGCAGAGTTAGGGTTTTACTGGAGGGATATGACCAAAGGACAGAGAGGCAAGAGAGTTTAGGTACTTGTAAAAGAGTGACTGAAATTTTATAGACCTAGGACTGTAAGCTGGATGGGGGAAGAATTTTATTAAGAAAGAGGTTGATGGATCTGAAGAAAACTGAGGGATTAATTGACTGGAGGTTCACATGAGGTTGAAGAACAATTGTAGTGAAATACATGAGCAAAATCTCTGGAAGAATAAGAGGTTGTAGCTGGGCACGGTGGCTCACACCTGTAATCCCAGCACTTTGGGAGGCCAAGGTAGGTGGATCATTTGAGGTCAGGAGTTTGAGACCAGCCTGGCCAACATGGTGAAACCTGGTCTCTGCTAAAAATACAAAAACTAGCTGGGCATGGTGGCACATGCCTGTAATCCCAGCTACTCAGGAGGCTGAGGCAGGAGAATCGCTTGAACCTGGGAGGCAGAGGTTGCAGTGAGCTGAGATCATGCCACTGCACTCTAGCCTGGATGACAGAGCAAGACTCCATCTCAAAAAAAGAATAAAAATCTAAAAATAAGAATAAGAGGTTGTGATCAGAGAATGAGATGTTTGAACTTGAGATTTTAGAGGTAGGATCATCCAGAGTATGATGATAGTGGTGGGTGACTACAGCAGTGAAGTAAAAGGACATTAATAACGAAGAAACCAAGAAATGCATGATTGCTGTTTAGTCCTCTCAGTGGTCCATTGAGAAAGGACTCTTAAGCTGATTTTACAGATGAGGAAGCTGAAGTTTAGAAACTAAGTTATAGGATGGGTGCAGTGACTCAACGCCTGTAATCCCAGCACTTTGGGAGGCCAAGGCAGGTGGATCACCTGAGGTCAGAAGTTCGAGACTGGCCTGGACAACATGGTGAAACCCTGTCTCTACTAAAAATACAAAAATTAGCTGGGCATGGTGTCACACACCTGTAGTCCCAGCTACTCAGGAGGCTGAGGCAGGAGAATCACTTGAACCTGGGAGGCAGAGGTTGCAATGAGCCGAGATTGCGTCACTGCACTCCAGCCTGGGCAACAGAGCAAGACTGTCTCAAAAAAAAAAAAAGAAAGAAAAGAAAAGAAACTGAGTTATATAGCGTATTGAAGGTGACACAGAAAGCCAGTGCTTAAATCCATTCTTCTCTGATACTCTGGCCATTTTAAAATCAGTCAGTTGTATTATGGAAGCAATAAATGTTCATTGATAATTAGGTTTTCTCTTTCTGTTTTGAGACAGGGTTTCACTCTGTCACCCATGGTTGAGTACAGTGGGACGATCTTGGCTCATTGTATCCTCTGCCTCCTGGGCTCCAGTGATCCTCCCACCTTAGCCCCCCAAGTAGCTGGGACTACAGGCACATGCCACCACGCCTGGCTAATTTGTGTATTTTTACTAGAGGCAAGGTTTCACCGTGTTGCCCAGGCTGGTCTCAAACTCCTGGTCTCAAGTTATCCATCTGCTCTGGCCTCCTAAAGTGCTGAGATTACAAGCGTGAGCCACTTCGCCTGGCCGATAATTAGTTCTTCACTGACTTAAAGAGATGAATATATTTGGGTTAACGTATAAGAATTACATGAGAATGATTCAAATTCCCTACAATTAGTTTAAATTTGAGATACTAAGAAAATAGAGTTTTTATTTTTATTCATTTATACCAAAATGAGTTATTGAAATAAATTTAATGCTGTTATCATTAAAGACCAATTTTTCCAGGTATTGTCCTAGTTACTAGGGCTACAAAAGGTGAATTAAGTTTGGTGTTAATTGAGAAGCTCCTTAGATTTCACACTTCTAGAGAAGTTTAGTATAGTCCAGCATTATAGTACGGAGAACACACTAGATTCGAGTTACAGATATAGCGTCTTTCAAGTATATATATATATATATATATATATATATATATATATATATATATAGTTGTGCCTCTGTATCTATGGGTTCTGTATCCATGGCTTCAACAAACTGCTGACCAAAAATATATTTTTAATTGGATGTATACCAAACATGTACATATTTTTTCCCTATTATAATCTAGAGATGATTTAAAGTATATTGGAAGACTTCTACATTGTATTGTGTATTATAGGTAATCCAGAGAGGATTTAAAGTTTGTGGGAGGATATGCTTAGATTTTATGCAAATACGATGCCATTTTATATCAGGAACTGAGCATCTGTAGATTTTTATTTCTGATGGAGGTCCTGGAACCAGTCTTCCATGGATATGGAGGGACAATCCCATTCTAGATCTACCGAATTAAAATTAATGGAGGTTAAACCTAGGAATCTATGTTTTCTTAAACATCCCTTAGAGATTCTTATTATCTGCCAGGTTCTGCAAATAGTGGGCTACATCAGCAGTCCCCAGCCTTTTTGGCATCAAGGACCGGTTTTGTGGAACACAATTTTTCCACAGACCCAGGGTGGAGAGTTGGGGGGATGGTTTTGGGATTAAACTGTTCCACCTCAGATCATCAGGCATTAGATTCTCATAAGGAGTGTGCAACTTAGATCCAAGAATCTAATGTTTCTGCTGATCTAACACGAGGTAGAGCTCACGCGGTAAGGCTTCCTCATGCAGTAAGGCTTGCTTGCCCCATGCTCACCTCCTGCTGTGCAGCCCAGTTCCTAACAAGGCACAGACTGGTAGGGTCAGGGACCCTTGGGCTAGATGACTTATTGAAGTCCTTTGCAAAACTTTGAAAGTATTTCCTATTTTAGTTCTGACAGAAAGGGTTGTAATAAAGTATTTTTATGACTTCATAGAAGCCATAAAAATTATTTTAATAGTTTCTTTAATATAATTTAGGAAATTCACCAGGAGAATCAATTACCACCAAAGTGGAAACAAATCAGACCAGGGGTTCTTTGTCTCCTGAGCCAACCCACTTGCTCTCCTCACTCTCCTCATTTCAGCCCAAAATATTTACACAACTACAGGTAGGTATCCAGTAAAATATCCAAATTTGAGGTCCTTCTCTTTATTCCTCCATTTACCTCTTCTTCTCCTAGGGATTTTAGAGAATTGTTACAGAATTATAATAATGATGAAATATGTTTTCATTGTTAATTTCCTGATCTTTTTGTTTCTTGATTTAAGATAATTCAAACAGTATGTTTTTTAAAAGTTTAAAGTTGACTATGAATGCAGTAAATTTAGTTGTACTACTTTTCCCTTGATTCTTGTTTCTTTCTTCATTTAATAATTATTTTTAACCATACTCTTTTTATTTGTTCGGATTTTTTGTCAAAAGAATTGTATATCCTATGAGAATATCATACATAGGAAATTCAAACATTTTGATGTACTCTTTTTGGTTTAAAAGGGTTTGCAGTTACAACCAAGGTACACCTCTCCTGATGAATCACCAGCTGTGGTATCAGTAAATAACCAGCCGTCCTCTAGTCCTTCAGGACTTCTGGATACAATAGGAAGTGCTGTAATGAATAATAATTCTCTACTGCTTGGTCAAAGTCATAGCCTTCAAAGAGATACATGCTTAACCCAAAACAATAGTACTGCCTCCACCATGGGTAACCTTCCAGAACCAGATCAAAATCTAGTTGCAATGGACGAGCTGGTAGAAGTTGGAGATGTTGAGGATACAGGGAATCTGGAAGGAACTGTTCATCGGATTCTGTTGGGAGATGTGCAGACTATTCCAATACAGATTATAGACAACCACTCAGCTCTTAGTAAGTTGAAATCAATTTATGATGTTATTGTTGTAACCTTTGTGGATTATCATCACTATATTATACTATAGATAAAACTATTATTTCTACCCAGTGGGTCTATGATATTATGTAAATGAAGCAAAATTATGAGAGAGAAGGAGGAGATTTCATTACCCTGCGTTTCAGAACTTTTAACCTTAAATTTTCTTCTTCTTATTTCTAATTATTTAGTACCGTAGAAATTACTTATTCCCTAATTACCTGTTTTCCATGGAAAATCTGTGGTAATGTGAAACCAGGAAGGTCATTTTAGAGTACATGAAAAAATTAATAGGAAAAAATTAAACAAGGAAAAATATTTTCATGCAAAGGTTATTATGGAAGAATTGATGTATGCACACATACACAAAGAAAAATGAAAGAAGTAGGCATATATGAAGGTTAAAAGGAAGATTTTCATTTTTGGTTTTTTGTTGTTTTGAGACAGAGTCTCATTCTGTCACCCAGGCTGGAGTACAATGATGCAATCACAGGTCACTGCAGCCTTGACCTCCTTGGTTCAAGCGATCTTCCCACCTCAGCTTCCCAAGTAGCTGGGACCACAGGCACATGCCACCATACTGGGCAAATTCTTTAATTTTTTTTTTTTAAACCAGCCTGTTGCGCAGGCTGGTCTTGAACTCCTGGGCTCAAGCAATCCTCCCACCTCAGCCTCCCACTCCTCACGCAGTGAGCCACTGCACCTGGCCAAAAGGAAGATTTGGAATTACAAAATAAATGTTGAGTTGAAAGGGAACTAGTAAGACTTGGGCATTTAGGTTTAGCCCAAGACCTTCTTACCTTCACTTTATTACTAATCTCTGTCAACATAGAAGTAAACTCTGTTAACTCCTACTTTATCTGTTACTTCTTTGCACATGAATTGTTCTGGATTGGGCACTTTTGTGGGAAAAGATTTGCAGTTTGCTTTGAAGAACAAAAGTTTTCACAGAAGTTATTTTTAGAATATAAAATATTTTTCCCCTCTCTTCCAGTGTCATGAAATAGATTAACTTTTAGGATTTTTCTGTTTGTTTTTAAAGTTGAAGAAAATCCAGAAAGTACCATTTCTGTGAGCCAAGTTAAACAAGAACCCAAAGAACCAGCATTGTCTATGGAAGCAAAAAAAACTGTGGACTATAAGAAATTATCTGCTACATAAATTATTGAAGCTTTTCAGAATTTACAACTCTGGTGACTTCTGATGTCTTAGAAAGGAAGGTGAATATAGTCAAAGCGTGGCATTGAGATAATTGGACTGAAGACCAGTTTGATGAGAAGCTTTTATTTAAAACTGATATATTTGTTGCCAGTTCCATATTTTTACCTTCCTTAAGAGATGTTTTACTCTTCTTATTTTGTATAATTTTTATGCTCTTTGATTATCTAATAAGGCCAGTATTTCAAAAGCTGTTCTGAATTTATCCACAGTAATATAGTCTGAACACAAATAGTTTACTTAACTTATCCTTGGAAATATTCAATTTTGGTTATTACAAAACAGAAAAGAACAACAGCAACAAAAACATTGTGTGAATGTATGTTTGTATGTGTGTATGTATATCATGAATTTTTTTTTTAAGTTCTGAAAAAGAACTTGTTCTCTCCTTAAAGTTGTGAAGAAATTGTTAATTGCCAGACAGGTAAGAAAATGTTTATAATCTATCTCATTAAGAAAGATGAAGTATTAGATTTTACATCATAACACAAAGTCCAGCAGCTACATCTGTGGAAACTGTGCAGTTGCATTTTAGCCTCTTCCCTTCCAATTTTTGTACTTTTAACTACAAACCAGTAGTATACTAATGGTTATCTAATAGAAATTTAAAGTGTCTTGGTAAGTACTGAGAATTTTTACTTGAATTAATCAGATAAGCAACAGAAATCAACATATGTAGCATGGATTTGTGCTATATTGGAAGTAAAACACTATAGGCAGAAAGATGTAGAAATTAAGAGAATTGAAAAAGAATAATAGAATTCCTTGGTGTTTACAGATAATTTGGAAAACTTTTTGATGACAGCAGAGGATTTTTTCCCCCTTATTTTGTAATGAAGATCCAGCACTGGTTAAAAAATAATTTGATTTGTAGTTACATTTTTCTATGCCAGAGCTCTTACTGAATTGATGATATTAGGATTTCTAGTATTTTAAGGTAAGTATTTATAGTTTAAAATTTAGTTTATATTTAAAACTTTAAAACATCTGATCTGGGATTTTTTTGTTAAGTAAGTATATTAACTTCAAATACCAAATTACTACTAAGCAGTATATTGATTATAAGCATCTGTTGTCTAAAGATTGGTACTAGGCTGGACATGGTGGCTCACACCTGTAATCACAATACTTTGGGAGGCTGAGGTGGGTAGATAACCTGAGGTCAGGAGTTCGAGACCAGCCTGGCCAACGTGGTGAAACCCTGTTTCTACTAAAAATACAAAAATTAGCTGGGTGTGGTGGTGGGCACCTGTAATCCCAGCTACTTGGGAGGCTAAGGCAGGAGAATCGCTTGAACACCGGAGGCGGAGGTTGCAATGAGCCGAGATCGCGCCATTGCACTCCAGCCTGGGTGACAAGAGAAAAACTCCATCTCAAAAAAAAAAAAAAGATTGGTAAACTAGAAATATCAACTATAATTGTCAGGAAATTAACCTAAAGGCTTTTGTTTCTCCAGAGACCATTTGTGGGTATATTTTATATTTTAAAAATAAAGATTTTAAATGGATATCAATGTTTAATATTCAAAACATGCACAATATAATATCAAATTTAACCTTAATACTTTACATGAATATGAGTCACTTTTGGCTTTTCTAAGTCCAGCCTCCCATTCTTAATTGACTTGGTTTCAGGTACATGACATGTATCTAAATATAAAGTACTGTTATAGTAGAGGTAGGTGGAATTCTAATATTCCCTGCTCTTTAGATTTATATTTTATTTAATATAAAGTTTATTATTTATACCCTTTTTAATGCAAAGCTAATATTTAGTTATATGTATGATTTTTAATAAAAATTACTTTACTTTTTCCTATGAATTTAAAACATTTGATGTTGGCATTTTATACAGGCAGGTTGCCAAATTTAATTATGTTACACTAAGTTAAACACAGCACTTAATTACCTCAAATCCAGATTTCTCTTAATCTGTGTGTACATAAAAGGAATAAGTCCAAATTAATTTATAGTTTAGTGTTGCACTATAGGTAATATTCTTTTGTTATTTCTAGTTTTTATGGAATCCTTTTCTTTCAAGATTCTAAATAATAAATCGTTACGTCTCAATAGTGGTAATAGTGGTAATGGTTTATTATTAGCTGTTTCACCAATTGAACTACATTCTTTTGGAGACATTCCTTTCTTTTTTGATGTTGATTTGCAAAGGAGAAATGCTTGTTAATATACAAACTCTAGTCAGTTACCTGTGAGGATGAGATGTGTCAGAGGACTCAGACTTTGGTATAGTTAGAAAAATAATATTTTTCTCACTTGATTCTGTGTGAATGTCTCTTCTGATACTGTTTTTTAATCAGAAAGTTACAGAGCAACTTTCCCACAAACAAACCAATAAAACAAAACCCCACAAAAACCAAGAGCATGAAGAAAAGTTTAAATCCCTAATTATATACTCTTTTGGTTTTTAGGTAGAAACTGGAGCTATCAATATTTTCATGTAAGTATTTCAAGGAGTAGCTCTTTAAAAATGGTTTCTAAATTAGATTTTAAAAATTCATTGTCATCTAAATGCATGTTTAGTCACAATGTATCAGTATTGTGTTTAAAGGTGCTCAGCATCACTTTTTGAAAACTATGTTTACATATTTAAAATGTTTAATTATTTTGAAATGTATAGGGTATTAAATACAAGCTTCTAAAATTTTCAGTATCTATATTGGCTTTCTCTAACAGCTCTACAGCAAAGTTTGACATGTTTTTTGTGTGTGTCATGTATTGTAAGTTGTAATATCTGTAGGAGTGAGTTGGACATTCTAAATTAGCAGTAAAAAATTCACAATTACAGCTCAGCTTGTTTATTCATTATAGTTTCCACATTTCCAACTTCCAAGTGAACTTTATATATACTACAGTGAATTATAGATAAATACAGCCATGGTGGACCTTTCCCTCAATAGTGATTTTTTGTACAAACAGTTAGTATAATTAAAAGGAAAAGCTTTTATATTTTATGCAAGGTAAATGTTTCCTAAATGTCACAAAAGTGATAGAAAACATAGCTTTTGGGATCTGGTCCTGCATTAGAGTTTCTAATTCTGAGACCCACCAGCTTGTGTTTCATCTTCTTTATATCCTGTCAGAATACATACTTAATCATGTGGGTATGAGAAAGATGTTGTTTAACTTGTACCAGGTTTAAAAAAAGAGGTTTAAAAAATGTCTGTGCGTATATATATATATATATATATATATATATATATATATATAGCAACTTGATGTATAGTGTCCTTGTTACCATGTATTTTTTTCATTAAAAATCCTGCTTTTTTTTTATACTTGTTAGTTTTCTTTTTATATTTTTCTTAGAGATAGTGGCAATTTTGTTCATCTTGAAGATGCTGAATAAACACTTGAATACCCGAGAATTTTGGCCAGAGATTTATGTCCAATTTGGAACCTGAAAGTTTTAAGCATAACTACAAGTAACTCCTGTTAGCATTACATTTTGGGGAGACATATATGCATTTAATACCCTGCAACTCAGCCAAGCATCAACATTTTAAAACAATGTGTGTAATAAGTAATTCTCCACGCCCACCCACCCCCAGCCCCCCGATGTTTTGGCACCATGACATTTTCAAGTATAGCTTTATATTTTAGGAGTAATGACAAAGTATGTGATCAAAAGAGAAGGGATTATTAATTTTTTCCCTCTTTGCTTTTTTTTAAACTTTATTCCACTCTGTACCTATTTTTGAGGACCTTGAAAATCTTAATCTCTCCAGAAGGGATACTGCATTGGTTCTTCTCCATCAGCTGGCTTAGACATCAAACATCTTAAATGATACACTGTTTTAATATCTAAAAATCTGTCATTCTACTTAATTAACTTAGTCATAAGGACAAAGCCTTAGTATATTTTTGCCACATACATGTTATGTATAAATTTTACTGTTGAATAATACAAGTATTCATTGCTGACTGAATTCTTAAAACTTTGGGAATAGAAAAAACACATTTATTAATGGATGCTAAAGTGATTCCTGAGAAAAATAATGTGTATGGTTAATATGGAAAACCTTTGGTAATGTGATTTGGGTATAAGAATACTAAAACCAGAGTACAGGGTGTGAATCATGTACCAGGAGGGATTTTATTTTTAAATATCTTTATTGAGGTATAATTGAAATACAATAAACTGTACATATTTAAAGTACCCAATATGATAAGTTTTGTCATATGCATACAGCCATGAAATCATCAGCATAAGCAAGGTAATGAACATATTCATCACTCTCAAAGTTTCATAGTACCTCTTTGTGATCCCTTCTTACTTAATCCTCCTTGCCACCCCACCATCACCAGACCACTGATCTGCTTTCTTTATGATCAGTTTGCTACAAATGAAATCACATAATATGAACCTTTTTTGGTCTAGCTTTTGTCACTTAGCATAGTAATTTTGTGATTTGTCTATATTGTTGCATTTATGAATAAATCATTTATCTGCTGCTGAGTAGAACTGCATTTTATGAATATATCAATTTGTTTATTCTTTTGATGATGGACATTAATAGTTCTAGGCTATTATGAATAAAGTTTCCATGAACATCTATGTACAAGTCTTTGTACAGACTTATGCTTTCATTTCTCTTGGGTAAACATCTAGGAGTAGAATGCCTGGGTCATATGTTAGGTATATATTTAACTTTTTAACCAACTGCCAAAAGATTTTCCAAAGTAGTTGTAACAATTTATATTCCCACCAACAGTGTATGAAAGTTCCAGCTTCTCTATATCCTAGCCAACACTTGTTATGAACAGTTTTTAGGTTTTAGAGATTTTAATAGGTGGGTAGTAGTATCTTACTGTGGTTTTAATTTCCATTTCTCTAATAACCACTATTGAGCATCTTTTCATGTTGTATTTGCCATCTTTATCTCTATATCTTCTTTATTGATGTGTCTGAATCTTTTGCCCACTTTTTTTTTTTTTTTTTAAGACCAGGTCTTGCTCTGTCACCCAGGCTGGAGTGTAGTGGTGTGATCTCAGGTCACTGCAACCTCCACCTCCCAGGCTCAAGCAACTCTCCTGCCTCAGCCTCCCTAGTAGATAGGATTACAGTCATGCGCACCATGCCTGGCTAATTTTTTGTAGAGACGGGGTTTCACCATGTTACCCAGGCTAGTCTCAAACTCCTGGGCTCAAGCAATCCACCCACCTTGGCCTCCCACAGTGCTGGGATTACAGGCATGAGCCATCGTGCCCAGCCTTGCCCACTTTTATTTTTGTTTTCTTATTTGTTTTTTATTCTTTTTTTTTAACCACAGCCAGCATCATAGCTCACCCACTTTTAAATTGTTTTCTTTTTTTTTTTTTTTTTTTTTTTTTTGAGATGCAGTTTCACTCTTGTCGCCCAGGCTAGTGTGCAATGGCATGATCTTGGCTCACTGCAGCCTCCAACTCCCAGGTTCATACAATTCTCCTGCCTCAGCCTCCCGAGTAGCTGGGATTACAGGTGCCCACCACCACACCTGGCTAATTTTTGTATTATTAGTAGAGACGAGGTTTCACCATGTTGGCCAGGCTGCTCTCGAACTCCTGATCTCAGGTGATCCACTCACCTTGGCCCCCCAAAGTGCTGGGATTACAGGCATGTGCCACCACACCCAGCTAATTTTTGTATTTTTTAGTAGAGATGGGGTTTCACCATGTTGGCCAGGCTGGTCTCCGAACTCCTGATCTCAGGTAATCTGCCCGCCTCCCTAAGTGCTGGTGCTGGGATTACAGGCGTGAGCCACCACTCCCAGCTCCACCTGCACTTTCAACTGACTACAAATCTGAGAGGTTCTCACATCCCCTTTTAGGTTTGATAATTTGCTAGAACAACTCACAGAACTCAGGAAAGTACTATACTTACAACCACAGTTTTATTAGAAAGGATACAAACCAGAAATGACCAAATGAACAGATACGTAAGATGAGGTCTGTGAGGGTCCTGAATGCAGAACCTCTGTGCCCTCTCGTAGAATCAGGACATGTTATTCACTTTTCATATCAATGTATTCACCAACCAGGAAGATCTACTGAGTTTCATGTCCAGAGTTTTCAGGGGGTTTTATTACATAGGCATGATTGGTTCAATCATTGGCCCATGATTGGACTAATTCTTCAGTCCTCCTGTCTTTCCTGGAGGACAGAAGGCTGAGTTGATATCATTGGCTCAAAGCCCCAACCCAACCCTCTAATTAGATGTTTGGTCTTTATAGCATGACTAGCTCCCATCCTGAAGCTATCTAGGGACCCACTATGTGTCATCTCATTGCATATACTCAGGTGTGATTCAAGGCGCTCATGAATAACAAATACACTCCTAGTACTTGGGAAATTCCAAGATTCACTATCAGGAACCACAGATAAAGGAAAGTCAAATTATTTATTATATAGCAGTGTAATGCATAGTTTTGTTGTTTTAATTGTGGACACCTACTTTAGTCTGAGATTTGTTACCATGTCACACTATACTAGGTTCATCTCATTTTTCTTCAAGGCTATTGTGTGAAGTGCAACATGTTTTATATATTAAGTGTATCAACTCTCTGTTACTTTTCCTGGTTTGTAGTTTGCCTTTTAATTTTGATGACTTCTGTGCTTAAACAATTCTCCTCCAACTAGATAGAAGATAAACATTTATCTAAAATTTCCTATAGCTTTCTTATGTGTTGTTTTTAGTATAGTGAAATTATTTTGTTGCAGAGGATAAGTTTAAGTAGATATTTTTTCAATTAACCAACTCTCCCAATATGATGGGTTTTTTCCCCCTCTCTTCCAATAGAAACCTAACTCCCAACACAATGGAATGAATTTTTCACTTTTTTAATTCACCTTTGAAAGGAGTAGGCAGGTTGTAAGGAATTGGAGATTTTGTGTCCCATTTTTTTTAGATGAAGAGGTCCAAAGTGGTAAATAATTTTCCCCAGGTCATCTGGAAAGGGCAGAATTGTCTGACTCCAAAGTCTTAAAAAGACGTTTACTTAGTGTCACTATTGCGTCACATGTAATTACCCAATGACTTCAAATGTACCTGACATTATCAAATAATTTGTTCTGATATGAAAATTGAAAATTAAATGGAACACAGAAGAAAATATAGTTATGACATTAGACAAGACAATGACATTAAGTTTAAATCTGGATCGCCAAACACAAGGTAAGTTTCCCTTGAGTTGATCAATTTAAGTTAAATCAAGTCTCTATTACTGAATCATACAAAAATGACCAAAAATGTTCACCAAACTTAGGGGCATATGTTTATGATGATCCAACTTGTAGATTTTGTGGTTCACATGAAAATCCACTTTAGGAAGTTCAAAGAGCCACATCAAAAAGATAGCCATCTTCCAGAGCAGCTAAAATTCAGATACCCCTGTATAATAAAGAACTATTCAGAGACACATATCATGCATTAAGATAAAGAACTGGCCGGGCGCGGTGGCTCATGCCTGTAATCCCAACACTTTGGGAGGCCGAGGCGGGTGGATCACCTGAGATGAGGAGTTCAAGACCAGCCTGACCAATATGGTGAAATCCTGTCTCTACTAAAAATACAAAAACTGGCCGGGCGTCATGGCATGCGCCTGTAATCCCAGCTACTCAGGAGGCTGAGACAGGAGAATTGCTTGAACCCAGGAGGCGGAGGTTGCAGTGAGCCAAGATCACACCACTGCACTCCAGCCTGGGCGACAGAGCGAGACTCCGTCTTTAAAAAAAAAAAAAAAAAAGGACTGAAATAAGTGGGTTCACATAGGAACACCAAATTGAAGGTCACAGGGAAGATGCTGATTTGTGATCATGTGGCTTCACACAGGCAAATCCATGCATTGTGCTTTAGGGTGAGCAGCATGGATTCATTTGTTTGAATGATGTCGATGGTTAATGAATTTTAGGAGGAACTCTGAGGAAGCCAGCTAGTTGCTAATACAAATTTCAGTGGAATAATATCTTTTCCCTTTTTTCTCCTCTTAACTCTCAGTGCCAGGGCACTTTGGGAAACATTTAGACTTAAAACATTAGAATATTAAACTGAAAAGACAGAGCAAAATAATTCAAATTACAGCAGTTGAATCGAGTAGTTAAAATTCAGAGATATCAAGCCAATGAATAAGACAGCATTTGTGAAGTACTACGTTAGCAATATTGGGATGAGTTGAAGAACTTCTAAAAAGGTGAACTAAGGACGTAAGATTTTTGAGAAGTTGAATCAAATCCAGAGTGGCATGCAAGGAAAACCTTGTGTGTTTTTACTGCTGTACTAATAGTTAAAACTAGCTATTGTATTCTCCAGGGCAGATATGAAATGGCCTTCAGTCCTAGAAAACTAGCAGAGCAGTTTATCAGCTGGTATGCCATGACAGCATTGAAGCGTGGTTTGTAGAAAAACCTGTTATATATACTATACATCATTTGAGTTTTGTATTTTTCTCATAAGATAGGATTTGTTACTTTATTTCAAAGTGTATTCACATGTTGCTCAATTTTTCTTCACAAAATTTCTGTGGATAGAGCCAAGTGTAAATATTATTTTCTTATTTAATAGCTGAAGACACTTAATTGTAGGGAATAAGTGACATGTTTATTAGTATTACATGTATAAATAATTAGGAGTTGAAGTTATATAGACATAAGAACTTGCAGATAGTATCAGACAGCTACTACTAATACTTAGGTGAGTAATTTTTATATTTGAGATTAAGCCACAACCATTATATCTTAGATTCTTAAATTACTTGGCCTAGATTTGAAATAATTCTGCTCATAATAAAGGATTGAAGACATTTATTTTAAGAGAAAATGAGCAGAAATGCACAGAATGACTTGTTATAAAAAGGGAATTATTTTAACTTCTGAAATATTGCATGGACTTTGTACATAGACATGAAATTACACAGCAAATGACAATATATTTAATGATTTATTTTTTCAGTAACATGTAAAACCTACAATACAGCCAGGGGCGGTGGCTCACGCCTGTAATTCCAGCACTTTGGGAGGCCAAGGCGGGCGGATCACGAGGTTAGGAGATGGAGACCATCCTGGCTAACACGGTGAAACCCCGTCTCTAGTAAAAAAAAAAAAAAAAAAAATACAAAAAAATTATCCGGGCATGGTGGCGGGCACCTGTAGTCGCAGCTACTTGGGAGGCTGAGGCAGGAGAATGGCATGAATCCGGGAGGCGGAGCTTGCAGTGAGTCGAGATTGCGCCACTGCACTCCAGCCTGGGCGACAGAGTGAGACTCCGTCTCAAAAAAAAAAAAAAAAAAAAACCTACAATACAAACCTCAGTGTTTCAAAAAGTTGTTTAAAAAGAATTACCTAGCCAGGCATGGTGGCGGGCGCCTGTAATCCCAGCTACTGAGGAGGCTGAGGCAGAGAATTGCTTGAACCCGGGAGGCGGAGGTTGCAGTGAGCCGAGATCGCACCACTGCACTCCAGCCTGGGCAACAGAGCGAGACTGCATCTCAACAACAACAAAAAGAATTACCTAATGACTTGCTACCCAGCAACATGCACTTTCCTTTTAACTTGCCTACCCTTCCCTAAGCTTAGCAGCATTTGGACTGTCAACAATGCTGTAAAGTAAAGATGTTCTTCATTTAACATATATAACTTACATAGTTCCATAAAATAATAGATAACTTCTCCGTTTTTTAGAAAAAAATTCAGAGTCTCACTCTGTCTCCCAGTCTGGAGTGCAGTGGGGCGATCATGGCTCGCTGCAGCCTCAAATTCCTAAAGTCAAGCTATCCTCTCACCTTAACCTGCTTTTTATTTATTTTATTTTTTACGTATATTTTCTGAGATGGAGTCTCGCTCTGTTGCCCAGCCTGGAGTGCAGTGGTGCGGTCATGGCTCACTGCAACCTCCGCCTCCTGGGTTCAAGTGATTCTCCTGCCTCAGCCTCCCGAGTAGCTGGGATTACAGGCATGTGCCACCGCACCCGACTAATTTTGTATTTTTATTAGAGTCGGAATTTCACCATATTGGCCAGGCTGGTCTCGAACTCCTGACCTCAGGTGATCTGCCCACTTCGGTCTCCCGAAGTGCTGAGATTACAGGCAGGAGCCACTGCGCCCGGCCCTTAACCTGCTTTTTAAAATTTTGTGTAGAGACAGGTCTCTCACTGTGTTGCCCAGGCTGGCATCCAACTCCTGGCCTCAGGTGATCCTCCCACCTTGACCTCCCAAAGTGCAGGGATTACAGGTGTCAGCCACCATGCCCAGCTAGATAACATTTTTTGAGTGCCAGATGCTTTATAACTTAATCCTCACATCTGGCCTGAATATTATTACCCCAATTTTATATAAAAGCAAATAAATTCAAAAAGATTAAATACCTTGCCCAAGATCATATATCTAGAAAGCCAGGAACCTAGGATCTGAACCCGAGACTTTTTATTCCATAGACCATGTTATAACCAGATTTAACTCTAACAATTCATGAACTATTAAAATGCATCATAAGGAAGAATACATTATGTATTTATTTATAGACTGAATCTTGCTCTGTCACCTAGGCTGGAGTGCAGTGGCGTGATCTTGGCTCACTGCAACCTCCATCTCCTATGTTCAAGCGACTCTCGTGCCTCAGCCTCCCAAGTAGCTGGAATTACAGGCGCCTGCCCCTGCGCCTGGCTAATTTTTGTATTTTTAGTAGAGACAGGGTTTCACCATGTTGGCCAGGCTGGCTTGAACTCCTGACCTCAAGTGATCTGCCTGCCTCAGCCTCCCAAAGTGTTGGGATTACAGGTGTGAGCCACTGCGCCTGGCCAATAATTTTTTTTTTAATGTTTGTAGAGACATGGGTCTCCCTATGTTGCCCAGGCTGTCCTTGAGCTACCGGCCTGAAGGGATCCTCCCACCTCAGCCTCCCACAGTGTTGGAATTATAAGCTACCGCATGGGCTGCAAATTTTATGTTATGTATTTTACAATTAAAAAAAAATTTCCTACCCAGAGATCATGCAGATATGATCTGCTAAATCTTTACGGTTTTGCCTTTCTTATTAACGGTCTACTGTCTACTTGGAGTGGTTTCCTGCATATGGTTTTGCATGGCAGGTGGGCCCCAAAATCGGGGCTCTGCCTGGGGAGGTTCTTGGCTTTGCCTAGGAAGGAATTCAAGGGCCACCCTATAGGCATTGTGTGAAAAGTAGCAGCTCAGGGGCAGTTCTGAAGTCACATTTATACTCACTTTTAATTACATGCAAATTAAGGGGCAGGTTAGTCAGAAATTTCTAGAAAAAGGGTGGTAAATTCCAGGTCATTGCCATGGAATGAGTAACTGTCATGGCACTGTTGGCTGTGTTTTATGGAGAAGTGTTTTCGCCTCTTCCCTGTGTCAGCCAGTCTTCAATCTGGTCCAGAGTTGAGTCCCGCCTTCTACTTTAGTGTCAGAGGGGGTCAAATTTCTTTCTCTATTTTTTTCCCACATGGAGAGTAGTTTTATCACATGGAGAGCTTGGGCTCTCATGTCTAGGAGCTCAAGCCTGGGACAGTGGTGTGCATCCTTTGAATCATCATTCTAGCCCTGCTCTGGATCTACAAAAAATTCCTGGAGCCATCCACATACTCTCTGATTTCTCCTTTTGTTCATCATTTATGGCCTAGAAAAGCTATGCAGGAATCCAATGGCAAAGTAGACTATAAGGATGCAGACATAAATGGATTACCAACAAAAGGGCCAACAGACATCTCTGATAAAAAGACTAAAGTGATTTTCCTAGAGGATTTCATCATTTTAAAAATGGACCTGATTGCCGGCATGGTGGCTCACACCTGTAATCCCAGCACTTCAGAAGTGTATTAGTTCGTTTTCATGCTGCTGATAAAGACATACCTGAAACTAGGCAATATATAAGAAAAAGAGGTTTAATGGACTTACCCTGGGGAGGCCTCACAATTATGGCAGAAGGCAAGGAGGAGCAAGTCACATCTTATTTGGATGGTGGCAGGCAAAAAGAGAGAGCTTGTGCAAGGAAATTCCCGTTTTTTTAAACCATCAGATCTGGTGAGACTTATTTACTATCACGAGAATAGCTCAGGAAAGACCCACCCCCATGATTCAATTACCTCCCACTGGATTCCCCCCACAACATGTGGGAATTGTGGGAGTTACCATTCAAGATGAGATTTGGGTGGGGACACAGCCAAACCATATCAAGGGAAGCCAAGGCAGGTGATCACTTGAGGCCAGAAGTTCGAGACCAACCTGGCCAGCATGATGAGACCCCATCTCTACAAAAAATACAAAAATTAATGGATGTAGTGCGGCACACCTGTGGTCCCAGTAACTCGGGAGGCTGAGGTGGGAGGATTGCTTGAGCCCAGGAGGCCAAGGTTGCAGTGAGCAGAGATCACACCACTGCACTTCCGTCTGGGCAACAGAGCAAGACCCTGTTTCAAAAAAAAAAAAAAAAAAAGGACTTGATAATATGAAGCACCTTGTTTGTAATCCTCTCTGACCTTTTTCTCTGAGACCAGAATTCAGGATTGATGGATTAGATATTTACCTGATACTAATCATGAAATTGATGGAATCCATATTTAAAGTGTTGTTAGTTATATTTAATGACTTCACTCCTGAATTCCCTTTTCATTAAGGTAGCTTTCATTTCTATTATTGCTGTTTTAGTAATATTATTAAATAGAAGGTTTGTGCCAGTAGATGCTCTTGTTACTAAATCAGTACTTTAAAATCTTTGGTCCTCTGTCATTTGTGCCTATGAATTTGACTACTGTTTGCTCTAATTTATTTGGGCTCTTCTAATTGGAGTGGAGCAGAGTTTTACTGTGAAACAGTGCAGTGAGTCTGTGCAGTGAAATGAAGGGTGGAGTTTTGGGGGGTGGTAATGATGTGAAACATAAAGATATAATTACCATCTAACACAATGAAGCCACTTGTCCATAAGAGTAGTAATTATTAAACTTTTACTATTTTTATTTTATTTTTTTTTTAATTTTTGAGACAGTGTCTTGCTTTGCCACCCAGGCTATAGTGGAACAAACACAGCTCGCTACAGCCTTTACCTCCTCAACTCAAGTGATCCTCCTGCCTCAGCCTCTTGAGTAGCTGGATATGCCACTGCACCTGGCTACTTTTTATATTTTTTGTAGAGGCAGGGTTTCAACATGTTGCCCAGGCTGGTTTGGAACTCCTGGACTTAAGTGATCCTCCTGCCTTGACCTCCTAAAGTGCTGGGATTACGCAGGTGAGCCACCAAGCCCTGTTGAAACATCTTCTATATAAATGTCTAATGTAATTACAAAATTCTAATTCTTGTTGCATTCTTTTTATCCCTACAAATGTATTAAACATTCGGTTTTAAAAAGTTTTAAGGCCAGGTGCAGTGGTTCACACCTGTAATCCTAGTACTTTGGGAGGCTGAGGTGGGTGGATCACTTGAGGTCAGGAGTTTGAGACCAGGCTGGCCAATATGGTGAAACCCCATCTCTACTAAAAAATACAAAAATTAGTCAGGCATGGTGGTGCGTGCCTATAGTCCCAGCTACTCAGGAGGCTGAGGCAGAAGAATTGCTTGAACCTGGGAGGCAGAGGTTGCAGTGAGCTGAGATTGCACCACTGTACTCCAGCCTGGGTGACAGAGCAAGACGCCGTCTAAAAAAAAAAAAAAAGTTTTAAGTATACAGTTCATTGATATTCAGTACATTCACACTGTTGTGCAACCATCACCACTATCCACTTCCTGAATTTTTTCATCCTAAACTGAAACTCTTTATGCATTAAACAATAACTCCCCATTCTACCTCCACCCCAGTGGTTCTCTTTTTCTAAATAAAGTGATCTTTCAATATCCACTATAACATCAGAAATCTTTTAATAGGATAAGAGTGGATAACTGCAAACACAAAAAGATATAATTGGGAAACTAGGCTTTTGTGATGTTATTTTTATTTCTAAAAAATATTCAAATAAGGACATGTCCTTTACAGAGGCTGTTTGATTTCTCATTGGGAAACTTAAAAAACAAGTTTAAAAAAAACAATTTTTTTCTTAAATGTTCTATCCTTTTCCTTCTAAATGTACACTGAAACAAGCTTTTGGTTCATTCATATTTATTTTTCTTACAATTTCAACTTTTCTTTTCTTTTTACAACACAGGCTCTCACTCTGTTGCCCAGACTGGAGTCCAGTGGCGTGATCATCGCTCACCGCAGCCTCTACCTCCTGGACTCAAGGGATCTTCCACCTCATCTTCCTGAGTAGCTGAGACTACAGATGTGTACCACCATACCCAGCTAAATTTCTTATTTTTTATTTTTTGTAGAGACAGAGTCTCACTATGTTGCCCAGGCTGGTTTCAAACTCCTGAACTCAAGCTGTCTTCCCAAAGTGCTGGGATGACAGGCTTGAGCCACCAAGGCCTGCCCTCAACTTTTATTTCAGATTCAGGTGGTACAAGTGCAGTTTGTTACGTAGGTATATCGAGTGATACTGAGGTTTGGGATACGAATGATCTGGTCCCACAGGAAGTGAGCATAGTTCCCAATAGTTTTTCAGCATTTTCCCCTATCCCACCCTCCCCACTCTAGTAGACTCCAGTGTCTATTGTTGCCATCTTTATGTCAACGAGTACCCAATGTTTAGCTCCCACTTATAAATGACAACATGCATTATTTGGTGTTCTATGTTAATTCACTTAGGATAATGGTGTCCAGCTGCATCCATGTTGCTACAAAGGACATGATTTCCTTCTTTTTTATGGCTATGTAGTATTCCATTGTATATATGTACCACATTTTCTTTATCCAGTCCACCGTGATGGGCATGTCTTTGCTATTGTAAGTAGTGCTGCGGTGAACATAATGGGTGCATGTGTCTTTTTGGTAGAACGATTTATTTTCTTTTGAATAGATGCCCAGTAATGGAATTGCTGGGTTGAATGTTAGTTCTGTTTTAAGTTCTTTGAGAAATCTCCAAACAGTTCTCCACAGTGGCTGAACTAGTTTACATTCCTACCAACAGTGTATAAGCATTCTCTTTTCTCCACAGCCTCATTTGTTATTTCTTTCTTTTTTTTTTTTTTTTGAGACAGAGTCTCGTTCTGTCACCCAGGCTGGAGGGCAGTGGCGCGATCTCAGCTCACTGCAGCCTCTGCCTCCCGGGTTCAAACGATTCTCCTGCCTCAGCCTCCTGAGTAGCTGGGACTACAGGAGCGCGCCACCACACCTGGCTAATTTTTTGTATTTTTTTTTAGTAGAGACGGGGTTTCACCATGTTGGCCAGGATTGTCTCGATCTGACCTCGTGATCTGCCCGCCTTGGCCTCCCAAAGTGCTGGGATTATAGGTGTGAGCCACTGCACCTGGCCCCATTTGTTATTTCTTTAGGGCACCATTTTTCATCTGATTATTCACAGCTGAAAAACCATAATCTTCTTGACCTACTAATCTAGTTTATGGTGATGAATCATATGATAAACAAAATCTAATGGTCCTTTTGGCAGAAAATAAATATGGGAATGTAATAATAAACAAAGATCTTTTCCCCTACGTTAAATCCATTATAATAAAATAGGAGGCCAGGTGTGGTGGCTAATGCCTGTAATCCCAGCATTTTGGGAGGCTGAGGCAGGAGGATTGCTTGAGGCCAGGAGTTTGAGACCAGCCTAGGCAACCATAGCAAGACCCCATCTCTAGAAAAAAATTAAAAATCAGCTGGGTGTGATGGCAGTGAGGTGTGATCCTGTCACTGCACTTCAGCCTGAGCAACAGAGCAAGATCCTGGCTCTAAAATACAAGAAATAAAATATGTAACTTTGTTCAGAGATGTCTTTTAAAAATTGTGGCACATTTACTATTTTAATCACTGTTGACCGCCTTAATATGTGTCAAACTGTCAATTTAAGTAGGAACTACTAGATCTCAGATCTATTCTTTTTAAAAAAGTGTTACCTATTTTATTACTGTTAAAATTTTGATGTAGTATGAAAAAGCCCTGAGTCATAGTTACAGCCATTTGCCACAGAAATTCTAAATCTCGTAATTTTAATTCCAAATAAATTGATAATTGTTAATTGCTTTATTACTCAAACAGAAAAACTAAAAGGAGATATTTACCTGATACTATCTTACCTGATAAATCAAATGAATATACAAGTCAAAACAAGTATCTAAAAAACTAGGGGCTGGGCTCGGTGGCTCACACCTGTAATCCCAGCACTTTGGGAGGCTGAGGCGGGTGGATCACCTGAGGTCAGGAGTTTGAGACTAGGCTGGCCAATATGGTGAAACTCCATCTCTACTAAAAAATACAAAAAAATTAGCTGGGCATGGTGGTGCGCGCGCCTGTAGTCCCAGCTACTTGGGAGGCTGAGGCAGAGAATCGCTTGAACCCGGGAGGTGGAGGTTGCAGTGAGCTGAGATCGCACCACTGACTCCAGCCTGGGCAACAGAGCAAAACTCTGTCTCAAAAAAAAAAAAAGAAAGAAAGAAAACACAGTGCCAGATGTAATTCCTAGGAATGCTGATAGATTAATGTCAAGAAATAATGTGCATTATTTGCTCTTACTATGGAAAGCAAAGGGAAAAACTAATTGAGATGAGCAGGTACGGTGGTAGAAATTACACGAAGGTTTTTTTGTGTTTTTTTTTTAAACAGGGTTTTTTTTTCTTTTTAATTATCTTAGTATTATAATACTGAAAGGAAAAAAATGTTCCTTGATGCATAACAAGAGATCTCAGATATCAATTAACTTAAATTTGAACTAGAATGGTTGAACTTCAAGAAAGCTGCTTTTTTTTTAAATTCATTTTAATTTTATTTATTTATTTATTTATTTTTTTGAGACAGAGTCTTGCTCTGATGCCAGGCTAGAGTGCAGTGGTGCGATCTTGGCTCACTGCAACCTCCACCTCCTGGGTTCAAGCTATTCTCCTGCCTCAGTCTCCTGAGCAGCTGGGACTACAGGTGTGCGCTACCACGCCCAGCTATTTTTTTTTTTTTTTTTTTTTTTTTTTAGTAGAGATGAGGTTTCACCATGTTGGCCAGGATGGTCTCCATCTCTTGACCTCGTGATCTGCCTACCTTGGCCTCCCAAAGTGCTGGGATTACAGGCGTGAGCATCGCGCCCAGCTGAAAGCTGCTTTCTTAAGAGAACAAATGTCCCTAGTCTCAAATTTTTCTTTTCTTCACATTTGGAAAGAAGAATTTAAAATGAGAAAATGCTAATTTTTAAACAAGAATTTCCAGTAATTCATTTTTTTCTCTTGATTAAAGAATTTTTCCTACTGTAGAATGTGGAAGTCCTAACTTTCAATTAACTTCCCAGCCAGCATGGGAAGTTTATTACAAATGAAAGTGAAGTGGTTTTCTTTCATGTTTCAACTTAATTTTAATTACTGTATTCTATGTGTGTGCGTGTGTGTGTGTGTGTGTGTGTGTGCGTGCGTGCATGCGCACACACGCATGGTTACATGTTGCCCTGGGGAAGATATCAGAAGGTCTAGTACAGTAAATATATTCTTAATCTTATTACATCCCTGCCTAAAAACTTTAATTTTACACAAAGTGAAATGTAAATTACTGAGCTGTATTCAGGGACCCATGCTGAGTTGGTTGCAACCAAGCTGATTGCCTTGCTACTTCTACCCCAGATAGACTCATCAAGTAAATTATGGTTTTCTCAAAACACAGAAGAGAATTTTCTCAGGAGTCAAGCTTTTACCCAAGGCATTCTCTTTTCAGAATTATTATTTCTTTCTGGACACTGGAATTCTAACATTCCTTCAAGACCTAGCTCAGATACACTCTCCACTGGAAAGCTTTCCTAAGCATATGAATTACTTGGTGGTATCTCTCAACTCTCCCCATCCTCTATCCCCTGTGTTTTCTACAATGCAAATTAGCTCTGGAGTTTCACTGTCCAATACAGTAACCATTAACCTCATGTGGCTATGTACATTAAAATTAAATAAAACAAAAAATTTATTTCTTGGTTGCAAAAGCCACATTTCGATTGTTTAATAGCTATATATGGCTAGTGCCTACTGTACTGAACAGCACAGATGTGGAACATTTCCTTCACTGCAGAAAGTTCTATCAGACAGCACTGGTCTAGAGACTTGGTTAGATTCAGATTCAGGCCTTGATTTTTTAATATTTAAAATTGGGCCACTAAATTACATGATCTCTACAGTAACTTTCAGTTGTTTAGCTCTGTGATTCTACAGAAGAATACATAATCTATTTTAGTTTTAGTTTTTTTGAGACAGAGTCTCACTATGTTGCCCAGGATAGAGTACAGTGGCATGATCAGGGATTACTGCAGCCTCAAATACCTGGGTTCAAACAATCCTCCTGCTTCAGCCTCCCAAGTAGCTGGGACTACAGGAATAAGCCACCATGCCTGGCTAATTTTTTTATTATTTCGTAGGGGCAGAGTCTTGCTATGTTGGCCAGGCTGGTCTCAAACTCCCAGCCTCAAGTGAGACTCCCACCTCCGCTTCCCAAAGTATTGAGATGACAGGCATGAGCCACCACACCTGGCTTCACAATCTACTTTAATAAAAGAGTCTGTAAATGGGTAACTGAGGAGTTCTGATAACACCCACATTCCAGTCAATGTAATCATAATCACAGTGTTTTCATGAGCATGTCTGACATTGTAGCTTAGACAACTGTGTGGTATCATATGGACAGCAATTCTGGTGTCCAGGAGCTTGGAAGACTCTATCCCAATAAATAAAAAGCTGAACAAATGGAGAAATCAACAATTCTTCCTAGATCCACCAGAGAAATGAAGTCACAGGGTAAACCCTTGCCACCAAAATTGGAGAGAGAGAGAGAGAGAGAGTAAAAATACAGAGAGCATAAAAAAATAGAGAGAGAGCATAAATCTCCACAGGAACTGGAATGAGGGCAGGCAAACCTGAACTGCAACTGACAAATTATTGGAGGCTCAGAGTGGACATGCCTGAGAGTAAAAAGCTCTTGGGGGAGGGAGGGCTAGTTATGGAGCAAGCCACAACACTCCTGTGAGTTTTACCTGTAGGAACTTGACCAGGTTCTTATGGTAATTATTACAGGAAAATTCCCCCTTGTTTTCAGCAGGTAGAAGGAAAAAAAAGGACCCACTTAAAAATAACCAGGGCAGCCAGGTGCGGTGGCTCACACCTGTAATCCCAGCACTCTGGGAGGCCGAGGCAGGTGGATCACTTGAGGTCAGGAGTTCGAGACCAGCCTGACCAACATGGTGAAACCCGGTCTACTAAAAATACAAAATTAGCCAGGTGTGGTAACAGGTTCCTATAATCCCAGGCACTGGGAGGCTGAGGCAAGAGAATCGCTTGAACCCAGGAGGTGGAGGTTGCAGTGAGCCAAGATCACCCCACTGAACTCCAGCCTGGGCAACAAGAGCAAAACTCCATCTAAAAACAAAACAAACAAACAAAACACACACACAGAAAAAACCCAGGGCATTCTGTTTTTGTTTTTGTTTTTTGAGATGGAGTTTCATTCTTGTTGCCCAGGCTGGAGTGCAATGGCGCGATCTCAGCTCACTGCAACCTCCACCTCCCAGGTTCAAGCGATTCTCCTGCCGCAGCCTCCCAAGTGGCTGGGATTACAGGCATGCAGCACCATGCCAGGCTAATTTTGTATTTTTAGTAGAGACGGGTTTCACCATGTTGGTCAGGCTGGTCTCGAACTCCTAACCTCAGGAGATCCGCCCACCCCGGCCTCCCAAAGTGCTGGGATTACAGGCGTGAGCTACCGCGCCTGGCCTTTTTTTTTTCTTTTCTTTCTTTCTTTTTTTTTTTTTTTATAGAGACAGTGTCTCACTATGTTGCGCAAACTGGTCTGAAATTCCTGGGCTCAAGTAATCCTCCCGCCTTGGTCTCCAAAAGTGCTATGATTACAGGTGTGAGCCACTACACCCAGCCATTCTATTTTTCTTAACAAGGCCTGCCCTCAAGAGATACTGTCTTACCAGAGCCTAACCGTCTTAGGCGAAGGGAGATACCCAACTCCATTCAGCTCTAGACGTCCACATGGGAGAAGGGAAATAACCGCAGCACATACTAATCATCCTGTACCAGCTAAGGTGGGGAAAAACTGAAAAGCACAGTTCAGAGGCACAGGCTCACTAAAAGACTGAGATCTAATCACAGGACTATAGGAAGCCTCCCTTTCCTCCACATTTTACCACTGCATTACTAAAGTCCTATTTACTGCAGTTCCGTTTACCTAGTACATCATGTTCAGCTATCAAGAAAAAATTACAGGCCGGGCCCAGTGGCTCACGCCTATAATCCCAGCAGAGGTGGGTGGATCACCTGAGGTCAGGAGTTGGAGACCAGCCTGGGCAACATGGTGAAACCCTGTCTCTACTGAAAAACAAAAACAAAAACAAAAATTAGCCGGGTGCGGTGGCACGTGCCTGTAATCCCAACTACTCGGGAGGCTGAGGCAGGAGAATTGCTTGAGCACGGGAGGCGGAGGTTGCGGTGAGCCAAGATTGTGCCATTACACTCCAGCCTGGGTTACAGAGTGAGACTCCATCTCAAAAAAAAGAAAAGAAAAAATTATTACAAAGCATCCTAAAAGGCAAAAAACAACCTGAAGACATAAGGCAAAGATCAGAACCAAATTCATATAAGACAGGCATGTTGAAATTACCAGACTGAGAATTTAAAACAACTATGATTAATATGCTAAGGGCTCTAATGGATAAAGCAGACAGCATGCAAGAACGGATGGGCAATGTAAGCAGAGATGTAAATTCTAAGAAAGAATTTTTAAAATGCTACAGATCAAAAACACTATAACAGAAATGAAGAATCCTCCTTAGTAGACTGAATGAAGATGAGCTCATTAGTAAACTGGACATGGCTAAGAGAACATTTCTGAGTTTGAGAATATGTCAATAGAAACCTCCAAAATGGAAAAGCAAAGAGAAAAAAGACAGAATAAAATGATTCAGAACATCCAAGAACTGTGGAATAACTACAAAAGGTATAAATGTGTGTGATAGGAATACCAGAAGGAAAAAAAAGGAAGCGAAGCATATTTCAAGCAACAGTGACAGAGAATCTTCCCAAATTGGCAATAGACACCAAACCAGAGATCCAGAAAGCACAGAGAACACCAAGCAGGATAAGTGGTTTAAAAAAACTACACCTAGGCTATCATTTTCAAATTACAGAAAATCAAAGATAAAGAGAAAATCCTGAAGGAAGCCAGAGGAAAACAAACAGCTTTCTATGCAGGAGCAAGATAAGGATTATATCCAACTTCTCATCAGAAATCATGCAATCAAGAAGACAGTGGAGTAAAACATTTAACATATTGAGAGAAAAAAAAAAAACACCAGCCTAGAATTCTGTATCCCATAAGATTATCATATAAAAGTGAAACACAAAGACTTTCTCAGATGAACAGAACAATATTTGAGGGAATTTGTTGCCAACAGACCTTCCTTATAAGAAATAATTAAAAGAACTTCTTGAGAAAGAAGGAAAATGACACATAGGTCAGAAACTCTCTGCATAAATAAATGAAGAGCATCAGAGAAATAATAAGTGAATATAAAATATAAACTCTTATTTTTCTTATTCTCAGTTAATCTAACAGACAACAGTTTGTTCAAAATAATACTAGGCAACAATGTAATTGTGTGTGTGTGTATACACACAATTGCTTAGGTGTAAGTGAATGGCAGAAATGACATAAGGAACAGGAGAGAGGAATTAGGAATGATTAGGAATGTTTTGTGATAAGGTTCTTGCAATATCTGTGAATTGGTATAGTGCTATTGGAAAGTGAACTTGGAGTAGTTGTAAATGTATACTGCAAACTCTAGGACAACCACTAAATAAGGTAGGAAAAAAAAAAAAGAGTAAAACTGGGCCGGGCACAGTGGCTCACACCTGTAATCCCAGCACTTTGGGAGGCCAAGGTGGGTGGATCACCTAAGGTCAGGAGTTCGAGACCAGCCTGGCCAACATGGGGAAACCCCATCTCTACTAAAAATACAAAAATTAGCTGGGCATTGTGGTGGGCGCCTGTAATCCCAGCTACTTGGGAGGCTGAAGCAGAATTGTTTGAACCTGGGAGGCAGAGGTTGCAGTGAGCCGAGATCGCGCCACCACACTCCAGCCTGGGTGACAAGAGCAAAACTCCGTCTCAAAAAAAAAAAAAAAGGTAAAACTGATATGCTACAAAAGTAGAGGAAATGGAATCATATTAAATAATTAAGATTTTAAAAGGCACTGGCCGAGTGCCATGGCTCATGCCTATAATCCCACCACTTTGGGAGGCCAAGGTGGGAGGGTCATTTGAATCCAGGAGTTCAAGACCAGCCTGAGCAACATAGCAAGACCCTGTCTCTACAAAAAATACAAAAGTTAACTGGGCATGGTGGAGTGTGCCTGCAGTGCCAAATACCTGGGAGGTGGAGGTGGGCAGATCACTCGAGCCAAGGAGTTTGAGATTGCAGTGAGCCATGATCATGCCACTGCATTCCAGCCTATGCAACAAAGACCCTGTCTCAAAAAAAAAAATTTAAAAAAAAAATATATATATATGTAAAAGGCAGAAAAAGAGTGAAAGACAAAAATAGGAACAAAGAATAAGTACAATGTATAGGAAACAGTAATGAATATGGTATACATCAATCCAACTATGTCAATAATCACTTTATATGTTAATGGTCTAAATATGTCATTTAAAAGACATAATGGATCAAAAAACAAGACCCAATTATATATTATCTACAAGAAACCCACTTTAAATATAAAAACACATATAGATTAAAAGTAAATGGGTAAAGAAAAACATACCACGTTAATACTAATCAAAAGAAAGAGGAAGTAAACATATTAATTTCAGACAGAGCAGACTTCAGAACAAGGAAAGTTATCAGTGATAAAGAGGACCATTACATAATGATAAAGGGGTCATTTCTCCAAGAAGACATAACAATCCTTAACACATATTTCCCTAACAACAGATATCAAAATATGTGAGGCAAAAACTGATAGAACTCCAAGGAGAAATGGATGAATCCACTATTATAGTTGGAGACTTAAGTACCCCTCTATTATATAAACGGACAGATCCATCAAGCAGACATAAGGACATAGTTGAATTGAACAGTAACATCGACATCTGTCGACTACTTATCCAACAACAGCAGAATACACATTCTTAAGCTCACAAGGGCTATTCACCAAGCTAGACCACATTGTGGGCCATAATACACATCTTTTTTTTTCTTTTTTTTTGAGACAAGAGTTTCGTTCTTCTTGCCCAGGCTGGAGTGCAATGGCATGTGACCTCAGCTGATGGCAACCTTCACCTCCTGGGTTTAAGCGATCCTCCTGCCTCAGCCTCCCGAGTAGCTGGGATTACAGGCACCTGCCACCATGCCCAGCTAATTTTTTGTATTTTTAGTACACATGGGGTTTCACCATGTTGGCCAGGCTGGTCTCGAACTCCTGACCTCAGGGGATCCATCTGCCTCGGCCTCCCAAAATGTTGGGATTACAGGTGTGAGCCTGCGCCTGGCCCATAATACATATCTTAACAAATTTAGAAGAATATATGTCATATAATGTCTGCTCTCAGACTTCAATAGAATTAAGCTAAAAATCCATAACAGAAAGATAACTGGAAAATCCCAAAATACTTGGGAGATTACAAAACACTTTTTTTTTTTTTTTTGAAATGGAGTCTCTCACTATCACCTGGGCCAAAGTACAGTGGTGCGAATTCGGCTCACTGCAACCTCCGCCTCCCGGGTTCATGAGAGTCTCCTGCCTCAGCCTCCCAAGTAGCTGGGATTACAGGCGCACACCACCACACTGGCTTTTTGTATTTTTAGTAGAGACGGGGTTTCACTATGTTGGCCAGACTGGTCTCGAACTCTTGACCTCGTGATCTGCCCGCCACGGCTTCCCAAAGTGCTGGAATGATAGGCATGAGCCACCATGCCCAGCCTTTTTTTGTTTGTTTTTGAGACGGAGTCTTGCTCTGTCCCCCAGGCTGGAGTGCAATAGGGTGATCTCAGCTCACTGCAACCTCCGCCTCCTGAGTTTAAGAGATTCTTGTGCCTCAGCCTCCCGAATAGCTGGGACTACAGGCGTGTGCTACCACACCTGGCTAATTTTTGTATTTTTTAGTAGAGATAGGGTTTCACCATATTTGCCAGGCTGGTTTGAAACTCCTGACCTCAAGTGATCCACCCCCCTCAGCCTCCCAAAGTGCTGGGATTACAGGTGTGAGCCACTGCACCCAGCTGACACAACATACTTTTAAATAATACATGGGTCAAATAAGAAACCTCAAGTGTTGTGGGAAGTCAGGGACCCCGAACGGAGGGACCGGCTGAAGCCATGGCAGAAGAATGTGGATTGTGAAGATTTCATGGACATTTATTAGTTCCCCAAATTAATACTTTTATAATTTTTTATGCCTGTCTTTACTGCAATCTCTAAACATAAATTGTGAGGATTTCATGGACACATCACTTCCCCAATCAATAACCTTGTGATTTCCTATGCCTGTCTTTACTTTAATCTCTTAATCCTGTCATCTCGTAAACTGAGGAGGATGTACGTCACCTCAGGACCCTGTGATGATTGCAGTAATTGCACAAATTGTAGAGCATGTGTGTTTGAACAATATGAAATCTGGGCACCTTGAAAAAAGAACAGGATGACAGCAATGTTCAGGGAACAAGAGAGATAACCTTAAACTCTGACTGCCAGTGAGCCGGGCGGAACAGAGCCATATTTCTCTTCTTTCAAAAGCAAATGGGAGAAATATCACTGAATTCTTTTTCTCAGCAAGGAACATCCCTGAGAAGGAGAATGCGCCCCTGAGGGTGGGCCTCTAAAATGGCCCCCTTCGGTGTGGCCGTTTTCTATGTTCAAGACTGTAGGGATGAAATAAGCCCCAGTCTCCCATAGTGCTCCCAGGCTTATTAGGACGAGGAAATTCCCGCCTAATAAATTTTGGTCAGACCGGTTGCTCTCAAACCCTGTCTCCTGATAAGATGTTATCAATGACAATGGTGCCCGAAACTTCATTAGCAATTTTAATTTCGCCCCAGTCCTATGGTCCTGTGATCTCGCCCTGCCTCCATTTGCCTTGTGATACTCTATTACCTTGTGAAGTATGTGATCTCTGTGACCCACACCCTATTCGTACACTCCCTCCCCTTTTGAAAATCCCTAATAAAAACTTGCTGGTTTTACGGCTCAGGGGCATCACAGAACCTACCGACATGTGATGTCTCCCCCGGATGCCCGGCTTTAAAATTTCCCTCTTTTGTACTCTGTCCCTTTATTTCTCAACCTGGCCGACGCTTAGGGAAAACAGAAAAGAACCTATGTGACTATTGGGGGCAGGTTCCCCGATACTCAAGAGATATTTTAATATATTTTAAAATAAATGAAAATGAAAATACAACTGATGAAAATTTGAGGAATGTAGCCAAAACAAGAGGGAATTTTGTAGCATTGAATATTAGAAAAAAAAAGATCTAAAGTCAGTAAGCTTCTACTGTAGGAAACTAGAAAAAGAAGAGCAAATTAAATCCAAAGTAAGCAGAAGAAAAGAAATAACAAAAATTAGAGCAGAAATAAATGAAATTGAAAAAAGAAATTAATAAAGGTAATCAGCAAAACCAAAGGTGTTTTTTAGAAAAGATCAGAAAATCTGAATGCATATAGACAGGCTAGCTAAAAAAGTGTGAAAGTGTGGATAGAAGAGAAAGAGCTTCGATGGGATTTAGGAAAGGAATGTCAAAGAACAAAAACTTGACCATATGTCTCCAGATCTGCCCAAGGGAAACTGCTCTATCTAGCAGAACCAAGTATCTGCTCCGATTGGCAGGTTGCACATAGTGGAAATGGCTGCATGAAAGCTATTATAAAAGATGATACTACCATCACATTAATCCAATTAGTTGTACTTGTTATGACTCATGATGAAAAAGCAACCCTGAGAATATAATTTACTTCCCTATACATTTTTTTCTATGGGGAGATAATGCCCTGACCAAGAGATATGAATAGTCCAATTGCCTTGCCAGGGTTTTTTGTTTTTTTTGTTTTTTTTTTTTTTTAGACAGAGTCTTGCTCTGTCACCAGGCTGGAGTGTAGCGGCAAGTTCTTGGCTCACTGCAACCTCTGCCTCCTGGGTTCAAGAGATTCTCGTGCTTCAGCCTCCCAAGTAGCTGGATTTTACAGGCGTGCACCACCATGCCTGGCTAATTTTTGTATTTTTAGTAGAGATGGAGTTTCACCGTGTTGACCAGGCTGGTCTTGAACCCCTGTCCTCAAGTGATCCACCTGCCTCGGCCTCCCAAAGTACTGGGATTACAGGCATAAGCCACCATGCCCGGCTGGCAGGTATATTTTTTCATTGTTAATAAATTTAGTGGCATTCTAAGGTTATATCTGGTGAGATGAACTGAAACTCATAGCTCTGACATAAACTGAGACGCTGAGTGCAAGACCATTTAAATTAATGTGGAGGCCTTTTTCATGAAAATCAGGCCACATATATACTTTTAACATAAAAGGACAGGCTATTTTAGAAGCTGCTGGGTCATATAGTCTTATGAAAGAAAATGTTCTGAAGGCGGTAAATGTGTTTATCTTAAGGTACACTGGGAGAAAAAGTAGCTGTAGTTTCATTGGTAGAGAAACATCTCAATGTTGTTGAGGGGCTCACTCATGAAACCAAAGCTTATCCCCACTCCTGGGAGCCATCAGAAGCCTCAACAGAGGAATAATGTTGGCATCTAGCTGACACCTAGATGTTACCTAAATGCGGCAGAATTTGCCAGGCTTAAGAAGGGGCTGGGATCCACCCTTTCTTATTCTGTGAGTATAATGCGGACATTATAGAGGGGAATGGTTTAAAGACAGGACTATGGGGAAGAGACACAGGCGAACTGAGAACCAAGAAACTAGGGATTATCCAGGAGGGACATCTTATTAAACCCATGCAGTGTGGTGTTGTAATTATTGCCTTGTATGTGGTACAAAGGAAAGAATTATCTAAACAAAGGCATAACTCCTCATCTCCCCTTACTCTCTGTAGCTTTAGGGAACATTTGCACCCTTCAGAAAAATAACTACTTAATTCTCTACTAATATCCATTGGGTATTTTGTCTAAGGGAAAAGGGAAAGAAGATATTAAACTGGGGTAATCCTGGTTCACAGAAGTTTGATGGGCACCAGCCTTAGTTGAATTATCATACGGAAAAGAGAATCAACTAGTAGACTCCTAGAGACAATACGGGTAAGTTTTCTGAGTTTCTCCTTGTCAATGCATAGCTTGAGATCTCCTAGGAGACAGAAAGAAGGGACACACAGGTTACATGTTTTAGTTCTTTGTGTGTTTATTAAGGGTCAGTCCTCTGGAATCTTCCTATTTGCTGGCAAAGCTGAGGACTGCCTCTATGATAGACACCAAAGCAAAATACTGCTATCATTTGAGTCCCAGTAGGGACTGTCATGTGGCATCTTAGACAATGTATTTCTGTCTTTCTAGCTGTAACTGCAATAATGTCATGCTTGGAGATTCAATGCCTATATGCAGCAATTGGTTTGGTTTTGTGTCACAGCCACAGATTATACCTCTACAAATCTGTGTCACCAGTCAGACCCAAGGGGAAGAAAATAAGAATAGATGGATGAATCCATGCAAATCTATCAGTACTGCCTCCAAAACCAACCAAATGCATTCTGTATTAACTGTAGGAAACTTTCAAAGTGTGGTTGTGAATTAGCAGCACTAGCATCGGTTGGGAGCTTAATAGACTGCTGACCCACTGAATCCCAGCCCTACGAAATCAAAATCAGCATTTTAACAAGATCCTCAGGTTATCAGTATGCACGTGAAAGTTTGAGAAGCAAGTTGTACCATATTATCAACTTTTGTTTATAGACAACACATTTATTACTTTTTGCTCTAGTTTACAAATTATGTTTTATAGTGCTAGTCTTTTGAAGAGTCCAACATGCTGTAAATTAACAGTTTATAGAAAAACTGGATGGATTCAGGATATAGAGGCATATGGTGAAAAAGCTAATTTCTTTCATTCATATTAGTCTGGAAATATTTATTGAATTCCTACTGTGTGTTCCAGAACTGTTCAAGAACCTGAAGATATAGCAGTGAACAAGTCCCTGTTTTCATGGTGCTTACATTTTATTAGGGGGAACACACACTGGACAAACAAATGATATATTAATATCAGCTGATACGTGCTACAGTGAAAGAGAAGGAAGAGACGTTGCTATTTTGGCAAGAAGGGTCAAGGAATGCTTCACGGATACAGTGATTCTTTTCATTTTATTTCACTTTTTTAGAGACAGGGTCTTGCTCTTTTGCCCGAGCTGCAGTGCAGTGACATGATCATAGCTCACTGCAGCCTTGAACTAATCTCAAGTGATCCTCATGCCTCAGCCTCCCAAGTAGGTAGGGCTGCAGGCAAGTACCACCACACTGGGCTAATTTTTTTCTTAATTTTTTTATAGAGGTGGGGGTCTCACTGTGGTGCTCAGTCTGGTTTCGAACTCCCGGCCTCAAGCAATCCTGCCTTAACCTCCCGAAGTGCTGGGATTACAGGTGTGTGCCACTACACCCAGCCTGGATAAGGTGGTTCTTAAAGATTTTGTGCAGCCCGGGCACAGTGGCTCACACCTGTAATCCCAGCACTTTGGGAGGCCAAGGCTGGTAGATCACCTGAGGTCAGGAGTTTGAGACCAGCCTGGCCAACATGGTGAAACCCCATCTCTACTAAAAATACAAAAATTAGCCAGGCGTGGTGGTGGGCGCCTGTAATCCCAGCTACTCAGGAGGCTGAAGCAGGAGAATTGCTTGAACCTGGGAGGTGGAGGTTGCAGTGAGCCGAGATCACACCACTGCACTCCAGCCTAGGTGACAGAGTGAGACTCTGTCTCAAAACAAAAAAAAAAAAGAAAAAGATTTTGTGCAGACATCTGGGGAAAGAGATGTCCAGGTAGAAGGGTTAGCATGTGAAAATCCCTGAGGCTGGAGTGTGCTTTGTGCCTTTGAAAAGCAGCAAAGAAGTCATGTCTCAAGTAAGGTAAGAAAGGCCAGAATAGTTAGAGAAGTCAGAGAGGAAAATGTTGGAGGAAAATGAAGTAGGTCCTTGCAGGCCTTTTAAAGTGGAATGGGAAGCCATTGGAGGCTTTTTAGCAGAGAAGTGACATCTTACTTCCATGTTAAAAGATCTCTGTGTTTGCTATGTTGAGAATAATCCACGGATTTGGGGTAGAGTCACGGGCAGAGTCAGGGAAACAAGTTGGAAGGCTATTACAATAAACTAGAAAGTATTTTGTATAACTTAAACCATTTTAAAGACAGTAGCCACGGCTAGGTGCAATGGCTGACGCCTGGAGTCCCAGCACTTCAGAAGGCCGAGGCAGGAGGCTCCCTTGAGCCAAGGAGTTCGAGACCAGCCTGGGCGACATACGAAGCCCCTGCCTCTAATTTAAAAAAAAAAAAGGGAAAAGAAATAAAGATAGTGGTTACTACTACTATACCACCATCCATTTAAGGAAGAAAGTGTGGAGAGATGGTTAGGTATATTTTGGAGATATAGCTGAAAAGATTAGATTGGAAGTGAAGTACATGAGGAAGACAGCAAGCACACTTCCTAGGTTCTTGTACTGAGCAAGTACAAGAATAGAGTTGCTAAGTACTAAAATAGGGTATCCCAAAGGAAAAGCATATTTTCCCCCCAAAATTTTGACATATAAATTTCACATGCCTAATGGACAACCAAGGAGAAATGCTGAATGTAAAATGTAATTTCAGGATAAAAAATTGAAGGTGTAATTTGCAAGCAACTACTCTCAATTCTGCCATGGTAGAGTGAAAGCAGCTATAGGCAATACTAAAGGAATGGGCATGGTTGTGTTCCACTAAAATTTTAGGACACTGAAACTTGAATTTGAATTTCGTCTAATTTTCACATCTCAAAATATTGTTCTTTTGATTTTCGTTAAGCAAGTTGCAACCAGAATGGACTGCAAAGCCTATAACATTTATTGTCTGGCTCTTTTTATTTTATTTTTATTTTTTGAGACAGTGTCTCGCTCTGTCGCCCAGGCTGGAGTACAGTGGCGCCATCGGAGCTCACTGCAACCTTCACTCCCAGGTTCAAGCGATTCTCCCACCTTAGCTTCTAAGTAGCTGGAACTACAGGCGTGCACCACCACGCCAAGCTAATTAAAATTTCTTTTGCAGAGACAGGGTCTCATTCTGTTGCCCAGGCTGATCTCCTGGGTTCAAGGGATTCGCCCGCCTAGACCTCCCAAAATTCTGGAATTACAGGCGATAGCCACTGCGCCTCGTCTCTGGCTCTTCACAGGCAATTTGTGGATCCTTGTTACAAATGAAACAAGATGGGACATTAGTTGATCATTTTTGAAGTTGGGTGACGGTATACAGGGTTTCGTTATACTAGTTTACTTTAGAATATACTTGAAATCTTTCACAATAAAAAGTTGTGGAAATGTTTAACAAAGGTGAGTTATCTTACGCGTTTTTCTTTCCTTATACAAAAACCAAATCTCTCTGAAAGTTGTCTATAGTTAGTAAAGCCTTTTGCTTCTTTTCTGAAAAAGAAAAACCCTTTCGAAGTCTTTAGTGGTGGTAAAATAAGCCCTTTGGATATGACACTCGGTGACGACGAAAGCAGGCACAAAAGGAAAAGAGGAGTTTTTGGGGGGTGTCTGTGTGTGTTTTGTCTTTTTACATTACTCTAAATTCCCAGAACCAATCCCGGTTCTACAAATAAGTGAAACAAAATCCCCTTTAACACCGTAGGGTCTCACGCCCTCAGATGACTCACGGAAATGACGCCATCAGCGAAAAGCGGGGCGGGCGTAGACGTCAGCACGTCAGCCCTCCTCCATGTCCAGCTGAGGGAAGGCTCGTTTCAGTGCCGCGGCCGGCGCCCGCCAAGGGATGGGCAGCCAGAGCCTGTCGACTGCGGCTGCGCAGGTATGCTGGGGCGGGGCTTCAGGTCACCCCGCCCATCCCCAGCCTACGCGACCATTGAACAGCTGCCGCCCAACGGCTGGGTAAATCCTCAGCGGCCGAAATGATTAGCCCAGGGGGCAGCCCCGCCCCCTGCTCCTCCCGGCCTCTCGCCCCGCCCCCATGTCCCGCCCGCTCGTCTGCCTGGCTGCGGGGTGACACGGGGCTTCGCCTTGGGAAGGGGTCGAGGGAAGCAGTTAGACGGCTGCCGGGCGGCGGCTGCCGCGCGGCACACAATGTGAGCCCGGTGATGGGGAGCGGGCCGTTGGGAAGAGGGGGCGGCATGGCAAGAAATGGGAGGGCCCCGGTGCTTGGTGGTGGAGGGGCTGCAGAGTGAGGGGCGGCTTTGAGTGGGCTAGGCTGTCAGGGAGTGTTCCGATACTGTAGTGCAGGCTGGGATCGCGGTCGGGAGACGCCGAGTCCGCATTCCTCAGTTCTAGAGCTTCTCTTGGCAGCTCGGCACACCTTAAGTTTGCCTCTGTTTGGGTTGTCTTGGGATGTGAGGAGGAAATTAAAAGATTCCCCCAAACACTTGGATGCTTCTTTGGGAAGTTCCTCGCCGGTGTGTGCGTGCCCACTTCTCTTGGATGGAAAGGTGGAGAGGCCAGGTGGGCGGGTGGACTTCCACTCTCCGAGGATTGTTAGAACAAACGAACTGGGAATTCCTCCCCCGCCCCCACGCCCTGCCCTGCAACACAGCAAACAGTCCCAACTACTCCACCCCCACCCCACCCCAGACGGAGTCTTGCTCTGTCGCCCAGACTGGAGTGCAGTGGCGTGATCTGGGCTCACTGCAGCCTCTGCCTCCCGGGTTCAAGCAATTCTCCTGCCTCAGCCTCCTGAGTAGCTGGGATTACAGGTGCCCGCCACCACGCCCGGCTAATTTTTTGTATTTCTTTAGTAGAGACAGGGGTTCACTGTGTTGGCCAGGCTGGTCTCGAACTCCTGACCTCAGGTGATTCACGCACTTGGGCCTCCCAAAGTGCTGGGATTACAGGCGTGAGCCACCGCGCCTGGCCCCAACAACTTTGAAGAGGAGACCAGAACAAGAACATTCTAAGAGCTTTGATGTATTTGAAATGTCTGAGATGTGGGCCTTTTCCTTGTATCTGTACAAAAGGTATGAGTGGGAAGGGAGTCTTGCTCCTTATTCTCACTGGACGCATTCTTGGTTATGAACATGTACCCATCTCTAGGAGTCTGTCTGCCCTAGAGGATTCTATGGTGGACATACTGTGTTAGCTGTGATGTTTTCCTGAAACACAAGTTTCTATGAAATCTAATCAGTCCATGTGAAAGTATAGCGGGTTGTTTGTGGGAAGTGAAGAAGATACATCTTTAGTTTTTGATAAGTCTAGATTTTTTAGTATGGCCTCTTTTTCTAACCTGTGGATGTTTTTCTCTTTCACAGATTTATTTAATTGCCCAACTACCACTGATGAAGATATATTGGAGTGACTGCTGAAATTGCCTTTTTGTTTTTAACCAGAGGACAGTCCATTTGTTTCACTTCTTTTTGCTTTCTTTACTGCTATGAGCTTTACTGAACGGCTGAAAAACTTGGAAAATAAAATGGACATGCTGTAGTCTTGAACATAATTTTTTTAAGGAAAACTTAAAGTGCCAGAGTGAAAGCCAGAATGGCATCCAGAGAGAGGCTCTTTGAACTTTGGATGCTTTATTGTACAAAGGTAATTGCTTTCCTTTTTATTTTTATGTTTTAAAATACTTTATTATAAAATTTGTGACTGGCAGTAGTAACACTTTATTTAATAGATAATAGTGTATTTAGTCATAATGAATAACCCCAAACTTAAAAGCGTTTAAAGGATTTTCTGTTTTCCTCTTTTTCAGGTTTGAACACACATACAATATTGGCATACTGTTAAAAACTGTAGGGTGCGGCTTTTATTTGATACTTATCCCCAAATGATCCTAAAATTATATAAGTAAAATTATGCCCTTAAGAGAAAAATAAAATATTTTTATTTTTGTTTGTGCTTTTCATTTTCTCCCACAAGTGAGTGTAGGATAGAGACATTTTTATGAGAAGGGCATTAAGCATTTTTCTTGGAATGAACCTTTGAAATTGCATCACAAGGTTATTGATTGAACTGCGTGCTGTGTGACTGCCACTAAGTTAGCACTCTTTGAGCATTGTCTCATTTCCTTCTCACTACAATACTGTGAGGTGAATATTGTGATCATCCCCTTTTACTGATGGGAAAACTGATGCAAGGGTTACAGGAGTACTGAGTAGCCGAGAAACACAGTACTACCTGACTCAAGTGCGTACTTTTATCCATTTTTACTCCTTAATATTTTTGTCACTCAGAAATAATGTTCTTTCCCCTCCTTGTCTTTATGTGAATTTTTACTTGATAGCTTTGATTTTAGGTTATTGAGAAGAGTACTCCTTAAAAACATGTTTTTCAAGTGAGGAGGTACATTATTACTTTGAAGATACTGGCAAGGGTCAGAGAAACACCCCTAATGTACTATTTGAGTTAATTTAAGTATGTGTGGTGAAATTCTCAAGTCACAGCTTCTGTTTCTGCATTATCCTTTCATGCTCCTTAAAAGGCAGATTATTATTTAACAGTGGTCTCATTTATCTGTCATATTAAATTTAGAGATTACACTGGAATTTTCTTTGACTTCCTGGTTTGATATATATTATAATTGCTAAAGGACATACACTTTGAAATGCTTAATATGAATTTTTAAAATAGCTTTTAGTCTTGCATAATTTAATACCAGAAATGTCTTTTTAAAAATAGACGCTTCCAATAAAAAAGGAATCCAATTCACCACTTTTGAAAATAGTCACTAACACGTTAACCAAAAATTAAAATTAATTTTTAGTATGAATACCTAGTAGTTTGAAAATGATTTATTTAAAAATACATCAAACTTACTAGGTTTTACTGTTTTCAAAATGATATTGGTGAATGGGGTTACGTGTCTCATTAATAAGTTACATTCTTTTTAGGTATATTTACTATTAAATTTAATATTAAAGCTTATTAAACAGATAGTATAGTTCATTGGCATACACTGAATTTTATTCTTAATGGCTTTTAATATAAACATGCATCCCTTCTCCTTTGAAATGTTAATCCTCAATAATGAAGGCCCCTCACTGTCAGATTTTGAAGCCTATCTCTTCTTGGACAGGAATATAAATCTCATTTTTAGGTTTAATATTTAAATAATTTGTGTGCTTAATACGATTTAAAATTTTTTCACTTGTTTTCAAAGAATATTTATTTAAAACCGTGATTTTATATTTTACCAGTTAACGGATAAGCTTTTTGTAAGGTAGACAACATTCTCTTCTGCAGACACCTTGAATCAGGTAGCTACCAAATATACCTCATAGATTTAAGTCTTCTTTCTAATGAGGATGACTACCAAATACTGTACCCAGTTGTTCTCTATACTTTTTGCCTTATTATTCTCACTCTAGCATTTAGCCTCTCAAACCAGCTGACTTTTTTTTTTTCCCAGCTGACAAACTTTTAAGGCTTTTTTTTTTCACACTTTTAATGAGCTTTCAGACCACTTGAGGACTCAGATCTTCTTATGAAAATATTTTCTACCACTTAGTTTCAAAAGCTTCTTAGACCTCTTTGTGAGCTTGAAATCGTAGTTTAGTTTTGGCTCTGCTGCTGCTTTGTTTTGTAACCTTGAACAAGACTTACTCTTTGGGTCTCAGTTTTTCTCATTTGTTGAGTAAGCATGTGTGCATGTATGTATATACAGGGAGAATGCTTATCTAACTCAGTATTCAGGTTTTTGTTTGTTTTTACCTCTGAGGGACAAGCAGTTTTTTTTGTTGTTGTTGTTCTTATTCTGTAGATGGTTATGTAGAACTTTTTAGTTCTTTCTTTTTAAAACTTTTATTGTGGAAATTCTCAAGCATGCACCAAGTAGAGATGTTATAGTGAACTCTTTTGTGTCTGTCACCCAATTTTGACTATTACCAGCTCATGTTCAGTCACAGTTTATGTATAACTGTCAATTTGCCCTATCTCCTAATTATTTTAAAGCAAATCCCAGACAATTTATGATCTTATCTGTAAATATTTAAATATGTGTAATAACTCCTCTTAAAAACAATCATGACACAATTTTTAAAATTATCAAATATGTGATCAATGTTCTTACTTTCCTCCTAGTTTCTTAATATTCGTATTTTCCCACTGTTTGGCTCAGTATTTAAAACAAAGTATACATGTATTTTGTTGAAAATATCTGCTAAACATTTTCATGTATAGGCTCCCCTTCACCATATTTTTATTCTTTGCTGTTTATGTGTTGAAGAAACCAGATTTTGACCTTAGAGTTTTCTACAGTTTGAACGTTTTGCTCATTGAATTCCCTTGATTTTATTTAATTGTTCCTCTCTTCTGGTATCTGGAAACTGACCGAACAGAGGCCTGATTGATTTGGGTTGTTTTGGGTGTGAAGGGCTAGAATAATTTATTAGTGTAGCGGCCATCTGTGATTTTTGCCTATATGTGTTATTTTATTAGGATTTTGCAAAACTGTATAATTTATATTGAGAACTGTCTCTATCAGCATTTGATTACAGTTCCTTAAAGGGAAGGCAGGTGGCATATATGTTTGATTCTCTTTGTCAGTTTTCACAATGACTTAATTTACTAGCATCCTCCCAAGATGATCAATTGTTTTTCTTGAGTATAAAGTCCATCTTTAATGATTAAAGTGTCTGCTGTTTTGTTGCCCTGCTTGGTTTGATGTCTACACAAAACATTGTATACATACCTGATTAAAGAAGACACCTTGGAAGATTTATGAAGGACTGCTTCCGGGCAGTAAGGTTAAGACCTCCTCCGTATTTGCCACAGTGCTAACCTTGGCACAGATATTCCACAGTGTATTAACAATAGGTCAATATTAAGGTACCTACCATCACAGCGTTTCTGTCAGGTTTTAAAGTTGTCCCTGAACATTGCAAAAGTTCAGTAGGTCTAGTAGTAGTACTACCTCAGAAATAACCCTTGGGTAATACTGCTTGGTCACAGCAATGCTAAAAGAACGCTAATGGAATATATATGTCTTCTGCCTGGGTTCAATTGTAAGCTTAAATACTAGTGACTAAAGTCCTTTAAGTAGAATTAAAATAAATTACCAGTTTCAGTTTTTAGCAGATGGAGTCCCAATATTTGAAAGAATTTGAGTATAAAACTTGGCAATTTATTTGATTTTATTTTTAATTGATAATAATTTTATCTGATAATTTTAATTGATAAATAATTTTAATTGATAATAATTTTAATTGATAATAATTTATGGGGTACAATGTAATGTTTTGATACATTGTGGAATCATCAAATCAGGCTAATTAACATATCTGTCACCTCACATACTTACCATTTCTTTGTGATGTGCAATTTGGTTTCTTACCAAACTTTTCAGGTCTAACTTCACTTTCTCCTTCTAGGAATAGGCTTTAATTAAATTGTTAGAAACATGTGTCTTCTTCCTAAAAGGTTACTTTGTAAACCTTATGTTGTTATTGTATAATACAAGCAGGATGATTTCTAATCACCCAACAGTCCTGCTTTCTAAAGATTCTTTCACCAGTGTATAAGACTATTAATTCAAGTTGTATAGTCTGAACCTAGGCGCAGTGGCTTATGTCTGTAAGGCTCACTGGAAGGCTGAGGTGGATGGATCATTTGAGATCAGGAGTTTGAAACCAGCTTGGCCAGCATGGTGAGACCCCGTCTCTACTAAAAATACAAAAATTAGCCGGGCATGGTGGCATGCACCTGTAATCCCAGCTACTCAGGAGGCTGAGGCAGGAGAATCGCTTGAACTTAGGAAACAGAGGTTGCAGTGAGCCGAGATTACGCCATTGCCTTCCAGCCTGGGTGACAGAGTGAGACTCTGTCTCAAAAAAAAAAAAAAAAAGAAAAACCCCAAATTATATAGTCTGAACTCTTCTTGCCTTCAAATGGTTGTCCCCACCCAGGGTCAAGGATTTGATTAACAGCACATTTCTTATAGCTCTTATAAGTTAAACATTAATTTGAACAGGTTTAATCTTGTATCTGGATTTTAGTTCAGTAGTTAACTACTTCTTGTCTGAGTGTATTTTTCTTAAGTATAGAAGTATTTTAATACTAGTACTTAAGTATACAGTTTTTTGTTTGTTTGTTTTGGAGACGGAGTCTCACTCTGTGGCCCAAACTGGAGTGCAGTGGCCCAATCTCAGCTCACCACAACCTCCAACCTTCTGGGTGCAAGCTATTCTCCTGCCTCCCTCAGCCTCCCGAGTAGCTGGTATTTACAGGCACATGCCACCAGGCCCAGCTAAATTTTTGTATTTTTAGTAGTGACGGGGTTTCACCATGTTGGTCAGGCTGGTCTTGAACTCCTGTTTTTAATAGAGATGGGGTTTCACCATGTTGGCCGGGCTGGTCTTGAACTCCTGACCTCAGGCGATCCACCCTCTTCAGCCTCCCAAAGTGCTGGGATTACAGGCGTGAGCCACTGCGCCCAGCCCAGTATTTTTTTTAATGTCTAAAGATTTCAGGGCAGGTGTGGTGGCTCATGCCTGTAATCCCAACACTTTGGGAGGCTGAGGCAGGTGGATCACTTGAGCTTGGGAGTTTGAGACCAACCTGGGCAACATGGTGAAACCCCATCTCTACCAAAAATACAAAAAAATTAGCCAGGCATGATGGTGCACACCTGTGGTCCCAGCTACTCAGGAGATAGGGTGGGAGGATTGCTTGAACCCGGGAAGTGTAGGTTGCATTGAGCTGAGATCGTGCCACTACACTCCAGCCTGGGTGACAGAGTGAGACCCCATTTAAAAAAAAAAAATTAGTTTATATATATGTAGTAGGCACCATGTTATTCACTGTATTTTTTGATAATTCACTTTTAACATACAGTAAGAGAGATGGTGCTGAGAACAATTTTTGTTTCTATATTATTATATACAAAGTTTTGAGACTCATATGTGTGTAGAAAAAGACATGTATCGGCTGGGCACAGTGGCTCACGCCTGTAATCCCAGCACTTTGGGAGACCAAGGTGGGTGGATCATGAGGTCAGGAGTTTGAGACCAGCGTGGCCAAAATGGTGAAACCCCGTCTTTACTAAAAATACAAAAAAAATTAGCCAGGCACGGTGGCGGGCACCTGTAATCCCACCTACTCGGGAGGCTGAGGCAGGAGAATCACTTGAATCCGGGAGGCAGAAGTTGCAGTGACCTGAGATCTCGCCACTACACTGTAGCCTGGGCGACAGAGCAAGACTCTGTTTCAAAAAAAAAAAAAAGAAAGAAAAAGAAAAAGACATGTATCATAAATTCCCTATCTCAACTGCAACCCTTGGACAGACTTAAGGACGTATTTCTATTAGACACTTAGCCTTTTGGGAGTGCTGCAGTTAGTTGGTCACTAGAATATGTAGAAAAAAGAAACTGAGCCTCTCAAAGTCTTAGATAAGATTAAGCTATTTTTGTTCTGTCTGGTGTAAAGTATCAAATGCGTTAACTGAGTAAAAACATACAAAGTGACTCAAAAGCACAGCATTTTGAAATGTGGCAGTGTAGATTGAAAACCATGGTTCATTTTTGTCATTAGCTTTAAAAAATTTTTTATTTTATTTTATTTTATTGAGATTGAATTTTGCCCTGAACAGTTTTGTGAAGCTGCAGTATTAGAGGTGATATTTAGTCCCAATTCTGTGTCTGATCTTAAGGACCTAAAAGGTTAACCTAGTTTCTTTGTATCTCAGTTTTCTCATCTGTCAAATGGAAAAACATAACTATTTTACATATCTGTCAAAATTTTTTAGAAAAGAGATTTTATTTAAATGTATTTTAAGAGGAAGAGAGATAAAAATGTAATCTTTATAAGTATTTTGCAGATGTGTGGGTGTGGACATGTGTGTATCAGGATTACTTCCATTTGCCCTTGTATTAATATAATAATAGAGGGCAATATTCTCTTACTATTTTATCAGTAGTAATGAAGCTGTATTCATTAATGTCTTAACCGAGAATGTCTTAACTGATTTTAAATCTGTACTTATTTTTGCTTTCAAGGATAGTGCTTAATTATCTTGAATAATGATTTGAGGGTCCTCCCTACTCTAAACCAAATTTATTTTGGATGTTGATGATGCTCCATTTCCTGCTGTTGCCCTTTGTCCTGCTAAATCTGGAATATGACTGAAATAGATAGTTTTGCAGTGAGCTCAGAGTAAACTTCCTTTTCAGAATAAAAGTTTTGTTTCAAAAAGAAAATAGAATTTAGAGGTGTTTTATTCAGTTAAAAGGCAAGTATCTCTTTTTATACATAGATTTGGAAAAATGGAATTAGTGAATATCTGTTTAATGAGAAAATTATTAACTTATTAGTACAATTTTGGTTATAATCCTAAATAAGTTTTTAGTAAGATGGACCAATACATATCAACCCTTATAATTTAAGCCACATTTAGTAAGTCTCTGGTATGTGCAAAGTGTGAAAATGGCTCTTGATTTTCTGTGGCTTAATAACAGCTTTGTATGTAAGGAAGGTAATGTTCTTTGACTCTAAAGAAAAGAAAACAAAATCATTGACAGCCTAGTACTAGTAGTTACCACTTACATGTTTATTTTCAGAATTTAGGTATGAAAGCAAGAAATGTATAGTTTATATCAGTGGACCTGAAATGAAAAACGTTGTTAAGATGCATTAACTTTTTAAATTCTTTCCTTTTGAGCATCAAACTTTAAATTTCCCTGGAAGAAGGTGAAATTGATAGTACTTAAGTGTAAGTGTGGAGTATAATGTGCAGATGTGTAAGAGTCTGAAATAATTTCTTGTGTGTTTTTTTTTTTTCTGTTTGTTTCGGACAAAAAAAAACACCGTGGTCTTCCCATGCACAGTTAGCTAGACAAGATCACTAACTAGGTTTTCAGGTAAGCATGCTGACTTTTCCATGTTTGTGGGACATTCAGGTAGAAATACTCAATATGTGGAGTTCAGAAGAGAGGTCTGTGCTGGAAATAAAGATTTGAGAGTTCTCATATTGGGAATTATTGGAGGGTTATTATGAGAATAAGAAGAGAAGAAGGTAAAAGGAAGCCCTGAAGAACATTGTCATTTAAGAAGAAGACAGAGTTTTGGAACCAGTCTGGGCAAAACAGTGAGATCACGTCTCTGTTATTTAAATAAATAAATAAATAGGTGACAGAGGAAGAAGAGTTTGTAAGTTTAAATGAGAGAGGAGCCAGGAGTGACTGGGTTGCCTCAGAAAGTACAGGGATATTGGCTGGGTGCAGTGGCTCATGCCTATAATTCTAGCTCTTTGGGAGGGCAGGGTGGGAGATTTGCTTGAGCTCGGGAGTTTCAGTCTACAGTGAGCTGGGATCATGCCACTCTAGTCCAGCCTGGGTGACAGAGTAAGACTCTTTCTCACACAAAAAAAAAAAAAGAAAAAAAGAAAAAAGTAGTCAGGGGTGTCAAATTCAACATGGCAGTCAAGAAAAGTATTACGGTCCGCATCTGGTGGTTCACACCTGTAATCCCAGCATTTTGGGAGGCCAAGGTGGGAGGATCATTTGAGGTCAGGAGTTTGAGACCAGCCTGGCCAACATGATGTAACCTCATCTCTACTGAAAATACAAAAGTTAGCTGGGTGGGGTGGCATGCACCTGTAATCGCAGCTACTTAGGAGGCAAGAGAATCACTTGAATCCAAGAGGCCGGGGTTGCAGTGGGTCAAATTTGTGCCACTGCACTCCAGCCTGGGCAATAGAGTGAGACTCTGTCTCAAAAAAAAAAAAAGAAAAAAAGAAAAGCATTATGGAGCATGTATTGGATTTGACAGTTTACATATTATTGGCGGCCTGAGGTGGGCAGATCACTTGAGGCCAGGAGTTCGAGACTAGCCTGGCCAAAATGGTGAAACCCGTCTCTACTAAAAATACAAAAATTAGCTGTGTATGGTGGTGCAGGCCTGTGGTCCCAGCTACTCAGGAGGCTGAGGCAGGAGAATCGCTTGAACCTGGGGGGCGGAGACTGTAGTGAGCCGAGATCGCACCACTGTACTCCAGTCTGGGCAACAGAGCGAGACTCTGTCTGAAATAAATAAATAAATAAATACATACATACATACATAAATTGATGGCTTTTCCAAAAGCAGTTCTGAAAAGAATGAAAAAGTTAAAAATGCAAGTCCTTATATTATTAATTTTTTATTATTAAATTCAACAGACTTAAAATTACTACCAAACTGCTACTAAAGTTTGTAGATAGATGTTTCCTCTTTATCTTTGTACTAACCTGGCCAAGGACCTTTATTGGTCTGTGTACCACACTTTGTGTGGCACTGCTGTAGAACATCTGAAAATTCTCAGATACCTTAGAATCCATCTGTAAATCCAGAGATCTGTAATTTGAAACATATTGCTTTATAAATTGAACTGTCACTGATGATCCCTTGGTAGCAATCCAAATGTGACCTTTGAAATCGAGTAGCAATACTAGTCGCGAGGTAGTTTTCCCTAATATGCTTAAAGTAATTTAAAAATTAATAAAAACAGGAGTGCAAACTTTAAAAATTTCTATATGGAGCTTATAGACCTCTGAAAATATTTCTGATAACTCCGAGCATTCTCGGACCTTAGTTTTAGAAACAAGTCTTGAACAATTATTATATCTGAAATACTTTGATTGCTCTACATTTGCTACAGCTTTTTTTTCCTTTCTGCAAAATTACGTTGCAAGTTTTGTTACAAGCAAGTAAAGAATTGGGACCAAAGATCCAATCTACTGCAGTCTTCTTTCTAGGCACAATTATTCATATTTCTCCTATATGCAAAATGTACTTCATATCTATCTCAAGAACTCCAAAACTCTCATCCAATCATGACACCAGTCTTGAAACATGGGATCTGTGGTATATATAGATCCAATTGTGGTTTTTCTTGATATTATGGTCTGTGAACTCAGAGGACACTTGGTATCTGTCCTCTGCAAATCCAGTTGGGCAAATATTGCCTGGTTTCTCTATCCTCAGGGAAGAAATGTTCCATGATATGAGTCAGTACCTGCCCTGGCTACTCTTCTCTCTTGCTCTTGGCTGTGTTTTCTTGGAGGTTCTTTTTTTTTTATCCCATCATTTTCCTTTTGCTGTATCTGAAGTGGGCATTGGAGACTACACTTTGTTGTGACTGAGCAGCTCTCTCAGCAGCTTGCCTTCTGTGTTAGGAAGTCCCCTACAGAAAATGAGGACTTCCCTCCCCTTCTAATTCTTCTGCTTCTAGTTCTCTTTTGTTTAGTTATATTATCTTATAACTCCTACATAATATTCTATAGTAATGGAAATAAGGGATATACTTGTCTTGCTCCTCATTTTAGCAGGAAAAAGATTAGGTTTTCCTGTTATGTTAGCTTCAGAATTTGGGGCTGAGACATGTATATTTATGTCTGTTTTTTTGTGTATAACCACTTTAAATCATAGATCAGTGTAATTTATAATGTTAGATATTTTATTACCTTATTCATTTTTTTCTAGGTCTGCTGATATTTCTCATATTACCTGTTTGCACCTCTTAGAATATATTATACAATTACTAAGAATAGTTTTATGTGTGTATACATTAAGATGTGGATAATTAGTCTATTATGTTGTAGAGAAATGATATTCTTAAGACTTCACATAATTGAAAAGAATCACTGTTATTACTTGCTTTAATTATTGGTATTCAGTAGTTGCCATTTTAAATTTTTTTTTTTTTTTTGAGACAGTCTTTGTCTTGCTCTGTCTCCAGGCTCCAGGCTGGAGTACAGTGGTGTGATCTCGGCTCACTGCAACCTCCACCTCCCGGGTTCAAGCAATTCTCCTGCCTCAGCCTCTCAAGTGTCTGGAACTACTGGTGTGCACCACCATGCCCAGCTAATTTTTGTATTTTTAGTAGAGACAGTGTTTCACCATGTTGGCCAGGATGGTCTCAATCTCTTGACCTTGTGATCTGCCTGCCTCGGCCTCCCAAAGTGCTGGGATTACAGGCGTGAGCCACAGCCACTGGCCTAAATATTCTCCTTTAGTAGAATCCTCATTATGCATTTTAAGTAGGTTCATTTGGAATCAGGTGTTCCACTTAATTTTCAATAGTCTTTCATTGTTAAAGACGTACAGTAAAATGCTTCTAGGTCAAAGTTTAATGCCTTGTAGTGTTTTAATATACGTTCAGCCTGGCTGTTGACAAAAACCCTTGATTTCTTCTTATTATTTTTAACTCCTCCACCCCCAACTCTTGATTTCTTTTGTGGAAATATAATTCAGTTTTTTTGTGACAATTTTGTCCTGGTCATTCAAAATCTATTAAGATATAGGGAACTATGTAGACTGACTATGAAATGTGCCATAGCCATATTTGAAATCCTTTGAAGGTATCAGAATTCAGGCAAGGGTTAGTAACACTTGCTTCCTCATCCCTTTGTCAGCTTTTATTTAAAATAATGGAATTTACATTATAATGTGCCACTTTGTTTTCATTAATGGAAATGAGCTCTACTCAAATATATTTTATACAGACCCTGCTGTCTTAAAAAATGAAAAAATAACTTAGCCATATCTAAGAGATATCAACATTTTTCTTGATGTTTTGTGACTTACCTTCAGGCTGGTAGTGGTATCTACCCAGATTTAAAGAAGATTAAATGATATACCCATTTCACACAAAAGTCAAGCATTTCAAAACAGTTTACCTCTGTAAAAAAAAAAATGTTGTTTGATGCATTTAACTGCTACATAATTTTTACTGACACTGAACATTTGAATGGTAGGAAAGGTGTGTAATTTATGATGCCACTGTGAGGTGAATTTATACCTCTTTTTTATTGAGTGATTTTTGTCTGTTCAAAATACAAAATTTAACCTTTCTAGTGAATGAACTTTATTTTATGGAGAAAAATGAAAAATATATGGACTTTCTGTTTTAAGACACAGGGCATTGCTCTGTCACCCAGGCTGGAGTACAGTGGCATAATCGTAGTAGCTCCCTATAACCTTGGACTCGTGAGGTCAAGTGATCTTCCTATTTCACCCTTCCAAGCAGCTAGGACTACAAGTGTGTGCCACCACACCTGGCTATTTTCTGAACAATTTTTTTTTTTTTTAAATGGAGTCTCGCTCTGTCACCAGCCTGAAGTGCAGTGGCGTGATCTTGGCTCACTGCAGCCTCCGCCTCTGGGGTTCAAACAATTCTCCTGCCTCAGCCTCCCGAGTAGGTGGGACTACAGGCACGTGCCACCACGCCTAGCTAATTTTTGTATTTTTAGTAGAGATGGTTTTTCACCATGTTGGCCAGGAAGGTCTTGATCTCTTGACCTAGTGATCTGCCCACCTCAGCCTCCCAAAGTGCTGGGATTACAGGTGTGAGCCACTGAGCCTGGCCCAATTTTTTTTTTTTTTTAAGAGACAGGGTCTTGCTATGTTGCCCAGGCTGATCTTGAACTCCTGTTGTAAGCAATCCTTATGCCTCGGCCTCCCAAAATGGTGGAATTATAGGTGTGAGCCACTGTGCCTGGCCTGACTTTTTGATTGGATTTATGTTCTAAGAAAAAATAGTAATATTTTACTTTTATGCTGAGCTTTAATTTTTTAATTAAGATATATAACTTAATTGTAGAATATTTGAAAAATACAGGTATGCAGGAGGTCAGTTACAGAAAATCTCATTATTCAGAGACTTTTAGTTCTTTATGGATGTGTAAATTAATTACATTTACTACTACAAATTATTAATATATTTAATTTGAAAAACTTCAACTTGACATGAAACTTGAAGATCATTTCAAGTTTCATGGAATGTTTTAAACTCCATTTGACAAGTGTCAATGTTATATTAATATGTCTATATATTAATATATACATGTTAATATATTTAATACATTTATAGTAATAATATTTTTCTTTCCTAAAGAATTAACTTTAGTCCCGTTTGACTCATTTTTATTGGGTGCCTGCTGTATGCACATGTCCCTTGAATTTTATATTTTCCTATTTTTTTATTTGGTTAATTTTTTAAAAATTTATAAATTGTATTTTTAGAGCAGTTTTAGGTTCCCAGAAAAATTGAGCAGAAAGTATAGAGCATTCCCATATACCCCCTGTCCCCACACATGCACAACCTTCCCTACCATCTATATCCTGGACCACAATGCGCCCTTTTGATAACTCGACTGACTTCCCAGAAACACCTGCATCAGAAACTTTTGAGTCAGAGTCTTGCTCTGCTGCTCAGGCTGGAGTGCAATGGTGTGATCTCAGCTCACTACAACCTCCACCTCCCGAGTTCCAGTGAGTCTCGTGCCTCAGTCTCCTGAGTAGCTGTGATTATAGGGTGGCTAATTTTTGTACGCCTGGCTAATTTTTTTACTTTTAGTAGAGATGAGGTTTTACCATGTTGGCCAGGCTGGTCTCAAACTCCTGGCCTCAAGTGCTCTGCCCGCCTCAGCTTCCCAAAGTGTTGGGATTACAGGCATGAGCCCCCACACCCAGCCTGCATCAGAAGCTTCTTTACCTGACCACCATGTGTGAAACTCCAAGATAAACACAGAATTCATGCAAGAGGACATATTTTACCTAACATTGCAGATGTGGGCCAGTTCTGCTGATTTTAACTGTGATTTTTCTACAGTATATTGTTCAGACCTGGAACTTTATTAGTTATCTGAATGGATAGTTACATAAACTTTTAAGAAGTTCTAGCCTGGGGCAACATGATGAAACCTGCCTCTACAGATAATACAAAAATTAGCCGGGCACGATGGCATGTGCCAGTGGTCCCAGCTACTCAGGAGGCCGAAGTGGGAGAATCACTTAAGCCCAGGTGGTTGAGGCTGCAGTGAGCCATGATTTTACCACTGTACTTCAGCCTGGGCAATAGAGTGAGACCCTGTCTCAAAAAAAAAAAAAAAAGCTAATAAAAACATACAAAAAGTAAAATTTGAAACCTTTCTCACTAGGAATTGGTGTATTCTAAGCCTATTTTGTATATATACACCTCTATTACAATATTACTACTTTTGTTTTTGTTAAAGTGGCTTCCAAACCTCTCTTGGATGTGATGGGTTTTCCTTTCATTAAAATTTTTGCCTTCTTCTATTTAATTGACTATGACTTCATCTGAGGGCATGCTTTTCCAGCTAGAATCAGTTTCCCACTTAGACTGTAGGTCCAGATAATAAGTAAACTAAAGCAAGATGGAGGGATGAAGTCATCAGGTATAGCTTAGTGGAAAAGGTAGCATCGATCAAGGTTTTAAAGGATCTATAGTAGCTTAATAGTTACAGAAGATGTTCCAGGCAAGTGTAAGGCATGACCGAACAAAGGAAGAGTGGTCCTTAAGTATAGATTTTCATTTCTGGTAATAAGGTAGACTAGGTTGTTTAGACTTATCCTTCTGAAAATTACTAGAAATTCTGGATAAAATTTAAGAAACATCTTAAAAGCATTGAAAAACTGGCAACATGGTAAGACATCATGAAACCAAATCTTAATGAAAGCAGAAACTTAGGTAAATGAAAGTCTCTTTTGCCTGGTGAACTTGAGGTTTTGTTTTCATGGCCTTGTAAGTGGGTAGGAGTTAGAAGAGGCTTCTGTTCTTTTCAAGATGGGCCTCTCCATAGTACTGAACTTCTAGATTCCCCCAGAGTAAGTGATCAAATAATAATAATAATAAAGAACAATTTACAATAATAATAACAAATATCAAATGTAAAGCCAAGGGACTAACCGGAATGAGAAATCTAAGAAAATTTCCCTTCTGATTCCCAAAGCTTACAACTTTGGCATAAGGATCAATTAGATTCTAAGCAAACACACTTAACTCTCCTCCCTCCACTAGGACTTCAGGGGAAAGTGCATGAGTGAGAACCAACAGAAGTAGACAGTAAACATGGATCTAGAAAGACTTCATATGTTGATATTAGAAGGCAGAGATTATAAAATAAATATACCAGGTACAGTGGCTCACACCTGTAGTCCCAGCACTTTGGGAGACTGAGATGAAAGGATCACTTGAGACCAGACTGCGCAACATAGTGAGGCCCTGTCTCTACAAAAAAAATTCAAAAATTAGCCAGGCATGGTGGTGCATGCCTATAGTCACAGCCACTTGGGAGACTGAGGTGTGAGGATCACTCGAACCCAGTATGTTGAAGCTGCAGTGAGCTGTTGTTGCTATCTCAGAAAAAAAGTTGAACAGATTCTATATATCACGGAATCTGAAAACATGGATTGTAAGATATGCCATTACTTTATGTAACATTTAGAAAAATGCTGGCAGTTAAACTGCAGATTTATAACTTATTTCCTGATGTATGAATTGACCATACCAGGTTCTCATTGTTTTGAAATTTCTCTCATCTTTTCCTAGTGATTTGGCAGTTTCTCTTGTCTTCGTTTGCATTGTTTGGCTTATGATAGATAATCTTTCCACACATGTATTTCCTTTTCATCTATTTGAGAGTATCTCTCATTTTCAAGTTTATAAAGCACTAAGCTTTTCGTCAGAAAACATACAATTGTGATCGTTCCTATGGTAATGAATATTTGCTTCGTTAATGTCAAATTATATCCTGTTGCTCTGTTCTCAATGCCTTTCTTTGTATACAATTTCATTTTATTGCCTAATCACAGTATAATTTTTTGAAGACATTTTGAGTGGTAGTTAAACTTATGTGTAGTACTAACTATACATGTTAATCTAGTGAAGGAATGTCAATATGAAGTCTACTACCAGGTTTGCACATGAACAGGCAAGAGCAAATGTCAGCTACTTCTCTAAGGGCAATTTTGAGATGCATTTTAATTTCAAAGATGTCAAATGTTAAGAATCTTAGAATCATAGAAATATGAAAAAAGTGACCTGGCAGTTTTGAAAAAGAAATAGACTATCTTGAAATGGGGGAAAAATTGGAATTTTAAAAAATTGAACGATAAAAGTACATTTTAGAACTTGGTAGCTACAGAATTACTTAGGAAAATTTAAATACATATGTTAGAAATAAAAAAGACTAAAACTTAATGAACTAGTCATTTGTGGTAGCCAGTCTTCAGATTCTACCTCCTGGTATTCTACCTCCTGGTATTTACACTCTTGTATACAATCCCCTCCCACATTGTACCATTGTTGATCTGTGTGATCAGTAGAATTTGGCAAAAGTGATAGTATGTCATTTCCGAAATTAGGCTATGAAAGGCACTACTGTTTCACCTCAGTTGTTCTTTATTATTTTTTGATTGCTTACTCCGGGGGAATCCAGAAGTTCAGTAATGAGTAGCCCTACGGAGAGGCCCATCTTGTAAAGAATAGAAGGCTCTTGCGAACTACCATATGAGTGAGCTTTTAAGTGGTTCCTTCAGCCCAGTCAAGCTTTGGTATGACTGTGTCCTTAGTTGGCATGTTCATTATGAGATCATGAGAAATCCTGAGCCAGAAGCACCAACCTGAGCCACTCTTGAATTCTGACCATAAGAAACAGTGAGATAATAAATGTTTGTTGGTTTAAGTTGCTAAATTTTAGGGTAATTTGTTATGCAGGAATAGATAACTATTGCATCATCTGTTTAAGAAGATAAGAACAGCTGGGCACGGTGGCTCACACCTGTAATCCCAGCACTTTGGGAGGCTGAGGCGGGCAGATCATGGGGTCAGGAGATCAAGACAATCCTGGCTAACACGGTGAAACCCCGTCTCTACTAAAAATGCAAAAAAAGATTAGCCGGGCGTGGTGTCGGGCACCTGTAGTCCCAGCTACTTGGGAGGCTGAGGCAGGAGAATGGCGTGAACCCGGGAGGCGGAGCTTGCAGTGAGCTGAGATCGTGCATAAGAACAAAAACCCAAAGAAAGAGTGAAGGAAATTGTAGCTTTTTTTTTTTTTTTTTTTTTTTTTAGACAGAGTCTCACTGTTGCCAAGGCTGGAGTGCAATGGTGCCATCTTGGCTCACTGCAACCTCCACCTCCTGGGCTCAAGTGATTCTCCTGCCTCAGCCTCCCGAGTAGCTGGGACTACAGGCACACACCACCACGCCTGGCTAGTTTTTGTATTTTTGGTAGAGACAGGTTTTCATTATGTTGGCCAGGCTGGTCTCGAACTCCTGACCTCGGGTGATCCACCTACCTTGGCCTCCCAAAGTGCTGGGATTACAGGCATGATCCACCATGCCCATCTGGAAGTTGTACCTTTTTATTTTATTATTATTTTTTTAATTTAATTTTATTTTTTGAGACGGAGTCTCGCTCTGTCGCCCAGGCTGGAGTGCAGTGGCGCGATCTCGGCTCACTGCAAGCTCTGCCTCCCAGGTTCACACCATTCTCCTGCCTCAGCCTCCCGAGTAGCTGGGACTACAGGTGCCCGCCACCACGCATGGCTAATTTTTTGTATTTTTAGTAGAAACGAGGTTTCACAGTGTTAGCCAGGATGGTCTCGATCTCCTGACCTCGTGATCTGCCCACCTCGGCCTCCCAAAGTGCTGGAATTACAGGCGTGAGCCACCGCGCCCAGCCAGTTGTACCTTTTTAAATGTGAAAGTTCCCAAATTTATTGTATGTATTTTCAGTTGTTGTGGGAAATATACATATATCAGAAAGTTGGCATGTACTAAGGAATAGATTTATATTGAACAGGCCACTATCCATTACATAACATCTTGGGATTAGTAGCATAAACACAGTCTGTATCTGGATATACTTTTAATTGAGAATCTGGAAGTGGGATTGAGAATAATAAATAGCTCTTTCTTCTGCAAATCTTTCTAGTAGTAATGGTGTTATTATGAGGAAATTGTCAGGTTTTTGCAGAAATTACTCATAATGAAATACCAGATCTAGGAAATGATGATCAGTAGTTTCTAGTGTCACAACCCCCACCACCCTTTTTTAAAAAACTTTTCCAATTGTATCTATTATCATCCAAGTGAAAAGTGTTGGGATGAATACTTGGTTAGGAAATGCTGACTTCTCCAGTCTTATAATCCTATTATGATTATCCACTGTTTCCTATCATTTCCACACTGGAATGATACCAAATGTTATACATCTTTGAACATATCTTGCTGTTTTCTCTCTGTCTGGATTCCTCTCTTCCCCCGACCCTCCCTGAGAGTATCTGTTTATGATTCTTTGAAAACTTTTTTGAGCATTTGGGACTACACATTTACCCCCCCACCCTTGACAGAATCAATAACTCCCTTCTTTGTATTATTTCAGTATTTTTCACAACTGTTGCTTCACAGGCTGTTTTGCATTTACTTGTTTATACCTCTTTTCTCTTGAACAATGAGCACTTTGAGGACAAGACTCTATTTTATTTGTCTTTATATTCATGGTCTAGCATGGTCCCTAGTTCGTACATGGTTGGCCTGTACTTTTTTTTTTTTTTTTTGAGACGGAGTCTTGCTTTGTCTCCAGGCTGGAGTGCAGTAGAGCGATCTTGGCTCACTGCAACCTCTGCTTCCCGGGTTCAAGTGATCCTCCTGCCTCAGCCTCCTGAGTAGCTGGGACTACAGGCGTGTGCCACCATATCCAGCTAATTTTTTGTATTTTTAGTAGAGACAGGGTTTCACCATGTTGGCCAGGATAGTCTCGATATCCTGACCTTGCGATCCGCCCACCTTGGCCTCCCAAAATGCTGGGATCACCTGTGTGAGTCACCACACCCGGCCATTTTTTTTTTTTTTTTTTGAGATGGAGTTTCACTCTTGTTGCCCAGGCTGGAGTGCAATGGCACAATCTCGGCTCACTGAAACCTCCACCTCCCATGTTCAAGCAACTCTCCTGCCTCAGCCTCCCGAGTAGCTGGGATTACAGGCATGCACCACCACTCCTAATTTTGTATTTTTAGTAGAGATAGGGTTTCTCCATGTTGGTCAGGCTGGTCTTGAACTCCTGATCTCAGGTGATCTGCCTGCTTCGGCCTCCCAAAGTGTTGGGATTACAGGCCTGAGACACTGTGCCTGGCTGGCCTGTACTTATTAAACATTTTAAATAGTTGCTAGGTTGTATCAGAAAAACTTGAGGGCTGACCTGCAAGATTAGTCACTTTTACAATGTTTCTGTGGGGGGAATTTATCTTCTTTTGGTAGGATATTAGAAAATATAAATATAACTGACTTAAATGAACTTTTAAAATTCAATTCATATTTAAGTTAGGAACTGCCCATCATATGATTGAAATATTTATATGCATCTAGAATTTGATAGTTTTAAAACTTGAGTGAGTACTGTAATCCAAATATCATTGCATAGAGCAAATAAAGCATTCCCCCTATTCTTAGCTGTAACCCTGTCTCTGAAGAACTAGGGGAAATTGCATGGATGATTTAATTCCATTATCCTCTCTAAAGCCTCCCAAAAGGTTAGTGGGTGTTATGAGAAGCTAAACGTCTGCTGTGCTTTAACATAATTTAAGTAATCACATGTGACTAGTGGCCCCCATATTGTATAGCACAGCTCTAAGTTAAGTGTTCAGACTTCATCCTTTACTAATAGGGAGCCATTGAAAGTATTTGGGCAGGACAGAGGAGATGACTGGATTTAAATTTAACACATCTCATTAGTAGGTGTGTATAGGTGGGAGAAATTGTAGGGAGCTACCTGACAGTCCAAAAAGAAAGATTATTTGTCTTAATTAATGGCAGATGGGACGATTGGATGAATATTTAAGTACAGAATCAATGAACTTGATTTTGTAATTATTTTGCTTATTTTCTTATATTGGATCATGACCAACTTGATGGCAAAGTCTATATTATAATAATTGTGGTAACCAACATGTTTTGAGCATTTGCTAAATGGAAGGCACTGTTGAGTGCCTTTTGTGCATTATCTCATTTAGTGCTCTCAACAGCCCATGAGGTAGGAAGTATTATCTTCATTTTACAGACAAAGAACAGCTCAGAGAGGTGAAGTAACCTGTTGAAAGTCACACAGATAGTAAATGCAAAGAGATTTGAGATGAAAAGAGTAAAATTTAAAATCAGGTGGCAAAGGAGATCATGAAACATTTAGATATGTGTAGCATAGAACATTACTGTTTTGTGGGAGTTTCCTGATTTGGGCACATAGTAGATTATGAAAATAATTTTTATTGATACTTATTGAGCATATACTATGTGCTAGGCATTCTAAGCCCTTGATATGGGTTAAATTATTTAATTTTCACAACAGTCCTGTGAGACATCATTATGTTCATTTTTATAGAGGAAGAAAGTCATGTACAAACATAGGCTGACTTGTTTAAGAAAGTAACAGAGCAGGGATTAGAGTCCAAGTAATTTGGCTCCAGCACTCCTGCACTACTTAATACATTTGTGTGTTGTGTTAGTAAATAAATACTGTACAAATGGCAAGATAGGCCAGACGCTGGTGTTTCAATAAAGCAAACTCATCTTAACCATGAAAGTGACTCAGCTTGAGATTTAATTAATATTGTTTCTATGTGTGAGGATCTTTCTTTTTATGGCCTTTGGCAGTAAAATGATCTAAGCGTTTTTATAGAATGTATAAAATGTGGCTTTTTTTGTGTGTTAAATACTTTATGACCTTGAGTTTACTGATCCTGACGAAGCTCCTCTTTTCCTCTTTTTGCCCACTAAAGATCCATTTTATTTATGCACACAGTTAAAGCCATTGTAGTGTAGTGGAAACAGCACATATTGGATTTGTGTGTTCTTACATTTTAATTCCAGCATTATCCATTACTAGCTGTGTGACTGGACAAATTATACATCTTTAGAACTTCCCTTTTCTAACCTGTAAAATGAGGGAAATTAAATCTTCTTCATTGGATAGTTGTAAGGAGTAAATGGGATGATATATTTTTTAAATGCCTGCTGTACTACTTACTGTATGGCAGATATTCAAAAAATTGTGAGTGCTTTACTTCTTAATAAATGAAACACCTCCAAATTTAAGTACTTTTTTTTCCCTTATAGTTGCTCAATTTTGTAGGTGAACTCTGTGCTTGCCAAACACTTGGTAGCCAGACCTTTAGAATTTGAACCAGATACTATAGAGTTCCTAAATAAAATATGCATTAGAAGAGAAATGCATTAATTCTTTATGGTGTTGTGTGACTGTTTTGTGTCTTTTGCCAAGAGGTAATTCTCTGCTGTATCGGAGAGGAACAATGGTAAGGAAAACTTCAGCTTCTTGTGTTTCTGGAGTTCTATCTTGAATGGATAAATGAATGAATAAATGAATCACATTCTAGTTGGACATGTAAAAAGCAAGTAGTGAAACTTGAGAAAATTCTCACAAAAGGTAGCTCTTTTTCTAAAATATTTCCTTCTGATTTCTCAGTAATGATGTAGAGAGCTGTAGTTTACAAGCTGATTTTAGAACCGTATATTAATAGAAAAAGCAAATAGACAAAAGGTCAGTAGTCCCTGCATATTCTGGGAACATTCTTTTAGATTTTGATTTGTAGTGTAATGCTTTTATTTCGGGGAAATAAGTTCCTTGAGTTTCCTTTAACCAAGAGCAGTACTTAAGCAATGATATTTAATGACTACATAACTGAGACTCCTAAATCACATATTGAAATCTGACTGACATAAGGAAGTATTGAGGAGGCAAAGGAAAAGAATTGAGCATCATTTTTTGAGATACAGTTAATGTACTTAAAAATTTCCAAGGGATCATAGTTTTTTTTCAATTCAGCTTTATTGAAATGTCACAAAGCATTAAAATGCACAGATTTTAAGTGTCAAATGTGATGAATTTTGATACATGCAAACATTTGTATAAACACTACTTTAGTCAAGAAATGGAAAATTTCCATCACCTGGGAAAGTTCCCTCTGTGCCCCTTTGCAGTCGGTCCTCCCAGAGGCAGCCATGTTGTCTAATTTCTGTTACCATAGACTGCTCTAGAACTTCATATAAGTGATATCAGGCTGGTCGAGGTGGCTCAACCTATAATCCCAGCACTTTGGGAGGCCAAGGTGGGAGGATCACTTGAGGCCAGGAGTTTGAGACCGTAACAAGACCCTGTCTCTACAAAAAATACAAAAATACAAAAAATACAGCATGATAGCTGTAATCCCAGCTACTTGGAATGCTGAGGCAGGAGGATTCCTTGGGCTCAGGAGTTTGAGGCCATAGTGAACCGTGATTGTGCCACTGCACTCCGGCCTGGGTAACAGAGTGAGAACCTGTCTCATAAATAAATAAATACACAAATAAATACATGAATAAATAAATAAGTAGTATGTGCTTTGATGCCTAACATCTTTTGCTCAATAGATTTTTGAAAAATTTTTTTGTCATTGTAAGTATCAATAGTTCATTTTTATTCCTGGAATAGTATTCCATTGTACGAATGTACAACGATTTGTTTATCCGTTAACTTGATAGAATTTTTGTTTTCAGCTTTGGGCTATTATAAACAAAGTTTCCATAAACATTTTTGTACAAGTGTTTTTGTGGATATTTGTATTCATTTATCTGGGAGAGGAATGGCTGGGCTGTTTGATATGTGTATATTTAACTTAAACTTTTCTAAGTGGTGATCCTATTTCATACTGCCACCAGTAATGTATGAGAGTTACAGTTACTGCACGTCTTCACTAACATGATATAGTTTTTCTACTTTTAGCCATTCTAGTGGGTATATAATAGTACCTTATTTGGCTTTAATTTGCATTTCTCTGGATAACTAATGATATTGATCACAGATTAGGATGCTGTTTGGCCGTTTGTATATTCCCTTTTGTGAAGTGTCCAAGCTTTTTGCCCATTTTTAAATCGAATTGTCTTTTTGTTATTGATTTGTAGGAGATCTTTATGTTTTTCATACAAGTCCCTGAGAATATTTTCAGCCAGTGTGGTTTGTCTTTCCATTTTCTTTTTTCTTTAGAGTCTCACTCTGGCACCAGAATATAGGTTTCACAAGTGCAGAGATTTTCATCTTTTTGTTTGCTGATGGCATGTGTCACTCAGTGGCACGATCACAGCTCACCCCAGTCTTGACTTCCTGCGCTCAAGAATTCCTCCAATCTCAACCTCCTGAGTAACTGAGACTGCTGGCATGCGCAACCACACCAAGCTAATTTTTTTCTATTTTTTGAAGAGATGGGATCTCACTATGTTGCTTAGGCTGGTCTCGAATTCCTGGGCTCAAGCGATTCTCTCACATCAGCTTCCCAAAGTGCAGGGGTTACAGTCGTGAGCCACTGCACCCAGCCTCCATTTTCTTAATAGTGTCTTTTGATGAGTAGAAGTTTTAAATTTTGATTAATACCAGTTATCTTTTTTTTCTTTTTCAGTTTATGATTTTTTTGTCCTAGCTAAGAAACCTCTGTTTATCCCCAGGTAGAAAAGTGATTCAGTCTAGTGTTGTCTTTCTTGTCTGTCTTGTCTTGTCTTGTCCTGTCTTTTTTCTTTCCTTTCCTTTTCTTTCCTTTCCTTTCCTTTCCTTTCCTTTCCCTTCCCTTCCCTTCCCTTCCCTTCCCTTCCCTTCCCTTCCCTTCCCTTCCCTTCCCTTCCCTTTCGCTTCCCCTCCCCCTGGCCCTCCCCTCCCCCCCTCCCCTCCCCCTCCCCCTCCTTCCCCCTCCCCTCCCCTTCTCCTTCCCTTCCTTTCCCTTCCCTTTCCTGTCCTGTCCTGTCCTGTCTTGTCCTGTCCTTTCCGAGATAGAGTCTTGCTTTGTTGCTCAGGCTGGAGTGCAGTAGCATGATCTCAGCTCACTGCAACCTCCGCCTCCTGGGTTCAAGCAATTCTCATGCCTCAGCCCCCCGACTACAGGCTTGTACCACCACACCTGTCTAATTTTTGTATTTTTAGTAGAGATGGGGTTTCGCCATGTTGGCCAGGCTCGTCTCAAACCCCTGACCTCAGGTGATCCGCCTGCCTCGGGCTCCCAAAGTGCTGGAATTACTGGCATGAGCCACTGTGCCTGGTGTATTTTCTTCTAGAAAATTTGGGTTTCAGTTTTTATGTTTACGTTAATGATCCATTTCCAATTTGATTTCATTTATGCATGTTACTCTTAATTCATGGAACAAATATTTATTGAGCACTGTCTCAGTACCAGCCACTATTTAAGGTACTGGTGTTCATTAGTAAACAAACAAATGAAAATCTCTGCACTTGTGAAACCTGTATTCTGGGGAAGTGACAAAAAATAAACTGATAAGTAAATTATAGATGAAAGGTGATAAAGGACCATGGTGGAGGGAACATGATAAGGTAAGGTAAAGGGGTGGTGAGGTTTCTGGTTTTAAGAAGGAGTAAAAATAGGCCTCATTGAGAATATGTCATTTAAAAAATGACTTGGGGTGGGGTTGTGCATGATCAGTCCTTCAACACTAGAAAGATGGCAGAGCAAGAGCAAAGAAAAATCCATTTGGTTCCAGAAAATCTCCTGAAAAAGAGGAAGGCTTATCAAGCCCTCAAAGCCACTCAGGCAAAGCAGGCACTTTTGGCAAAGAAGGAGCAGAGGAAAGGAAAAAGGCTCAGGTTTAAGCGACTGGAATCATTCCTACATGATTCCTGGAGGCAGAAATGTGACAAGGTGCATCTCAGACGACTAGAAATGAGACCTCATGCCTTGGAATTGCCAGATAAACATGCCATGGCCTTTGTTGTACACATCAAAAGGATTAATGGCATGAGTTTACCGGTGGAGAGAACCGTTGTAAGACTTCGCCTGAAGAAAATGTTTAGTGGTGTCTTTGTAAAAGTCAACCCCCAGAACCTAAAAATGCTGCTTATAGTGGAAACTTATGTGACCTGGGGATTTCCAAATCTGAAGTCTGTGCGGGAACTCACTTGGAAACATGAACAAGCCAAGGTCAAGAATAAGACCATCCCTCTGACAGACAACACAGTGATTGAGGAGCACCTGGAGAAGTTTGGTGACATTTGCTTGGAAGACCTCATTCATGAAATTGCCTTCCCAGGGAAGTATTTCCAGGAGATCTCATAGTTCTTGCTCCCTTTCCACCTTTTGGTGACCCATCATGCTCAGGCTGGAGTGCAGTAGTGTGATCTTGGCTCACTGCAACCTCCACTATATACCAAAAATATAGTGGGCTTCCTCAAGGAGATGGGCTCACATGGCTATCGGGGTGAATGCATCAGTCAGCTCATCTGCCAGCTGAACAAGACCCAGAATATTTGAAAGCACAGTGCAGTGGAAGCATGTGTTTTTGTTTTGGGGGGAATTATCATCAGGTATCTTCAGAGAAGATTATTCCCTGCCTTATCTTCAAAAATCGGAAAGGAAGGGTTAAAATATAGTGGCTTATGTTCATGGCAAGCACCTCTCATCACAGTCCAGTTCTAAGGAAAAAGTCCAGTGTTTTCTGTATTGGCTGCTGCCTCGTCAGAAATCAGCACATGCCATGGAAGGAGTCCTGCTTTGTTGCATTTTCTATCCTAGGGTTTATTGTTGGTAAATGAGTAACTCAAGCATTTGTACAAGGTTCCCTAAGACTCCCACAGCAATGGACCAAGCCCAGGGACATAATTTAATCTGGAGAGTCCTGGGGCCTTGTTTTGAAAAGACTTGAAATACACATAAGAAGAAAGGCACATAAATAAATGTTCAGTTGTCCAGAAAAAAAAGATGAGGGAGTAGCCATTCAGATACCTGGGAGAAGAGTGTTCTGGGTAGAGAAAACAGCCAGTGCAAAGTCCTTAGGGTGGGAGCATGTCTGGCATGTCCCAGGAAACAGCCAGAAGGCCAGTATAGTACAGGGTAACAGTGGACAAGGTTACAGGGATATGGGAGGGCAAATTGTTTAAACTTTTATAGAACATTGTTAAGATTTTAGCTCTTTGAGTGACATGAGAAGCCATTTGAGAGTTCCATATACTTAATGTACATTTTAAAACAGCACATATGTACTCCTAAATATCACTTGGAGATTTCATAGTATTGATTCTTTAGGTATCTGCTTAATAGGTGTAGAAGCATTTTTTTTTTCCTGATAGGCATACTTAATATTATAATGGTTTTGTTATTTCAGAAAGATCCAGATTACCTGAAGCTGTGGTTGGACACTTTTGTTTCTAGCTATGAACAATTTTTAGACGTTGACTTTGAAAAGCTGCCTACCAGGTATGTAGAAACGCTAATTTGTAACCCCTGGATGAGTTTTTCATTTTTGGCACAAAGATTTCATTGATGACATATTACAAGGATGGCAATTATGTTACCCTCTTGATACTCATGAATAACCCTATTCTCATAGAGACATAGCTAATTGATGACAATAGTCTTTCTTGATGATGCCAGACCTGGCTTCTAGAAAACTCTGCTTCTCTAGGACACTACCAGCTGGTGTTCTGCAACACACTTCATTTCTGACACTAACTACCAGATCCCACAAGTAAAGGGCAAAGTCCTCTGTAAGACTGCCTTCACTTCAGACATTAGCCACTACAAGTCTTCGGGACCACCCATACTTCAGACCAACTGGCTATAAATTCTGGGTTCTCACACCTCCTCCCCACCTCAAGTTCAGTAACTCACTACACTGACTTGAAAAACTCACTGAAAGCACTATACTTGTGATTACGGCTTTATTGTAATGAATACACATAGGACAAGGTGTGGAAGGGTCTGGAGGCAGAGCTTCCACGCCCTCTCCCCATGGAGTCAGGTGTGTTGCCCTTCCTGAACATCAGCGTGTTCACTAATCAGGAAGCTCTTCAAGTTTTGGGTGTCCAGAGTTTTATTGGAGTCTTACTACATAATTGATTATGTGGTTGAGCTCAATTTCCCTCTCCCTAGAAGTATAAGTGGTGGTGAGGCTGAAAGTTCCAGCCCTCTAATTAATGCTTGTTCTTTTTTTTTTTTTTTCTTTTTTTTGAAATGGAGTATTGCTCTGTCGACAGGCTGTGCAGTGGCACGATCTTGGCTCACTATAACCTCCACCTCCTAGGTTCAAGCAATTCTCCTGCCTCAGCCTCCCAAGTAGCTGGGACTACAGGCGCACGCCACCATGCTTGGCTAATTTTTGTATTTTTGGTAGAGACAGGGTTTCACCATGTTGGCCAGTATGATCTCGATCTCTTGACCTCATGATCCACCTGCCTCGGACTCCCAAAGTGCTGGGATTATAGGTGTGAGCCACTGCCCCTTGGCCAATGCTTGGTCTTTCTGATAGGAGCAGCCTTCTATTGAAACTAAGGGCTTACCTTGAGTCACTTCATTTGCATAGACTCAGGTGTAATCCATAGGGCTTATTATGAATAACAAAAGACATTCTGAATATCACTCAGAAAATCTCAAGGGTTTTTGAAGCTATGTGCCAGAAAACTGGGACAAAGACCAGATATATATTCTTTATTATACAATAGGCATGTGAGTTGAAACTTATTTTCATTCCTGGCCTTACAGTAGGACCTTAGAAAACATCTTAGAGGAGGTGAAGTGTTTAGATTTTTAGAAACTAGATTTAAAAATCATAAAATGAAAAAATTCAAATTTATGGAAAAGTACTACTGAAAGTACAAATCTTTCATTTTTCCACCCACCACCACTCCCCAGTTCCATACCATTTCCCAGGCCCACTTTTTAGATAAAGTTTTTTCTATATCTTAAGCTATCTTGAAGGCCTAATAGTTGTTCAGTAAGAGAGATTGGCTGGGGTAAAATGCAAGAAAAATGGAGAGAGGCATCTAGCCACAAAAGGAGTGCCAGTTTAAGATAAGTGTTGGCCGGGTGCAGTGGCTCACATCTGTAGTCCCAGCACTTTGGGAGGTTGAGGCAGGCAGATTACTTGAGCCTAGGAGTTTGAGACCAGCCTGGGCAACATGGCAAAACCCCGTTTCTACAAATAATTAAAAATGGTGGTGTGCACCTGTAGTCCCAGTTACTTGGGAGGCGGAGGTGGGAGGATCAATTTGGCCCAGAGAGTTGAGGCTGTAGTGTGCTGTGATCGTGCCACTGCACTCCAGCCTGGGTGACAGAGTAAAACCCTGTCTCAAAAAAAAAAAAAAAAAGTGTGTTGAGGGGAGAAGGGAGGAATGGATGGTGGTTGATGATGAGAAAGAGTATCTGGAGACTTAAATCTTCAAGGAGGAAAAGTGTTTGCATTTTGGGGATAGAGGTAGGCAATCAGAAGTAGTAAAGGAGAATTGAGTCTAGAGAATCAAATAGGGGCCAGATCATGAAGTACCATGCATGCAATACAAATGGACTTTGACTTTTTTGTTGTTGTTATGGAAAATAAGAGTGCTACTGAAAAATTTTCTGTGTAGAGTGTCTTGATCATCAAGTTTGTGTTTCAAAGTCACTTTAGTGGCTGGTGGAGAGGGTTGAGACTGAAGGCAAGGAGCCCAGTTAAGAGATAATTGTGATAATCCAGAGATGTGGCCAGAGCTTTGGACCAAGATACTGAACTCAAGTAAGGATGTGAGTGTACTAAAAAAAGACTAGTACTTCGTTATTTATAAATCCAGTTTCAGATGTCTTCCTCATTAGACTATTATTCATGTTAGGTTTATAAAGTTTAGGGAGTATTAACTCTTGACCTTTTCTCAAAATAAAATTATTTATTACTACTTTTTTACCAATAAAATAATATTCTTATGATTTGTGCTTAGAAGGACTTCTGTTTTAATAATTTATAGCTTGCTTTAAATCATGGAGCTAAGAATTTTATAGAGTTAGGATTTGAGCCTTTAAATGTTTGGAATATTAGAATGAAGACTTCTAAAGTTTCTAAGGTGCAGTTGTTATCATCCATACATTACCAGTGTCTCTTTTCTTGGGACACTGTTTCCAAAAACATTATGTAGACTTATATTGCCACTATGTTTAAAGTAACATGAAGAACGCCAAGAGCATTGCTGTATTTGTGATATAGTTTGTTTACTTAATACTGTGTTTCATGTTTTTGTCAAAAAACTGAAACATGAATTTAATTTTTCTAATAGAAAACATTCAGATTTTTAAGTACATGCTACGTACAAGATATTTTATGAAATTAGTCAAATCACCTTGAAGATAAGGGACATATGGCTAATCCTCATATAAAGTAAACTGACCTTAGAGAATTCATAATGTAAAGCAGAGATGGCTTTTACTAGAATATAAAGCCTTTGAACTTCAACCTAGGCTGCTTCCTGTAGTAGACACAGACAACCATTGGTTTACAGTAGACATTCAAGAGCCAAACAGAGGAACAGATTTGTGGAATTTGGGAAACTGCAACAAAAGAAGCATAGAATTTTGAACAGTAAAGTCCTAGAGGTGGGAAAATGCTTCCAAGTCCTTAAATGCTCATAACGTTAGGAACATGGCCAAAAATTTCAACTTTATCTATAAGGCATGTTCAACCAAGCCCCAATTTTATAATTAAAAAAAATCTTTCTGAGGAGCTAATTTTTGTCCTCTTTAGTCATTTTTTAGAAGCTGATTTTTTGACTAATTATTTATTAAAACCAATGTGCATATAGAGAATGGGATGACCAAGAACAAGGAAATACTCTTTTAAATAAGTAGGATAAAATACTGGAAAATTGAATGTTTTCTTTCTTGTTGACATATGTTTTTGGAAAAGTGAGGAGGAATAGCTTTGCTTAATTTTGAAAATTGGTTATATCTGAATCTTTGTATATTATTTTTAGATTACCTCTTTTTAGCCCTTTAGCAGGAAAAAAAATATGTATATATGTATGTTAATGAGATATTTTCTGGTACTACCTATAAATAAGAGAATGAAAGAATCCAAAGCTACAAGTGAAATGGTGCCCCAACTAAAATGAAATATTTGTAACTGGGTTATAGAATTTGGCATTCCTTATAATATGCTTTGTGGCTTTTTTCTGTGTAATTTAATTACAATCAGGTATTCATTTTATAAAACACTTTCTTAATTTATGTTGTAGGATGGTTCAGAAAGAAGCTAACTGTATTCTACATGTGACTACTTATGTGCTTCAGATTTTTCTGCATATAGTTAATTAAACAGCCTTTTACTCAGTGTAAAAATACTAGCAATACTTCATATTAAGCATAAGCTGAAGAAGAGGTAACTATAAAGTATAATTGTCATTTAATCATAGGCATGCTTTAGGGAGCTCCATTCAGATTTGGGCATTTTTCTTAAAGGGATAGGAAATTAGTATACAGTGGCTTATGAAAAGATTCTGAAGCTTTAGTGATAGCATGTTTAAAATATATTACATTTTTATAGATCTTTCTATATTTCACAGCTGAAAATGCATATTAACCTTCTGGTTTGAGACCCCTGTAAAATAGGGCAGTTGATACTCAAATTTTATAGGTTGGGCACAATGGCTCAAGCCTATAATCCCAGCCCTTTGGGAGGCCAAGGTGGGAGGCTAGCTTAAGGCCAGGAATTAGAGACCAGCCTGGACAATATAGCAAGACCCTATCTCTTAAAAAAAATTGCAGATTACAGAACTAGAAACTTTTTTTTTTTAAGGAACAACAGTAGATATTTATTTATTTATTTATTTATTTGAGACAGAGTCTCACTCTGTTGCCCAGGCGGGAGTGCAGTGGCCCGATCTTGGCTCACTGCAACCTCTGCCTCCCGGGTTCACGCCATTCTCCTGCCTCAGCCTCTCGAGTAGCCAGGACTACAGGCACCCGCCACCACGCTCGGCTAATTTTTTTTGTATTTTTAGTAGACATGGGGTTTCACCGTGTTAGCCAAGATGGTCTCCATCTCCTGACCTCAGGTGATCCACCCGCCTCGGCCTCCCAAAGTACTGGGACTACAGGCATGAGCCACCGCACCCGGCCAAGAACAACAGTAGATATTTACTGTTCACCGTTCTGGAAGCTGGGAAGTCTAAGATTAAGACACCAGCAGATTTGGTGTCTGGTGAGGGCCTGTCTTCTGTTTCTTGCTGTGTCCTTACACAGCAGAGGGATGAATACTGTGTCCTCACACAGAGGAAGGGGCAGGGCAACTCCCTTCACTCTGTTTATAAAGACAGTAATCCCATCCATGAGGGCAGAGCCTTCTTGGCTTAATCACTTCCTAAATGCCTCACCTCTTCATACTATTGCATTGGGAGTTAGTTTACAACATATGAAATTTGGGGGAATACCAGCATTCAGACCACAGCAGTTCACATTGAAAGCTCTACCATTCCTTAAAAAGTAGACATATAGGTCGGATGCAGTGGCTTCTGCCTGTAATGCCAGCACTTTGGGAGGCCGAGGCGGGCAGATCATCTGAGGTCGGGATTTCGAGACCTGCCTGACCAACATGGAGAAACCCCGTCTCTACTACAAATACAAAATTAGTGGGCGTGGTGGCAAGGCTGACCAACATGGAGAAAACCCGTCTCTACTAAAAATACAAAATTAGCGGGCGTGGTGGCACATGCCTGTAATCCCAGCTACTCAGAAGACTGAGGCAGCAGAATCGCTTGAATGCGGGAGGCCAAGGTTGCAGTGAGCTGAGATTGCGCCATTGCACCTCCAGCCTGGGCAACAAGAGCGAAACTCCATCTCAAAAAAAAAAAAACAAACACATACAAGTAGACATGTAGTTGCCTGTAGAAGTATTGGCAACCACCTGTCATGTACTGGCAACCTACATGAGAATGGGTATTTTTTCATTCATGTTTAAAATTTTATTTTGTATCTGTTTTATTAAAATATTAACAGAATATTAAATATTGATAGAACATACTACTTGTATGATAACTTCCATTTTTTAGATGAACTCTAAGATGTTGGCCCCTTCAGTTGTGTTTCTACTGTCCTTCTCCTTAGGTCAATGTCTTCAGGTCTTCCACAAGTCTTTTGGACTTGCCAGGATATTTCCTATCTCTCATTTCCCTGGAAATATTAACCTCTCTCTGCAGGTCCCTCTGCTGTAATGCCTTCTGTGGCAGCACAGGAATTGTCTACCCATTCAGGTTAGGAGCAATTTTTAAGTATGGTGTAAAAATCTCTTTGAACACTCTATAATAGTGAGAGAAGTTGCAGTCACAATTTTCTATTTCTTTCTATTTTTTTTTTTTTTTTTTTTGAGAGATGGTCTTTCTGTCTCAACCAGGCTGAAGTGCAGTGGCATGATCATAGCTCACTGCAACCTCGAACTCTTGGGCTCAAGCGATCCTCCTGCCTTAGCCTCCAAGTAGCTGGGACCACAGACATATACCACTATACCTGGTTAATTTTTTTTTTTCCAGTGGAGATGAAGTCTTGCTATGTTGCCCAGCCAATTTTCTATTTCTTAGCTGATTTGGCATAGGTTTCAACCAGGTATAGACCTCAGGCCAGAAACAGGTTTATAAGAAATACTGCATTTTTTTCATTATCTGTGACTCAACATGCCTTGATTCTAAGCCCACATCTTTCAGGCTGGTAAGATATCCATGCTTTGAGCTGGGCACGGTGGCTTACTTTGGAGGGCCAAGGTGGGTGGATCACGAGGTCAGGAGATTGAGACCATCCTGGCCAACATGGTGAAACCCCGTCTCTACGAAAAATACAAAAATTAGGTGGGTGTGGTGGCACGTGCCTGTAATCCCAGCTACTCGGGAGCCTGAGGCATGAGAATCCCTTGAATCTAGGAGGCGGAGGTTGCAGTGAGCTGAGATCGCGCCACTGCACTCCAGCCTGGCAACACAGCGAGACTCCATCTCAAAAAAAAAAAAAAAAAAAATCCATGCTTTGTTATGCCTTGGATTTTCTGCCATCCCCAGAGATGATAGGGTTTTATTTAAGCCACTGATTTTTGATGGGGAGGGAGGGAGGTATTCTCTGGTTTTGGTTGTGTGACCACAGGAGTGACCTTCCATACATCTCTTGTGCTCATCTGCGTAGCCCACTTAAAACCATCTCCTCTCGGAACACAGATTTATTATTTCATGAGGTTGGGTACTTCAGCGTCCATAGGGAACTTCAAAGGTTAAATGATCAGCTCTATGTTACAGAGGTGAGATTTAGTACCCATGTCTTTAGACGTTGAATCCAGGTATGGGTTTTTATTATGAAAGAAACACCAGAGGAACCACTCATGTCTGATGTTGGCATTTGCCCTTAAAGAACCATATAGTCTTACATAGAAACCATTTGTCACAAAATGTTGATATATTACTTTTTAAAGTCTTCTGTTGATGCCCATGCTCAGAGCTCTACATTTCCTTTTTTTTTTTTTTTAATACCCTTTTATCTCTCTTCTTTCCTTTTACTGGTTATCTTTTCTCCCTCTTCTGATCACATGGCTTGGGGAGTCTATACTAAAACAATGATGTTTAGTAAAGCAGTTGACAAATTTTTTTTTTTTGAGACAGAGTCTCACTCTGTCACCCAGGCTGGAGTACAGTGGCACAATCTTGGCTCACTGCAACCTCTGCCTCCCGGGTTCAAGCGATTCTTCTGCCTCAGCCTCCTGAGTAGCTGGGACGAATTTATAAATGTGGGAAATGTGATAACCTATAGGATAATTACACTTCATTTGGTAAAATGATACAATGAAACCAGCTAATTTTTTGTATTTTTAGTAGAGATGGGGTTCACCATGTTGACCAGGCTGGTCTCGAGCTCCTAACCTCGTGATCCACCCACCTCGGCCTCCAAAAGTGCTGGGATTACAGGCGTGAGCCACTGCACCTGGCCAACAGTTGACATATTAAACTAGTTATGTAGATACTTCATTTTTACTTTACAGTTATTGTTTCTTTTAGAAATGGTATGCACACTGCTATACACAGTATTTAGTATACATAGTATTTTTAAGTGGAACATAATTTATTCTAAGTATTTTCATTAAAAATAGTACAATTGAAGATATCAAATAGTCTGTCTCTCTCTTTAGTAAGCCTCTTCTGAAATAAGAAAAACCACTCTGCTCTAATAATCTTCTAGTTACTAATCTTCTAGTTACTTCTAGTTACTAATCTAGTTACTAATCATCATGTGCTACATCTGTGTTGCAGACGAGAAGGCACAGAGTATCTGGAATAAATAAAAGAGCTTCTTTAGGATTTGGGCTGAAAATGAAGTTCATTTAAATGCCAGAGATTTTCTTCTTGTATTTCAACAGGCTTCTTATTTTTTTCCCTTTCTGTTGTAGGGTAGATGATATGCCTCCAGGAATATCTCTGCTTCCTGATAATATTCTGCAGGTTCTGAGGATCCAGCTTCTACAGTGTGTTCAGAAAATGGCAGATGGGTTAGAGGAACAACAGCAAGCCTTGTCAATTTTGCTTGTCAAGTTCTTCATTATTCTTTGCAGGTATCTAGTAGAAAAAATAAGCTAGTTTTCACTCATAGGTGGGAGTTGAACAATGAGAACACATGGAGATGAGGAGGGGAACATCACACACTGGGCCTATTGGTGGGTAGGGTGCTAGGAGAGGGATAACATTAGGAGAAATACCTAATGTAGATGATGGGTTGAAGGATGCAGCAAACCACTATGGCATGTGTATACCTATGTAACAAACCTGCACATTCTGCATACATATCCCAGAACTTTAATAAATTAAGTAAATAAAAAAGAAAAAAAGAAAAAATAAGCTAATTATCTGTTTTAATATAATTGTTACATTACCAAAATAATAATTAATTTTGTTTATTATTAGTGATGTTTGTAGTTGATATGGAGCTTTAAAGAGTAAGTGCACTTTTTGGAATAGGCTTGTGGTTTGTTAGTATGTTGGAAATCCTTTTAGTTACTATACCTAGTTATAGCAACATTAGCCAACATTTAAAAAAATTATATTAAAGTCAATGACAGTTTTTCTTCAGCAAGAAATTACTGTACCAGTATTTTTCATATGGTTCTCACCTGTAAATGTATATGCATTTTTATTACTCTGTGTTATTATCTGTGAAAATAAATCATTCAGATATTTCATTTTATTATTTTATCAAATAAAGTATAATTATCCTGTAGGTTATCATATTTCCCACATTTATAAATTAGGTCTGTGGTGCTTACATTTTGGTATGCATGAATAACAACAAGGAAACTTAGTAGAATATAGAGCTTGAGCCTTGCTTATGGAAATTCTGTTTCAAAAGGGCTCAAAATCTGGATTTTTCAGGCATTCCACATTCATCTACATGTAAGAATTCAAGAACCATTAGTTTAGGGGCACTGCATATAAGAATTCAAGAACCATTGGTTTAGGGGCATCTGCATATAAGAATTCAAGAACCATTGGTTTATTGGTTCATATTCCTCTTGAAACCTATCTTCATTTCGGAAGCTACATTCTATAGCTTTAAATCTATTTTCTTTTTGGAAGCCACTTTCTAAAACATACATTATTTGTTTTATAAATATTTTATAATTAATTAGTGGATGAATAGGGACTTAATTTACCTCTTAGTCACCTTTGGCTTAATTTCTCATTGCCTTTGCAGGAATTATGGAATGATTGATCAATAATTGCTAAAACATTTCACCCCTAATTTATGCTCTCCCAGAGCCTTAGACATGTTTTTATTTGTGTGTTTTTCCTCATCCTTAAAATTTGGAAAAATAATACAAGAATTATAAGGGTTGAAGTATGCAGCCAGGTACAGTTGCTCACACCTGTAATCCCAGCACTTTGGAAGGCCGAGGAGGTGGATCGCTTGAGGTCAGGAGTTTGAGACCAGCTTGGCCAACATGGTGAAACCCTGTCTCTCCAAAAAAATGTAAAAATTAGCCAGGCATGGTGGCGGGTGCCTGAAATCCCAGCTACTCAGGAGGCTGAGAGGCAGGAAAATTGCTTGAACCTGGGAGGCGGAGGTTTCAGTGTGCCGAGATCATGCCATTGCACTTCAGCCTGGGTGACGGAGCGAGACTCTTCTCAAAAAAAAAAAAAAGGTTAAAGGGAAAGGGTTTATTCAGGTAGTAAGACATAAGTTGACCTCTGATAATTTGCTATATTTTCCTGCTAGCTACCTACTACAATTTTGCTGAAATCAAAAATCCTACAGATATTTGTTTTCAATTCATTATGTTTAGATTTTGGTAATAGAGGGAAGCACTGAAATGCTCAACAAATTTTTTGGTTGAAAAAAAATTTTTTGGGTAGTAGATAGTTTCTTATGATAAATTTAATGTTCAATAGCTACCAGTCACAGAACATGTTTCTATTTCCAGAGACCTCACTTTACTTTTTTAAAGCTCCATTTAAAAACTTTAATAAACTTTATGTTTTAGAGCTGTTTTTATATAAATCTAGAATTCCCACATACTCCTTTCCCATACCCCTCAGTTTCCTCTATTACTAATATCTTACATTAGTATGATACATTTATTACAGCTGATGAACCAGTATTTATACATTATTAACTAAGGTCCATGTGCACATTAGGGTTCACTATTTGTGTTGTATAGTTTCATGGGTTTTGACTAATTTATGTTGTCATATATAAATTTGACATAATCATCATTATAGGATCATATAGAATAGTTTTCCTACACTAAAAATGGCCTGTGCTCCACCTATTCATTCCTTACACACCCACACACACACACCCCATACCCCTGCCCGCCCCAACCTCTGTCAACCACTGATTTTTTTTTTTTTTAATCATAAGCATACCAAATGTTACAGGTTTCATTGTCACCACTGCAATATGTGTACTGTGATGGAAGCATAGCCTGTGTCTCAATTTAGCCACATAAAGTTTTTTGGACACCATGATCAGCAGTACCCATTCTCATCTAGAATGAGGCTTAACCACTGATATTTTAATGGTGTCTTTAGTTTTGCTTTCACCAGGGTGTCATAATTAGAATCATACAGAATGTAGCCTTTTCAGACTGGCTTCCTTCACTTAGCAGTATGCATTTAAGGGTCCTCCATGACTTTTCTTGTTTGTTTGTTTGTTTGTTAGACAAGGTCTTACTCTGTCACCCATGCTGGAGTGCAGCTGCTTGATAAGGGCTCATTGCATCCTTGACCTCCTGGGCTCAATTTATCTTTCCACCTTAGCCTCTGAGTAGCTGAGACTACAGGTACATGCCACCATGCCCAGTTATTTATTTATTTATTTATTTATTTATTTATTTATTTGTATTTTTTGTAGAGAAGGGGTTTCGCCATGTTGCTCAAGCTGGTCTCAAACTCCAGGGCTCAAGTGATCCTTCCGCCTTGACCTCCCAAGGTGCTGGGACTATAGGCATGAACCACCGCACCTGGTCCTCCTCCATGTGTTTGTAGCTTGATAGCCCATTTCTTTTGTCACAGAATAATACTCTACTTATGGACATACCACAGTTTGTTTATTCATTCCCCTGTTGCAGGACATCTTGGTTACTTCCAGTTTTTGGAAGTTATGAATAAAGCTGCTAAAAACATCTGTGTGCAGATTTTGCATACACATAAGTTTTCAACTCATTTAGGTAAATGCTGAAGAGTATAATTGCTGTATCATACGGTAAGCTTATGTTTAGCTTTGTCAGTGCAAAATTGTCTACCAAAATGGCTATACCATTTTGCATTCCCACCAACAATGAATGAGAGTTCCTGTTGCTCTTCATGGTTTCCAATACTGGATTATACTATTCTTTTATATTTTAGCCATTTTAATAGGTGTTTGTAGTATCTTATTGTTTTAATTTGCAATTCCCTAATGACAAAAGATGTTCACCATCTTTTCATATGGCTATATACCATTTGTATCTTCTTTGGTGAAGTGTCTATTTAGATCTTTTGCTCATTTTTAAAAATTGAATTGTTTTCTTATTAAGTTTTAAGACATCTTTGACTGTTTTGAGATGTAATTCCTTTATCAGGTATCTGGGTTTTTTTTGTCGTCGTCGTTGTTGTTGTTGTTTTGAGACAGGGTTTTACTCTGTTGCCCAGGTGCAGTGAGTTCTGTTGCCTGAGGTGCGGTGGCATGATCACAGCTCACTGCAGCCTCAAGTTATCCTCCTTCTTCAGTTCCCCCCACCCCAAGTAAGTGGGACCGCAGGTACATGCCACCATGCTTGGCTGATTTTTTTTAATTTTTTGTAGAGATGAGGTCTCACTATATTGCCCAGGCTGGTCTCTAACTCCTGGGCTCAAGCGATCCTCCCACCTCACCCTCCCAAAATATTGGGATTACAGGCATGAGCCACTGTGTCTGGCAGGTATCTGGTCTGCAAATATTTTTTGATAGTCTGCGACTTGCCTTTTTATTCTTTTAATAGTATTTTGTAAAACAGAAGCTTTTAATTTTAATGAAGTTTGACTTAACTTTTTTCTTTCATGGATTATGCTTTTTTAAAAAAATTGAGACAGAGTCTTGCTCCATCTGTACACTCCAGGCTGGAGTGTACTGACATGATCATGGCTCACTACAGCCTCAACCTCCCTGGCTCAAGTGATCCTCCCACCTCAGCCTCAGCCTCCTGAGTAGCTGGGAGGCACACCACCATGCCTGGCCAATTGTTTTAAAAAAATTATTGTCCTGCTGGCGGAGTGCAGTGGCTCACGCCTGTAATCCCAGCACTTTGGGAGGCTGAGGCGAGTGGATCACTTGAGGTCAGGAGTTCCGGACCAGCCTGGCCAACATGGTGAAACCCCGTCTCTACTAAAAATACAAAAATTAGCTGGGAATGGTGCCACATGCTTGTAATCCCAGCTACTTGGGAGGCTGAGGTGGAAGAATCGCTTTAACCCAGGAGGCGGAGGTTGCAGTGAGCCGAGATCACGCCACTGCACTCCAGCCTGGGTGACAGAGCAAGACTCAGTCTCAAAAAAAAAAAAAAAATTTTTTTTTTCAAATTATTGTCTTGCTACGTTGCCCAGGCTAAGTCTCGAATTCCTGGATTCATGCAGTCCTCCTGCCTCTGCCTCTCAAAGTGTTGGGATTACAGACGGGCATGAGCCACTACACCCAACCTCTTTTTCTTTTTCTTTTTCTTTTGCTCAAATTGTGGGTCTGTTTCTTTTGTGTATTGTTTCTTTTGATTTTCAAACTTGTGTCGCCTTCTCATGTGAGTTGTTATTTTTGAGTAAGTGTTGGTTATTGTTTTTGAAAAATCATAGAGATACTTTTAGGATAATATTGTCTTTCTTCTCAGTTAATATACATTTGTTTTTGGAAAAGTAGGATCCCTCTAATACAGTGAATGATTGAGCTGACTTGGACTTAGTCTCTGTGACTACTAATCTATTTTCATTTCACCTTTACTTCTTGAGTGTTGTCTTTTGGGATCTTAAACCACAGCCTTAGAGACAGTCATTTTCAGGCTCTGAATTCTAGTTTTTGTCCCTTTTCAACATTGTGAGACTGTCAGATGCAATCAGCAGCTTCTCATTGTTTCATCTACCTCTGTCAGGACTGGTAGAAGTCATGAGTGCAAAAATGGATCTAAATGCAGGTCTCATCTCTTTCTGTGTTTCCTTGTTCTGTATCTTGGATCTGTAATTTTTCACTTCCTTATTAATTTTCTCATGCCTTTAAACAGATTTTTAAAAAAAGTTTTGTCCATGTTTTCTAGTTGTTCTCAGGGAGAGGACTGATCTTAGTCCACTATTATTGGAAGCAGAATTCTTGCAGAGGCTTCCAATTTTGCCTCTGCCTGTACCCTGTTTTCTCCAAGTTGTCATGCCAGTCTGACTTCTTACATTAAGAAGTCTTTTGGTTGGGTGGGTGTGGTGGCTGACACCTGTAATCCCAGACCTTTGGGAGGCTGAGGCAGGAGGATTGCTTGAGCCCAGGAGTTCAAGACCAGCCTGGGCAACAAAGTGAGACCCTCATCTCAACAAAAAATGTAAAAAGGTAGCCAGGCCTAGTGGCACATACCTGTAGTCCCAGCTTCTCAGGAAGCTGGGGTGGGAGGATTGCATGAGCCCAAGAGTTTGATGCTGCAGTGCACTGTGATTGCACCACTGCACTCTAGTCTGGGCAACCGAGCAAGATCCCATCTCTTAAAAAAAAAACCAGAAGAAGTCTGTTAATTCTGTTAATTTTTCTAAAATTAGCATTTACTGGATTTTAAGATATATGTTTTACAAGATCACAATATCTCATAACAAAATTAATGAACGTTGCTTTTTTATTATGTCAAGGGAAAGATTTTAGGTATAGTAAATATTGTCTTGTTTTACCTCAGTCTTATAAAAAGGGAATAAAAATGAGGGACCATATTTTAGTTAAACACTAAGCACTTATGAACCCACTGCTTTAAACAAAATATGATACTGTGCCGTCTTAGAGTAAGTAAAGATGCTGTTAGCCCTTTTTCAAGGACTTTTAATGTAGTTGAGGAAATATGACATCCTTAAAAGGAAACCGTAATTCAAAAAGCAAAGTGAAAATGATTATAGTGCACATGTTATAATGAAAACAGTATGTACAAAAAAGAAAACTAAGAATCTGCATAGGGACAAAAATCTGTAAGGAAATAATGTAGATGTACATAGTTGCTTATTTTTAGATTGCAAGATATTGGTGTTTATTTTTTCTCTTCTGTTTCTACTTTGTGATATTTTCCAATTTTCAATAATAAATAGATGCTAATCAGCATATACTTTTTAAACATTATCTGTTTATAGTAGTTAAATGCTGCTTGAGTTATAGTTCACAGTTGGTGGGAAAGCAGTTATATAACCATATTGATTTTTATGTTTTAATAAATGTCATTTGCATTTTGTTTGCCAGCATGTGTTCTCATAATTCAAGCTGAATTCATGAACATATGTTTTGTTCACCATTCTTATGTAAAAAATTAAAGTCTCTTTTTCTCACAGAAATCTATCAAATGTGGAAGAAATTGGGACTTGCTCGTACATTAATTATGTCATCACCATGACAACACTCTATATTCAGCAAGTAGGTGTGAACTAATCTTTTTTGTCACTTTACTGAGAACAACTAGGTTTTACTTTTTGTTTGTTTGTTTGTTTTGAGATGGAGTTTTGCTCTTGTTGCCCAGGCTGGAGTGCAATGGCCCGATCTTGGCTTACCACAACCTCTGCCTCCCAGGTTCAAGTGATTCTCCTGCCTCAGCCTCCCAAGTAGCTGGATATTACAGGCATGTGCCACCACGCCCGGCTAACTTTTGTATTTTTAGTAGAGACGGGGTTTCTCCATGTTGGTCAGGCTGGTCTCAAACTCCTGACCTCAGGTGGTCTGCCCGCCTCGGCCTCCCAAAGTGCTGGGATTACAGGCATGAGCCACCATTGTCTGGCCTACTATTTTTTATATTATAGTTAGTATAGTTAAATATTTTCAGACGAGGTAATAATTGAGAAGAGACTTAAACTTATTGTTGGGTAATGCATATTTCAGAAATCTTGTACATATTACCTAAATATAGACAAGTAGTTATTATATATACTGTTATTTAATTTAAAAATTTAAGTGTTTTATAAATGGCTTTTAAAATGATACAATTTGTGATTTTTATGTATTATTTATTTATCACATATCCTTCTTACTGAAAACATATTACTTTTTCAAAAGGTGTTTGGCTATTTATTTTAAAGCTATCGTAGGACATATTTAAAATCTTAGTGGCTGTATCCAGTCCATATGATTAAATGACTCTTAGTCTCAAAGGGAAAGTTTGGCTTGTTTGAATACAAATGACTTATTGTTAGATGATAAGTAAGGCATGTCTTTAATTTATGTTTAACTTTGTTCTCAGTTAAAAAGCAAAAAAAAAGAGAAGGAAATGGCAGATCAGACATGTATTGAAGAATTTGTGATCCACGCATTGGCATTTTGTGAAAGCTTATATGATCCATATCGGAATTGGAGACATAGAATTTCAGGGTATGTCTTATAAATAATAACGTTCATTTAAAACCTGAATGTCATAATATATTTGATTCTTCAAAGCAGGTCTTCTCTATGAAAGCAATTGGAAAGAAGTATATAAGACCCACAGATTTAACTCTGAGCTAGAGAAATATGTTGGAGGGAATGAATTAGTGATAAATTCTGCTTCTGAATAATTACATATGCCCTGAACTTGTATTTTGCAATGCAATTTTGAATACTAATAATCTGATAAGAAATGTTAAAGGCATAGTAGCATCAAATACAGTATACATATTTTTCAAGAAAAGTTATTTTTTAAAAAACATACTTTATAATTCGAAAATGCTTTCTAGCAGTATTTTGTCCATTTTTTTTCTTTTTTCTTTTTTTTTTTTTTGTTTTTTTGTCTTTTTGAGACAGAGTCTTGCTCTGTTGCCAGGCTGGAGTGCAGTGGCACAGTGGCATGATTTCAGCTCACTGCAACCTTCGCCTCCCAGGTTCGAGCAGTACTCCTGCCTTAGCCTACCGAGTAGCTGGGATTACAGGAGTGCACCACTGCGCCCGGCTAATTTTTATATTTTTAGTAGAGACGGGATTTCACCATGTTGACCAGGATGGTCTCGATCTCCTGATCTCATGATCTGCCTGCCTCGGCCTCCCAAAGTTCTGGGAGCCACCGTGCCCGGCCTTTGTCCATTTATTTTTAACTGTAGAGCTTCTGTCATCAGGATCCCATAAGGAAAACATAAACGAGACTAAATATTTTTATTTTTAGACACGAGATCTCACTATGTTGCCCAGACTGGTCTTGAATTCCTAGGCTCAAGTAATCCTCCCGCCTTAGCCTCCCAAATACTGGGATTATAGACATGAACCACTGCACCCAGCCTCCTCACACTTGGTATTTTAAAAGAGAGGATCTAATACAAGGAAATTGATAAATATTAGAGAATTGACAAAGCAAAGATGGGACACTGACTTTAGGAAACAGCTACTCTCCCTGGGGTTATGGGAACAAAGGGAAGAGAATGGAGTTATCAGAATCTAGACTTTTGGAGAAGAGGCCCTACAGCACTGAGGTTCAGACCTCTGAGGAAGGAGCATTGCACAGCTGGTGCTGATATCTCTTGAGCAGTCAAGAGGCTCATTCTGGGATTGCCAAAAATAAGCTGAAGACAGGAACCAACTGCCATTACTACAATTAAGAATTCTTGCTGGAGTGATGCTGATGAGTATAGAGAAAAAGAGCAATGTGGAACCAGTTGTTGCTCTCTTTCTTCCACGCTTCATCTGGTACCCTCTATTAGGGAGCCCAAAAGGGAGGCAGCTGGAAAAAGAAAGTTTGCATGATGCCTGCCGCAGCATCACAAAGCAGAGAGAATATAGAAGGGTGGGTTGGTAGCTTAGTGACAATAGCTGAATTACCAGTACAGAACTCAAAGAGAAGAATTTTAAAGTCACATATCATTCTTACCTGTGGGCACAGATTACAAAGAAGTGTTTCATCACTCTCAATCAGACCTCTTTTTTAAATCTCCTAAATCTCCTCAAGATTTTCCATTTTCATTTTCAACTTAACATGACCCATTTGTAAATAATTTCTACTTCCTGCAACACGATTGCAGCATTTCATTACTAAATTATTTTTGTAGGCTTTTCAGGGTTCCCATGGTAGTATAGCCACCATACCATTAGATGATGGTGAAGAATTGATAACTGAGAGAACATTTATATATACTATGTGGTAACACCTTTTGTATGTTCTATATAGTGATGTAATATTTTATTGAAATCAGAATACATCCTGGGAGATGGAGATTGGAAAAATGTTGGTTAAAGATACAAAATTTCAGTTAGACAGGAGGAATAAATTATGCTTCAGTAACAAACAAGGGGCTTAGAATAACAAAAGATTTATTACTTTTTCATGTTGTCTGTCTTTTGTGAATAGGCAGAGAGCCTCTACTCATCAGAGCTACTAAAGATCCCAGGCTAACAGAGCAGCCAGCATTTTAGCCTTTGCTGGTCACCATGTGTGAGAGAAAAAGTTTTGAAAGGTGTCAAATTGGCAATTTAATGTTCTTGTCTTGTCTGGTCATGCTACATGACACATGTCATTTTCATTCTGAACTCATTGTCCAGAACTGTGATTACATGTCCCCATCTACTACAGTGGGGCCAAGTTAAAATCTACCATGTGACTAGAACGGGTAGAAATAGTTGTCAGTTAGTGCCGTGACTACCTTTTATCTCTGCTTATGCCCTGCTTATGAGTCTTTAAAGATACAAAGAGGGAGCCGGATGTGATGGCTCATGCCTGTTGTCCCAGCTACTGGGGATGCCGAGGTGGGAGGACTGATTGAGCCCAATAGTTCAAGGCTTCAGTTAGCTATAGAGACCTGTCTTTTTTTAAAAAAAGTACAAAGAGACACTTAACAGTGCTTCATCTGTAGCCTTTATACTCATTAGCACTTTGGTTCTAACTAATCAGTGTTCCCCCTGTTTTGACATGTATGCCAGAGATTTCTCTAAGGAAAGTATATCTCCTCCTCTTCCTCCTACTCTTGCTACTTCTCTATCCTCCGCCTTAGACTTGTCAGCAATGGCAAATCTAAGAGAACATTTTAAGTTTTGAAACAATGACATAATTTTTCTTTATAGACAGCAAGACAGATACAGAAAGAGGAACATAAAATCAGTCTGAAAATGGCAGAAGAGAGGCTTTTAAAGGAATCTTTAATAATAAGAGCAAAATGAATTTAAAGATGGGGAGAGAAGATTTATAAAAAGGCAGCTCTGATAACAAATTAAATAAAATTGGTAGCTAAAAACAGTTTTTGAAAGTCAAAAAGAAAATTTTTTTGATAATAACTATTAAAAAGGAAAATATAATAAAGATTATTACACCAAAAAAGAGTCATTTTCCCATATAAAGTAGAAAACATATACGGATAACCAAAACTTGCCACATGAGGCCAGTCAGAAAATTCCAAATATTAACAAAAACACATTTTTCACTGGCCCATTAATCAGAGAACTTTAAAAATTACATAAAAATTAAAATTACCTCCGTATAGGAATACATTTTAATTCACCCAGAGATCCAACACACTTAAGAGAGAAGAATTTTACTAATTTAATTTTTTAAAAAACCACTACCTATTAAACTCATGTAGCATTGCTAAGAGTATCTACGGAATTTTCACATCGATGTTTTCTTGCGAAAGTGGAAATCAAAAGCACAGAGACCCTCTTTAACAATGAACCGCTGATAAGCAAAATATAATTATAATAACATTCCACTTACGTGCATTTGTGAGCATTAATTTACATCAGGCTTTCCAATTTACCAACATTTATAGAATTTCTTACTAGTGAGAGTTTTACAAAACTTTTGAAGTAATTGTTAAATTTGAAAACATTTCTGTATTTTCCAGACCACTGTGCTTCCAATCCAGAGTGCTCTCACATTTATAAGGTCCATCTACAGTTTGTTACCATGTGTCTTTGAACATGTGTTAGACAAATGAAGGTATTCTCACACTCTGTACATTTATAGGAATTTTTCAAAAATGAGTTCTTTTAAGTATCAAATGAAACTTATGAACTAAAGAAATTACTACACATTTAAATTTATAAGGCTTATCTCCACTGACTTCTTACATATTTCAAGGAAAAATGGAAAAACTGAAGGCTTTGCCACATTTCTTAGAATTACAGGGTTTTTCTCTATTGTGAACCCTTTTATGTCCTTGAAAGAAACTGGGGAAACTGAGGACTTTACCAGTTTTTTTACATTCATTTTTCCCCCAGTATGAGTTTTTCTTAGTTTTCAAAGGGAACTGGGAAAATTGCATGTTTTCCAATATTCCTCACAATCCCACTATGTGTTTTTTCATTTGTTCTAATAGAACTAGAACATCTGAAGTCTTTACCACATTTCTTACATTCACATGGTTTTTTTCCAGTATGACTTCTTTCATGCTGTTGAAGGGATCTGGGAAAAGTGAAGGCTTTACCACTTTACTTCCATCCAAAGGGTTTCTCTTCAGTTTGAGTTCTTTCATGTCGTCAAAGGGAACTGGAAAATGTGAATGATTTACCGCATTTTTTACATTCCTAAGGCTTTTCTCCACTGTGAGCCCTTGTATGCTTATGAAGGAAACTGGAAGCTGTAAAGGCTTTACCACATTCTCTACATCTATAGGGTTTCTCTCCAGTATGAATCATTTCATGTTCTCGAAGGGCGTAGGAAGAAGCTAATAATTTATCACTTTTATTGCATGCATAGGGTTTCTCTCCACTATGAGTTATTTCATGTTTGTGACAGTTTCTGGAATAATTGAAGTCTTTACCACAATGTTTACATTTATAGGGTTGTTTTCTCCAGTGTGAGTTTTCTGGTGCATTTGAAATAAACTGGGGAAAATAAAGTTTTCCCCACATACTGTACATTTATAAAATCCATTATCACTGTGCATTACCATGTGTCTTCAAACACCTGTGAGAGAATTAAAGGCTTTCCCACATTGTTTACATTTATATGGCTTCATTTCACAGTCCTCACACTCAAATAGTTTGTGTCCAGAGTGAGATATAATATACCTGTGAAGAGATGCATGACATATGAAGACTTTTCCACACATTCTGCATACACATGGTTTTACTTTAGTAGAAACTTTCTTGTTCAGATTAAGATTTGAATTCTGGCTGAAGGTTTCTCCACCTTGACTATTTTGTTTACCTTCACACAGTCTCTCTACCATATGACTTACATTTCTCCCATATTTTCTGACTTGATCGTCAACATTCTGGTCTTCCCATTTGTTTTCTGTAGAAGCCAAATTCCTGAAGGTTTCCTGCGTCACATCTCTATAAGAGTTTCTTCTGGGAAAAATCCAGCAACGCCCACTCCTGAGGGGTGAAGGTTACAGCCACATCCTCAAAAGTCACTGAGTCCATGTTCCAGCTTCCAGCATGCTCCAGCATCCTGCCCAGGGATCTTGCAGGGCCTGCAGGTCACAGGCAACAGAGGCTGCCCCAGAACCACCTAAGGCCTCTCAGAGCTGAGGAGAGGGAGCCCAAGCTAGGAGCGCAGCCCAGAGACCCAAAAAGAAGAAAATTTTATATACTATTAATATAATATAGGAAGATAATTCTGCATATGTAAGATGGCAACAGAAAGGGGGGCAAAGTAGAGGATGAGTAGCAGCATTTAATGAATGTATGCATATATTTGCCAGGAATTACATTAGAAGCTGTGTATGTGTTATCTCTAATATACACAACAATCTTGCCAGTAATGTAAGAACTGCTTCAAAGACAAATGGTAAAGCAGGGAATTCAGACTTGGATTTCTTTGACTTTGACAGGGAGATTAAAAAATGGAATTAGGAGAAATCCATTGCTCATGGAAGACCTATACAAAGGGATCTACAGCAATAATTTACACCTTATTTATTAATCTGATTCTGAAATTAAGTGGAAATTTAGAAGATATATATTTTCTTATTCATTGTGTTTAATGCTTACCAAAATAGCGAAAGCAGGTTAGAATAGATTTAATTAAAATTAACATAATTCCAAATACAGAGCCATGTAAAACTATTTCTTTTCTTATTTGATGACAACAAATAGATGCTTTTTGTAGATTTGATTAATCTGTTATCAATTTTGATTCTACTTACAGAATCTCAGAAAGTTAGAAAGATTTTCTCAAGTGGAACTAAAATAAGTGTAGGGAAATAAATCAGCCAGGCATGGTGGCTCACACCTGTAATCCCAGCACTTTGGGAGGCCAAGGCAGGAGAATTGGTTGAGGCCAGGAGTGTAAGACCCCATCTAGAAAAAAAAAAAATTGGCCAGGTGTGGTGATGTGTGCCTCTAGTTCTGAGTACTTGGGAGGCTGAGGTGAGAGGATCACTGAGCCCAGGAGTTGAAGCCTGCAGTGAGCTATGATCACACTATTGCATTCCAGCCTGGGTGATGGCAAAACCTGAAAGAAAGAGGAGGGAGGGAGGGAGGGAGGGAGAGAGGAAAGGAGAGGAGAGGAGAAAGGAGTGGAAAAAGGAAAGGAAAGAGGGAGCGAGGGAAGGAAGGAGAAGAGAAGTGAGAGAAGAAGAAAGGAAGAAAAGAAGAGGAGAAAAGAAAAAAAGAAATCTTCCTTCAATATGACTTGTTCATTCATTTAAACATTGATTCAAAAATATACTTATTGAGTTTCTACTTTGTGACTAGTGCAAGTTTAGTAGGATTCCTTGCCTTGCCACAGAGAAAAATAATTTAATTATGTTAAGGTATGCCCTGTGCCTCCTACTTGTCAAACCTGGAACAATATATGCACAAAATAATTATAGTAATGAATTATTTAACCATTCAGGAAGAAAATTTATGAGTTCATACCAGTGATAGATAGATAAGGGAGAAGTGAAGGGTGTTGCTTACAGTAAAATTCCAAGTGCCAATTAGTAAATATAGAGGAGATGCTGGAGTTGGGGAAAAAAAACACATTTTGCACACATCATTGTAAGATTGGATCAGGCAAGAATCATTCATGGGTGTTAAACCTAGGGGGAAGTTTTAGTTGGGAGCATGATGTGTGTATGGTTTTTTTGTTTGTTTGTTTGTTTTGAGACAGAGTCTTGCCCTGTTGCCCAGGCTGGAGTACAGTACCGTGATCTTGGCTCACTGCAACCTCCGCCTCCCGGGTTCAAACAATTCTCCTGCCTCAGCCTCCCAAGTAGCTGGGTTTACAGGCGTGCACCACCATGCCCAGCAAATTTTTTATTTTTAGTCAAGACAGGGTTTCACCATGTTGGCCAGACTGGTCTTGAACTCCTGACCTCAGTTGATCCACCTGCCTCAGCCTCCCAAAGTGCTAGGATTACAGGTGTGAGCCACTGCGCCCGGCCATGTGTATGGTTTTAAAATGTCTCCCCACGATTACTTATTACTTGTAATTGAAAAATCAGTAATTATTTTGGACAGTACTGGGCCAAATAATCCAGTTGGTTGGATGATCAAAATTAACTGATCATCAGTAAGAAGTAGTGGGTATCATGTGCTCCACATGTGATAACCCTAAGAAGGACACTTCATTGCTTATGTGTTATTCCAGCCAAGCATGCATAATCTGAATCTAATTGTGAGAAAACAAGCAAATCCCAAGTGAAGAACATTCTAATTTTTTTAAAAAAAGGAGGGCTGGAGGACAACTTTCTTTAAAAATATCACAAAGTGGGGTTATGGAAATGTTTCAGATTAAAAGAGGCGAAAGAGACACTGAATGCAATACCTGACCCTGGCCTGGAAGCTGTATTGGAAGAGGGAAATGCTACAAAGGATGTTAGTGGGTGAACTGACAAAACTGGAATATGGTTGGTAGATTACATAGAAGTATTGTACCAGTGTTAAATTTATTGAAGTTTATAACTATACTGTGGTATTATATAAAACTATATCCCTATTAGTAAATATTCACTAAAATATTAAGAGAGGAAGGACCATGATATATGTAATTTCCTATATATAATGGGGCCCTGCACAGTGGCTCATGCCTGTAATCCTAACACTTTGGGAGGCTGAGGTAGGAGGATCACTTAAACCCAGGAGTTCGAGGCCAACCTGGGCAACATAGCAGGACCCCATCTTCACAAAAAACAAAAAAAATTAACTGGGTATGGTGGCTTGCACCTATGATCCTAGCTTTGCAGGAGGCTGAGGTGGGAAGATCTCTTGATCCCAGGAGTTAGAGGTTGCAGTGAACTGGGATAGCACCATTTCACTCCACTCTGGACAATAGAGCAAGACACTGTCTCTAAAAGAAAAAAAAAATTTGGGATAAAGTGTTAACAGTGAACTTGGGTAAACTCTATTTTGATGTTCTTTGATCTATTCTTATTGTTGCATCTTTTGCCAGAACTTGAACTTTTTCCAAATAAAATTAAGAATAATGATTATGTCCTAGGTATGATGTGAGTACAATGATTATGTCCTAGGTATGATGTGAGTACAAAAAAGAAGCATGGTGGCTGGGGCGCGGTGGCTCACGCCTATAATCCCAGCACTTTGGGAGGCCGAGGCGGGTGGATCACAAGGTCAGGAGATTGAGACCATCCTGGCTAACACAGTGAAACCCCGTCTCTACTAAAAATACAAAAAATTAGCCAGGTGTGGTGGCGGGCGCCTGTAGTCCCAGCTACTCAGGAGGCTGAGGCAGGAGGATGGTGTGAACCCAGGAGGCGGAGCTTGCAGTGAGCCGAGATTGCGCCACTGCACTCCAGCCTGGGCGACAGAGTGAGACTCTGTCTCAGAAAAAAAAAAAGAAGCCTGGTTAAATCAACCAAAAACATAAACTTAGAAAACTGAGATGCAAATAAGCGTTTTACAGCCCTCTCAGAAACTGGTTGATATGTATTAGCATCTGCTAAATGCTAGATGCTTGGCCCAAATATCAAGTAATAATGGAGCAATTAACTATGCTATATTCTACAAATGGTATAAGACTAAAGTTCATTTTTAGCTCTACTAAGTTATTGAAAACATGCAGTACAAACTACTTGTGCTTTAATTTTTGTGTTCTAATATATGTAATAGTTCTCACCCCTTTTGTTTATGTTAGCATATTAAATTCTTACCACAAATATATTGGAAATTATGTTCATATGTTACATCTAATACAGGAACTTTAGAATGAGTCATTGATCACAAATTGTAGAAGTACATTTTTATTATGTTAATCAGGTGAGGATGTTTATTGTTTGTAGCATAGGTTGTTTGGATAGGATATAAGCAATCTATTAATACCATAATTTTTAATGAATGCACAAACTGGAAATAATCTCGTGGAAAAACCTAACTGAAAGCTAAATTAAATTTTATCCTTTTTTTTTTTTTTTTTCCATTTAAACCTGAGTTGACACAGCACACGTTTCAGAGAGCACGGGGTTGGGGGTAAGGTTATAGATTAACAGCATCCCAAGGCACAAGAATTTTTCTTAGTACAGAACAAAATGGTATCTCCTATGTCAACTTCTTTCTACACAGACACAGTAACAATCTGATCTCTCTTTCTTTTCCCCACATTTCCCCCTTTTCTTTTCGACAAAACCGCCATCGTCATCATGGCCCGTTCTCAATGGTCGCTGTCTCTTTGGAGCTGTTGGGTACACTTCCCAGACGGGACGGGGCGGCCTGGCAGAGGCACTCCTCACTTCCCAGATGGGGCAGCCGGGCAGAGGCGCTCCTCACTTCCCAGATGGGGCGGCCGGGCAGAGGCACACTTCACCTACCAGACGGGGTGGCAGCTGGGCAGAGGCGCTCCTCACTTCCCAGACGGGGCGGCCGGGCAGAGGTGCACCTCACTTCCCAGAAGGGGTGGTTGCCGGGCAGAGGCGCTCCTCACATCCCAGATGATGGGCGGCCGGGCAGAGGCGCTCCTCACCTCCCAGATGGGACGGCTGGGCAGAGGCGCTCCCCACCTCCCAGACAAAGGGCAGCCGGGCAGAGGCGCTCCTCACTTACCAGGCGGGGCGGCCGGGCAGAGGCACTCCTCACCTCCCAGACGGGGCGGCCGGGCAGAGACGCCCCTCACCTCCCAGAAGGGGCGGCCGGGCAGAGGCACCCACTTCCCAGACAGGGCAGCCGGGCAGAGGCGCTCCTCACTTCCCAGGCGGGGCGGCCAAAATTTTATCCTTTTAAAATTAATTTTTCTACCACATGATTGAATTTTTTATTTGAAACTCCAGTGAATTTTGTACTGTTACAAAGACATGAAAATCTTTGATAATGGTCTTAATTAAATAGGAAGATCTATTAATGTTCTAACATGTTTTGTTTGAAATTAAAATAAATACAGCTGGTATAATCACTGTTCTGCCTTCCACACACTGGAAATAGGCATAGATTTAGAAAGCAGTGCAGTAGCAAATGAGGTCTAATATGATTTCTAATGAATTTGGATAGTAGATCTGGATCTTAGAACTCTCTATTTTGCTGTCACTGAGTCCAGCTATGCTTATCCTATGTGGTTTGTTCTATGATCAATTGACATTTCTTCTTAGGTTTGAAATAATTATAAGGAAAGTAATTTCAATAGCTCAATTATGGTCATTAAGAAGAAAGCATCTTAGACCAGCGCTTTATCAGTACATCATATTTAGACGTACAGAATTTCTATGTGGCTGTCCTTTAAATATTTTCTATTTTTGTTGGCTTTATCTAGTAATTTTAAATGCTTTTTTTAGGGAATGAAAAAATATCTGTGATTTTAAAAAATTCACCATCTACTAGTTGGAAGTATCATCATAACACTACTCTTTATTCTCCAATCTCCACACCACTATGCCCATCTAAGAGATTCATTTTGTATCAAATTGAAATGTTCTTGTTAAAAGCACATGCAATTTGTATTGGCTTTACCAAAGCCTGTAGAAAACATAACATCCATCAGAATTACTGGAATTGTCATTAAAAGCAAAAATAATCCCAGCCCATACTGGATTTGTATCCTCAAGATGAAAGAAGCTAATGTATGGCCTCATTATCCATTATTATAAAGTTTCAGAAAGTGGCAGAGTAGCCTGGATTTCTGATAAATTTCAACTTTACTGTAATAATATGCTACTAATCTGAGCTGTCAGTTTAGCATTACTGCAGAACAAATTCTTTTACAGATTGGAAATTTTAAGGTCTGGCTTCTTGTTCATTTTCCAGTTATTTGGAGATTTAAACTAGCTACCATGTTGCATAATTCAAAAAAATAAATCTGTTAATTGATGAACAGTTCAGTTACTGGCTAGACTTCCTTTTCAAGATTATGCGGATCCTAGAGATACATAGTTCAAGACACAAATCAAAAGTAATATTAAATTTGTTTTATAATTGTTTTTGTAATTGTGCCGTGTCTGCTTGCCCATGTTGTAACTTATTATTAACTTCTTTTTAATGATAGACGAATCCTTAGTACTGTGGAAAAGAGCAGACAGAAATATAAACCAGCTTCTCTCACAGTGGAATTCGTCCCTTTCTTTTATCGTAAGTAACACCTCTAATTTCTCTTGCTATGATTATCATCTTACTCTGATTACTTTTTATTCTTACTCTGATTCTGATCTTGATTCAGCTTTGTTAATTTATAAAATAATGGTTGTAAGAACATGTCACTGGAGTAAGCTACATGATTTGTGTTTGGCTGCAATTATTGTACTTGGTTTTATTTAATTTGCTGTTCTCAAAAAATTTTTTTAGAATAGCTGAATATTTTAATGATGGTGGTATAGTTTATTTTATTTATTTACTTTTTTTTGAGACGAAGTCACACGCTTGTTGCCCAGGCTGGAGTACAGTGGTGCGATCTTGGCTCACCACAACCTCTACCTCCTGGGTTCAAGCAATTGTCCTGCCTCAGCCTCCCAAAAAGCTGGAATTACAGGCATGTGCCACCACACCCGGCTCATTTTTGTATTTTTAGTAGAGACCGGGTTTCACCATGCTGACCAGGCTGGTCTTGAACTCCTGACCTCAGGTGAACCACCCACCTCAGCCTCCCAAAGTGCTGGGATTACAGGCATGAGCCACCATGCCTGGCCACTGGTGGTATATTTTAGAACTTCAGAATTTTTATTGAAAATAGGAAACTTGAGAGAGTTAGCCCCTATATATGTGACTTATATATGCCATCTTTCAAAAATATAGTATAATTTGCAGACTATAAAAGGAACACTGTGTGTTCCTTGAGTATGTATTTCCCATTCAAATTTGTAACTTAACATTTTGCCATATTTGCTTCAGTTCTTTCTTTTCCCTGTGAAATGAAAGAAGACAGAAATAATCCTTTGATTGCTTGCTGAAGATGACTGCAGTGCTGACTCTGCTTGACCACCAGTAGTGATACTGGCTTTAGCTAGGTAATGAAGCTCCATAGTAGACCATCTCTGGAAACTGGCCTCACTTAGAGGATATAGGACAGGAAACCCAGCCTGCCAGTAGAACAGTATAAGGTGTTTCTATTCATCAGGAGTCCTCACAGCCATCCAAGGGCTATTCTTTGGTCCTCCAAGTGAGGTTATAAAATCAAATTGGTGTGTCAGGGAGCCACTTGGCTTAGAAGTAAAGTATCCCATAAAAGCCTTTGTCTCTTGTATATTTAGGTTGTGCGCATATTTTGTTAATTTATCCCAAAGTATTGTATATTGTATGCTTGTAAATGATGTATCTTATTCATTTTTGGAGAGAGATGCGGTCTCATTCTGTTGCTCAGGCTGGAGTGCAGTAGTGCAATCATAGCTCACTATATAACCTGCAACTTGTGAGCTCAGGTGGTCCTCTCACCTCAACCTCCCAAATACCTAGGACTACAGGTATGTGCCACCATGCCTGGCTAATATAAAAAAATTTTTTATGGAGACAAAGTCTCACTATGTTGCCTAGGCTGGTCTCAGACTCCTGGCCTCAAGTGATCCTCCCACCTCAGCCTCTCCAGGTATTGAGATTACAGGTGAGAGCCACCATGCCCAGCCTGATTTGTTTTAAATTGTATTTTTCATTTTTAAAACTAGTATATAGAAATGTAATTTGTTTTTGTATATTGATTTTTATATCCTTGTTCCCCCATGTAGAAGGGAAAAAATTCAGTCTTTCACTATTAAATATGATATTAGCTGTGTTTTTAAAAATAGATGCCCTTTATTAAGTAGAGGAAGTCTTATTTTAACCCTAGTTTGCTAATAGTTTTTATTACTGAATGGACATTGACTTTTTTTTTTAATGTACTTTTACTGCATCTATTTGAGGTGCTTGTTAATTGGCAAAATACATAGATTGATTTTCAAATATTAAACTAACATCATATTTCTGGCCCAAACTACCTTTGGTTGTGATTATATAATTAACTTGTATTTCTCTCTCTCTCTCTCTCTCTTTTTTTTTTTTTTTTTTTTGAGAAACAGGGTATTGCTCTGTTGTCCAGTCTGGAGTGCTATGGTATAATCATAGCTTACTGTAGCCTTAAACTCCTGGGCTCAAGTGATTTTCTTGCCTCAGCCTCCTGAGTAGCTGGGACTACATGAATGCACCATCATAAGCAGTGTGTTAGTTCGTTCCCACACTGCCATAAAGTAATACCTGAGACTGGGGTAATTGATAAAGAAAAGAGGTTTAATTGGCTCGTGGTTCCACAGGCAATACAGGAAGCATGACAGCCTCTGCTTCTGGGGAAGCCTCAGGAGCTTTTACTTACTGCAGAAGGCAAAGCAGGAGCAGGACCAAGAGTGAGAAAGCTGGGAGGTGCTATAAACTTTTAAATGACCAGATCTCATGAGAACTCTGTCATGAGAACAGCACCAAAGGGATGCTGCTAAATTATGCATGAAGGATCCGCCCCTATGATCCAGTCATTTCCCACCAGGCCCCACCTCCAACACTGGGGATTACAGTTGAACACGAGATTTCAGTGGGGGCATAGATCCAAACCATATCAGCTGGCTAATTTAACAAAATGTTTTTGTAGATAAGGTCTTGCTGTGTTGCCTCCAGGCTGGTCTTGAACTCCTGGCCTCTAGTGACCCTCCTTCCTCAGTCTTCCAAAGTGCTAGGATTATAGTATATTATCCTTTTTATGTAATACTGCATTTGATTGATTTTTTGTTTAAAAATTTTGTGTCTCTGTTCAAGGATGGTAAGGGTTTCTAGGATTTTTTGCCTTATATGTCTTGTATGGTTTTTGTCTTAGTCTGCTTGGATTGTCATAACAAAATACTGTAGACTGGGTGGCTTAAATAACAGAAATTTGTTTCTCACAGTTCTGGAGTCTGGAAAGTCCAGCAGGGTTTATTTTCTGTTGAGATCTGTCTTTGTGGCTTGCAGATAGTCACCTTCTTGCTGTGTCCTCACATGTTGGAAAAAGACTGTTGTCTCTTCCTCTTCTTACAAGGGCACTAGTTCTCTTTGATCAAGGCTCTAGTTTTATGACCTCATTTAACTTTAATCACTTCTTTAAAGGCCCTGTCTGCAATACAGTCATATGGGGAGATGTTAGGGCTTCCACATATTAATTTTGGGGGTATACAGTTCACTCTATACCACTCTGTCCTTGCCCCCCCATTCATGTACTTAACACATACAGAATACATCCATTTTATCCCAACAGCCCCAAATGTCTTAACTCATTTTCACATCAACTCTGTAAGTCTAAAGTTCAAAATCTTATCTAAATATCTAAATCTGATACTGGTGAGACTGAAGTTACAATTCATCCTGACTCAAAATCCCTTTCCAACTATAAACCTGTGAAAACAAATAAGTTATATGTAACCAGAATACAATGTTGGAACAGGTATAGGATACACATTCCCATTCCAAAAGGGAGACAGTGGAAGGAATAAAGGGGTGACAGGTCTCAGGTAAGCCTAAAACCTAGTAAGGTAAATTCTATTAGTCATTAAAGCTTGAGAATAGCCCTCTTTGGTTGATACTCTGTACTTCATGCGCACTGGGTTGCCAGTGTCACCCCCCACCCCAGGTCTCTGCAAGGGCCCCACACATAATGCTGTCTGTGAGGGCAGCTCCACCATTGAGGCACTAGGTAGGTCATCCTGGCCCACTGAAACTTGACCTGTGGTCCTACCCTTTGAAACCAAGGAAGAGGAAACAGCCTTGCCTCCTGGATCTTTGGTGGGAATGGCAGCTCTCATAATCTCTGAATTGCTTTCAGAGTTTTTCTTATCACACATTCAAACTGAATAGCTTTATGGTCTGATCTATAGAATCCAAGAAGTCCAACAGTCTACCTTCATTCCTTCCCACTTTCTCTGTCCCCTTTAGTTCAAAATGGTAGTGTCTTTTCTGGTATAATCCCGTATCCATTCCTGGCCTCACTGAGCTGGCTGATTAAGTCCACTAGTTATACCCATGGTCTGTTTATCAGTCACACCCTCAGTATTTTCTTTAGAACAAGCTTTCTTGTTTGTTTGTTTTTTTTTTTTTAAATTTGGATAGACTGAGAATTTTCTAAATCTTCAGCTTCTGGTTCTTTTGTGCTTAACAGTTTCTTCTTTAGTTTATTTCTGTCTGCTCACATTTTAACTATAAGCAGTCAGAAGGAGAAATTAAGCTGCTCCTTCAACACTTGCTTAGAAATTGCCTTAGCTAAATATCCAATTTCATTGCTTGCTGCATGTTCTACCTTCCACAAAACACTAGAACACAGTTGAGCCAAGTTCTTTGCCACTTTATAATAAGGATCCCCTTTCCACTAGTTTTCAATAACATGCTCCTTATTTATGTTTGAGAGCTCACCAGAATTGCCCTGAAGGTCCCTATTTCCAGCATGCACCTCAAAACTCTTCCAGCCTCTACCCATTACCCAGTTCTAAAGCTGCTTCTGTATTCTTAGGTCTTTGTTGTAGTAGCACTCTATTTCTTTGTAACAAAATCTGTCTTAGTCTGCTTGGGCTGGTATAACAAAATACTATTGATTTGGTGGCTCAAACAACAATACTGGTCATATTAAATGAGTTAGGCAGGGTTCTCTTTTCCTCTGTTTTCTGTGAGAGTTGGTTTGAGAATGCTATTATGATTTTCTTAACATTCACCAGCAGATCTGGACCTGGAGATTACCTTGTGGAAAGGTTTTGTTTTGTTTTTCATTGAGACAGAATCTTGCTATATTGCTCAGGCTCATCTTGAATTCCTGGGTTCAAGTGATCTTACCACCTCAGCCTCCTGAGTAGCTGGGACTATAGGCATGTGTGTTATGCCCAGTGTGAAAAGGTTTTAAATTATGGAATAAATTTATTTACTAGGTAAAGGGCTACTCAGATTTTCTATTTCTTCTTGTGTTAGTTTTTATAATTCATGTCTTTCAAGGAATTTGTGTTTTTCATCACATGAATTGTGTTGAATTTATTGGCATAAAGTTGTTCATAGTATTTCTTCATGTATCCTTCTTAAATCTGTGGAATCTAAATTGATGTCTCCTCTTTCATTCCTGACATTGATAATTTACATTTTTCTCTCTTCTTTTTTCTTGATTGGTCTAGCTAGAGGTTTTTAAATTATATTGATCCTGGCACATGCCTGTAGTCCCAGCTACTTAGGAGGCTGAGGCAGGAGGATCACCTTAGCCCAGGGGTTCGGGGCTATAGTACACTATGATTGTGCCTATGAATAGCCACTGCATTCCAGCCTGGGCAACATAGTGAGACCCTGTCTCTTAAAAAATTATATTGATCTTTGCAGTGAACTAGCTTTTGATTTCATTGATTTTCCTCTATTGTTTATTCGTTTCCTTTTTCATTATTTTTTCTATTATCTTTAATATTAACTTCCTCTTAATTGCTCTTCTTTTTCTAGCTTCTTAGAGTGAAAGGTCAGTCTTTGATTAGATCTTTATTTCGACCTTCTTTTCTAGAATGAACATGAATCATTGCTTTAGTTGTGCCCCACAGATTTTGATATGTTTGTTTTAATTTTGTTAAATTAAAATGAAGTTTTCTTGTTTGGTTTAAAATATTTTCAAATTGGGGAAATGTTGGTCAAAGCATACAAAATTTCGGTTAGGAAGAATAAATTCAAGAGAGCTACTACATAACATTGTGACTGTAGTTAGTAACAATGCATTGCATACTTGAAAATGGCTAAGAGAGTAGCTAAAAGAGAGGTCATCACAAAAAAAGTTAAGTATGTGAGGTAATGTGTATATGTTAATTAGTTTGATTTAGCCACAGTGTATACATATTTCAAAATACCATGTTGTTCACCATAAATATATGCAATTTGTATTTGTCAATTAAAAAAGATTACATTAATAAAATGAAAAGGCATGTATTGTTTAATCTGCAAATGTTGGGGGAGTTTACAGATCCTTTTTTCTTTCTTCTTTTTTTTTTTTTTTTTTTTTTTTTGACATGGGGTCTTACTCTGTTACCCAGGCTGGAGTGGTGCAGTGGCACGATCTTGGCTCACTGCAGCCTCCGCCTCCCGGGTTCAAGCGATTCTAATGTCTCAGCCTCTCGAGTAGCTGGGATTACAGGTGCCCGCCATCATACCCAGCTAATTTTTGTATTTTTAGTAAATATGGGGTTTCGCCACGTTGACCAGGCTGGTCTCGAACTCCTGGCCGCAAGTGAGCCACCCGCCTCAGCCTCCCAAAGTGCTAGGATTACAGGCATGAGCCTCCACCCCCAGCCCTTTTTTTCTTTATGGTGAAAAAAGTGTCTATTTGGAATTAACCTGCTGGACTCAGTTTAGATGATCCCAGTTTTGTAGGCAATATTGAAAGCATCATAGTCAGGAGGCAGTCTAACATATGCCTTCTCTCCAGCAGGCCTGATTGGGGTGTAGACCTGGCCACATCATTGTCAATAGAGCTTCTTCATGGCCTGTCTGATCTGTTGTTGGGCTTGATATCTACAGTGAACACAAGTGTTTTGCTGTCATCTTTTTCATTGGCTGACTTAGTGGCTTAAAGGGATTTTGATGCTGGCATAGTAGTCAAGTTTGTATCTTCTCTGAGTGTTCCTCTGAGGATGTTTGGGCTGCGTTTGGAACCATAGTGTCTTGGGCCACCAGAAGGTGGTGATGTGCAGATTGTGTGTGTGTGGGGTGGGGTGGATGCCTTTTAGCCCTGCCTGCTTGGCCTTCATAGCCTTGGCTTTGGCTTTGGCTTTGGGAGGGGCAGGGACCACCTTCCTTTTAATGCCATCTTCATGAAAAGGATCTCCAGATAATCTTTTTTTCATTACTTTCTAATATATTTCCTTTATGGCAAGAGAAAATACTCTTTATGACTTCAATAAACTTAAACTCATTGAGTTGTATTTTCTTATTTAAATTTATTGAGTTCCACTTTTCATCATGAATAACATTCCTTGCCTTGATTATATTTCTTGCCTACTTTGTCAGATACTAATATAGCCACCCAGCAATCTTATGATGAGAGTTTGCATGGTATATGTTTTTATGTCCTTTTTATGTATTATCTTTCTGTGTGTCCACTGTGGCTGAGTGGAACTCTGTCATCTTCTAGCTCTGTGTAAAATCAGAGAATTACTCAGCTTACAGTTTCTTTGTAGTTTTTTGCCGATCTTGTGGGCTATCACACTATTGTGTGAGGATAGATACTGAGACCCAAAATGAGCCCTGTGCATATTTCTGGAGCACTTCCTCTGTATAGCTTCCTCCACTCCAGTACTCTGCTTTACAAATTCCAGTTGCCTGGGCCTCTCTGAACTTTGATTTCTGTCTCCTCAACTCAGCAAATGGCTGTGTTCTTTTAGGGTTCCTCCTTTCCATGTAGCAGTTCAGAAAGTGTCTCCAAACAGGAATCTGTGGTGTGATCCTTGTGCTTACTTTGTTTTCCTTCTTGTGTGTATCACAGTTCTGTGACCCAGTTTCTGGAACTGATTTTCTCCAGTTTTCTAGTTGTTTATAGCTGAAAGCCATGCGTAGTACCAGTTATTCTGATATAGGTGGAACTTCTTAATTTTTTAATTATAAGTTTCTATCCAGGTTACCTCAAAGCTGTTTCTTTTTGGTAACATTTGTTATTGGAAATAATTTTATTGTTACAGTCTTGTCCCAGTGTGTAATGACATGTGCAAAAGGGTATTCATAACAGCATCAAAAGAAAGGGGAAAAGCATAGCAGTTTATCAGTAGAGAACTGGATAAGTGAAGTTAACACATTGTAGTGGTGTATGCCCTCTAGTCATTACAAAAAATGAATTAGGCAGGTGTATCTGTTAAGATGTAGTAATGTCCAGGCTTGACGCAGTGGCTCACCCTTGTACTCCCAGCACTTCGGGAGGCTGAGGTGGGCAGATCACCTGAGCCCAGGAGTTTGAGACCAGCCTGGACAACATTGCAAAACCCTGTCTCTGCAAAAAAATACAAAAAATTAGATGGTCATGGTAGCGTGTGCCTGTAGTCCCAGCTACCTGGGAGGCCGAGGTGGGAGAATCACGTGAGCCCAGGCAGCCAAGGCTGCAGTGAGCTGTGATTGCCCTCCAGCCTAGGCAATAAAGTAAGACCCTGTCTCAAAAACAAACAAACAAACAAAAAAAAAAGTAGAAAGATGTAGTAATGTCCAGAATGTATTAAGTTAAAAAGCAAAAAAAGTATGATGCAGGAGTACATATATGTACTATGTACTTTTTTTTTTTTTTTTTTTTGAGATGAAGTGTTGCTCTGTTGCCCAGGCTGGAATGCAGTGGCACGATCTCAGCTCACTGCAACCTCTGCCTCCTGGGTTCAAGAGATTCTCCTGCCTCAGCCTCCCGAGTAGCTGGGATTACAGGTGCCCGCCACCACACCTGGCTAATTTTTGCATTTTTAGTAGAGACAGGATTTCACCATGTTGGCCAGGCTGGTCTCGAACTCCTGACCTCAGGTGATCCGCCTGCCTCGGCCTCCCAAAGTGCTGGGATTACAGGCATGAGCCACTGCGCCCAGCCTAGATGTCTCTTTACTAAGACTATTACACCTCTCATTAGTAAAAATTGACCATCACTAATCAACTAGAAAATGAAAGAGTTGGACAAAAACATTTCCTGGGTCCACTCCAGGACTAATATTCTAAAATTCTGGTACCAATAGTAACCTTTCTTTTAAAATTATAAATTATTTTATTTTATTTTTTAGAGGCTATACATGCATATGACAAAGAAAAAGCAGCATAAAGACCTGACAAGGGGCCGGGTGTGGTGGCTCATGCCTGTAATCTCAGCACTTTGGGAGGCTGAGGCGGGTGGGTCACCTGAGGTCTCTACTAAAAATACAAAAATTAGCTGGGCGTGGTGGCAGGTGCCTGTAATCCCAGCTACTCCGGAGGCTGAGGCAGGAGAATCGCTTGAATCTGGGAGGTGGAGATTGCAGTGTGCTGAGATCACACCACTGCACTCCAGCCTGGGCGATATAGCGAGACTCCATCTCAAAGGAAAAAAAAAAGAGAGAGACATCTAATTTTATGCCAGGTTTGGGTTAGTTTCTAGCCCTGTCAGTTAGTAACCATGTGACTTCAGGCAAGATATTAACTTCTGACCTTCCTTTTTCTCATTTATAAATGGGGGCCAAATATCATCCTTATATGGAGAATTATGAGAACTAAGTGAGATGACGTAAATACCTAAAATGCTATCTGGTAGATGGCTTCTCTTTTCTTTTCCTAAGACAAAATGCATATCAACCTTGGCTTTTAACACAGATCAGCCTTTTCACAAATAGTTCTTCGTGTTTGCATCAGACATTCCTTAGAGATAAATCATACTGTGAAAGACAAATCTTATTTATTTATTTATTTATTTATTATTTACAGAATGTTTTCAGGAAAGTGAACATCTCAAGGAAAGTCTTAAATGTTGCTTATTGCATCTCTTTGGAGCCATTGTAGCCGGTGGGCAGGTAAGGAAAGTGTTGAAATTTAATAAATAAAATTATAATTAACAGTGCAAAAAGCTTTCCATAGATTTAGTATGTTCTTTGTCTTTTTATAATTTCATTCACCATACAAATATTGAACTTATATATTGTAACTAATCTACTTCTTTTATTTTCCAAAAAACCTAAGTAATATTTAGCACTGACAATAAAATTACTGAATAAATAAACAAATTTAACAATTTTTGGTATTGTAAGTTCTTATTTATGTTAGCTTTCAAGCACTAGTTTTTATTTCAGATGATAGAGGAAGTCAACCTCATCAGTCCACTTGATGAAATCGAAGTCTAGTAGTTTGGTTTCTAAAGACATGAATTTATTCACTCTTCTGTGTACTTATAATACTAAATGTATTTTTGTAAGTGTATATGTTTTTTTTTCAACAAATCCAACTAGTGTTTTAAAATTTACAAAAAAGAATTTCTAGTATTTTTTTAAGGTAAGCATCTAAGTGCTGTCATAAACTTTTCTGTTTTTGTTTTTTGAAATGGGGTCTTGCTGTGTTTCCCAGGCTGGAGTGCAGAAGTGCGACTATTGGCTCACTGCAACCTCTGCCTCCCAGGTTCAAGCAATCCTCCCACTTCAGCCTCCCAAGTAGCTGGGACTACAGGCACACACCACCATGCCCAGTTAATTTTTGTATTTTTAGCAAACATGAGGTTTTGCCATATTGCCCAGGCGGGTCAAACTGCTGGGCTCAAGCGATCTTGCCCACCTCAGCCTCCCCAAGTACTGGAATTACGGGCGTGAGTCCCCCATGCCCTACCACTGTCATAAACTTTGAATATAAATTCTAGTTGACGAAAGGATTATAGTTCAGAAAGTACATGTATAAACATGTGTTTTCTTAAACCACACAGTTTAGATCAGAGGTTCCTAACACTTGTACTTTTTATAGCACACGTCCCCTTGGCAATCTGATAAAGCCCTTTGTCAGAATGTTTTAAATGCCTGAAATAAAGGAAACCAATTATACTGAAATGCAGTTACTAAAATATTAATAAAACAAATCTGTGACATAGTAATATGTGCTTCTTTATAATACATTAAACTAAAAAAGCTATAACAGCAAGTCTAGAAACTAATGTAACTTCCAAGAAGAAATTAGCATAAATGATATTTTGAGTGACTGTAACAGCTGTAATAAATGAAAATGCATATGATTTTTACTGATGACAAAATCACAAGTTTGTTTTGTTTTGTTTTGTTTGTTGTTGTTGTTTTGAGACAGGGTTTTGTTCTGCTGCCCAGAGTGGAGTGCAGTGGCTCTATCATGGCTCACTGCAGCCTTGGCCTCCTGGCTCAGTCAGTTCTCCCACTTCAGCCTCCTAAGGAGCTGGGACTACAGGTGCACACCACCACACTCAGCTAATTTTTGTATTTTTGTATTTTTGTAAAGACACTCTTTTGCCATGTTGCCCAGGTTGAGCAATTCGTGGCTCAAGCAACCTGCCCACTTCAGACTCCCAAAGTGCTAGGATTACAGGTGTGAGTCACTGTGCCTAGCCAACAAAATCACAAGTATTATTTATACTACTGTTGTTTTGTTGCTTACATTTAAACTTGAAGGAAATACTAAATTTTAGTTAGAAATTAGTAGAAATTAAGATATCTGGTTTTTTCCATCCAAGTTTATAAATCTCTATAATTCCCTCCCTCTGTTTCTTTCTCTATCTTAGGTCGAAAGTTTTTATCTTCTCTTTTTTAACTATCAGTTTTTTCTTTCACATTAAACATTCTCTTACTAGCATCAGTGTACTATGTTCTTAATATTGTTGTACCAAATTACATATTTAAATTATAATTTAAAAAACTTAGAAACCTGTATTTTTAAAAACTTAAGTAAATTTTATTTAAAGATACAAAATTATGCCAATAATACACTAGGCATATTACCTTATTATTTTTGGCATTTAGGAGGAAATCCTTGTCTACATTCAGGACAGCATCATGAAGTTTAATGCTTAGATATTTATTTGAGTTCAAGAGCCTTTTTATAAGGCTTTTTAACTTATAGCTCTAGGGAACTTTTAATCTTCTAGCAGTAAGCAACTGCTACTTGTTTGATAATGTATTTATCATTTCTTAGTCTGTTTGGAGATTTGAGAGAGTGTAATCTTCATTTCTCAAGTGAACTTCATAAACAGTTGACTTTATGTATTTGGGAGATTTCTTTTTATTTAATATGTCCAATTGAGATATATTTTATTGAGTATTAATTTTGTAAACACCATTCTGAGTTTAAGAGTTTCCTGGCCGGGCATGGTGGCTCACCCCTGTAATCACAGCACTTTGGGAGGCTGAGGTGGGTGGATCATGAGGTCAGGAAATTGAGACCATCCTGGCTAACATGGTGAAACCCTGTCTGTACTAAAAATACAAAAAAAAATTAGCCGGGCATGGTGGTGGGCGCCTGTAATCCCTGCTACTCTGGAGGCTGAGGCAGGAGAATGGCGTGAACCCGGGAGGCGGAGCTTGCAGTGAGCCGAGATCGCACCACTGCACTCCAGCCTGGGCAACAGAGCGAGACTTCATCTCAAAAAAAAAGTTTCTTATCTGTTTGTATTAATGCAATTCCCCTTTCCTCCTTGTTTTTGCTCTGTTTTGTTTTCTCTCTGTATGTTTTTTTTCATTGCATGGCCCTTATGCTCAATGGCCTTTTTAAAAAATATATTTTTATTCCTTTTTACTCTTGTACCTTGTTAGCCTCCAGAGCACTAGTGAAATTTCCATTTCTTTTGTTTTATTTGTCCTGTCCTTTTTTTGGCACCTAGCCAGAGTCCCTAGTTAGGTTTCCAGGTGGTCTGTGTGACCTTCTCCTCTTCACCCTAGTAGAAGAAAAGAGTCTCCTTGTAGTGAGAGGGATGGTGACCAGAATCTTATTTTTCAGTGTAAGTTTGCTTAATCACGTTCCAGTATTAGCTGATTTCCTTCTTTTGGATCATTATTTCCCCATTTCTATCATTTCTCTACTACAGTGAAAAAATGATTAAGTATACAGGAATAAAAATGGAAGTGGCATTGTTATGACTAATGTAGAAGCTGATTGGATCCTCTTCTCTTTTCGAAAACACAGAGACTTGTTCTTGTTAGTGCCTAGGGGTAGTCAAACCCCAGGAGACCTCCATAATGAAACCTAACACTAAAATCAAGTAGCTACTGGAAGTCCAATTTATTATTTTATGTACCAAAAATCCTTGTGATCCAGGCATAGCTATAGTGGGATTTATATCAAAGTTGGAAAGTTGTTTGTTGAATATGGCATTAGTACAAGGGTGTTTAGAGGAATTGAATATATAAAAGCTAAAGAATGGTCATGTCATAAAGGTCAGAAAAATCAAAGTCTAATTACTGGTTTCCTTTCCCAAAGCATCATATCTGGGCTTCCCATTGGCATATTTGAAACCTGTCCTGTTTTGTGTTATGTTAAAAACAAAGATTTTGTAGCCAGACTGACCTAGGTTTGAGTGTTCATCTCTAACTAGTTATGTGACTTTGGATATACTATTTACATATGTTTTAGTTTATTAATTTATGATACGGAAATAGTAACATTTATGGGATATTTGTAAGGACTAAATGACATAATATATGTACAGCACTTAACAAAGTACTTGTACTTTTAAAAACTAAGTAAATAAAAGTTTTATCAGTTAGATCTATGATTTGCTTTATGTAGCAGTTAATAAAATTAAAACAGCTTAAGTTACTTTTCTAATTAAAAACAAAGTAATAAATAATTCAGAGTTAATCTGGTGCCTCTGGGATCTTCAGGGATTCAGTTTTCTTTTGAATGTCAATCTGTCATGCTTACTATTCTATTTCATGCTGCAAGATAGCTTCTAGAGTTCTGGCCATTATGTTCACATTTGGGGCTCTAAGATAGAGGGGGTAAGGAAGAAGGATACAAATGGCATGTGTCAAGTATCTTTTAAAGACATACTGAGGCCGGGCATGGTGGCTTACGCCTATAAGCCCAGAACTTTGGGAGACTGAGGTGGCAGGATCTCTGAGCCCCAGAGTTCAAAACGAGCCTGGGCAACACAGGGAGACCCTGTCTCTACAAAAAAGTTTTTTTAAATTAGTCAGGTATGATGGTGCACACCTGTGGTCCCAGCTACTCAGGAGGCCAAAGCCTGAATAGTTGAGGCTGCAGTGAACCATGATCATGTCACTGCATTTCAACATGGGTGACAGAGGAAGACCTTGTCTGAAAAAATAAAAAACAAAATAAAGAGGTCCTGAAAAGCTGACACTCCCTGTCTTTTGATCTCATTTGCCAAACTTGGTCATATGACTATAGAGAAGGAAAATATGTCCACATAAAAAATGTGATAAAACTTGCTTCCTTGGCCTCCTTAGCAGCAGGGGCGGCTAGGAAATGTGAATTTATTCTGGGTGGCCATGTGTTCAGGAAAACATCAGTTTCTCTGAATAAGGAAGGTGAAGGAAATTGAATATTGGGTGGGCCATTAGCAGTTTCTTCCATAGCAGTAATTATTGTTGTTGATATTATGTATTATATTGATAATTATTGATGAAAACAGTCCTAATGGCTTAAGTGCTAATTCAGATAATTTTGCATGACTATGTTCTGTTTCATTATGTTGTAATTTGACAATTTAGGGCAATACATATTGTTTATTTCTGTGTTCTTCTGGTCACCTTGACATATAACTACCAATTACTTAGTATATGGAATTTCAGAAATATGTTTGTAGAATCAAAACCAAACCAGTCATCTTACATGTTTAAATCAGTTGTGATGGATTTTCTGTAACCAACCTGAAAACCTTAGAGAGACTTAATCGATTTGAGGTTGTTTTTTATGTTTCATTTTGCCTAAGAAATCCAGGGTTAGGCAGTTTTGAGCTGGTACAGCAACTCAATAAGAACATCAAGGACTGAGGTCCTTCAATATTCCTATTCTTTCTGTAGCCTGCTACTTTAATCATGGACTTATCTCTTCATGATATAAAGGTGGCTGCAAGCATTATGTTTACATTCTAGGCAGGAAAAGGTGAAAGGCCCAAGAGCAAAGGGTCCTTCCCTTTTTGTTTATAAAATGATACCCTCTTCATAGTCTACTACCATATATCCTTGACCAGAACTATGTCACATGGCTACCCTTAGCCACAAGAGAGAGTGTAAAGTGAGTTTTCTGAGAGGAAGGGAAGATTTAATATGTATGAACCACTAGCAGTGGCTATCAGAGTATCTGTTACAAATTTTTATGTCTTTATTAAAAGAAAAGGTTGCCTGCAGATGTATTAAATTCTCATTATTGCAAACATACACAACTTCATTAGGTTTAGGTTTCATTTTTATTGTCTCTAATGTTTCAGAGGAATGCTTTGCAAGCAATTTCTCCAGCCACTATGGAAGTTCTTATGCGAGTATTGGCAGATTGTGATTCCTGGGAGGATGGAGATCCTGAAGAAGTGGGTAGGAAGGCAGAACTAACTCTGAAGTGCCTTACAGAAGTGGTACATATCCTTCTCAGTAGCAACTCTGATCAGCGTCAAGTGGAAACCAGTACTATTCTGGAGAACTATTTTAAATTGCTAAATTCAGATCATTCAGCTTTACCTAATCAAAGGAGGTCCAGACAGTGGGAAAACCGATTTATTGCTCTACAGATCAAAATGCTGAGTAAGTATTACATAATGACAACTTTTTCTGAGTCTGTTTTTTATTTTCATATCTACCACTTTCTTTTGAAATACAAGGCCATTGTATGGAAAGTATTGATTGTTTAATTCAGATATCATATGACTGCTTAGACTTTGACTTCAAAATAATTTATATAGAATTGATGTGTTTGTTACAACCTCTTTGCTTTAACAATAACAAAGTCAAGTCTCTATATTGTTTTGAAAGTGTAATCTCCTAAAAGCATCAATGTGAAAAAGAAAGTTAGCTAAGACTTTGAAATTCTAGGAAAAGTAAATTTTCAGAAAGCACCATTTGTAGTAACCTATGGTAAAGAGTCACATACAGTGAATTTTGTATGTGCCTCTATAACATCTCTGTAGAGGTCGCTTCAAAAATCTGCCCTTTCTCTAGAGGGCCTCCGTTTTTGTTTCTTTTTTTCCTCAGAGCCTGTGTGTGTGTGTGTGTGTGTGTGTGTGTGTGTGTGTGTGTGTGTTTCTCTTCCCTTCTCTTTGTGTTGGTTGTTTTGTGTCATTCTGCTTATTTATCTCTGTCTCTATGCTCTGCAAGCTCCTTCACCAATATATTATGATTTCTTATTGTGTTCCCATGTAAGGTTGTTAAATACAAATATTATTAACTGATAGTTCCTTTTAGAAGTAAAACGTTTTCATTAGAGCTAAACTAGGAAATTCAGATAAGTAAAAAGAAAAGTTATTTATATCCTGCCACTCACTCATAACGAACATTAATTGTTTGGTGTATAGCTTCTAAAGGCATAAAAATGCTTTTATGTGCTTTTGTGTGTTAGTGTCATTTTAAAAATACTGAACATCAAAGTTGTTTTAAAAATTAAAAAGAAAAATGATTAGAGTAAATGTTTGTATGATCCCAAATTTTCATTTTTACATGGATGATTTTCTTTTTATTTTCCTAGATACCATCACAGCCATGTTAGATTGTACAGATAGACCTGTTCTTCAGGCCATTTTTCTTAACAGCAATTGCTTTGAACATCTCATACGACTGCTACAGAACTGCAAGGTATTTTTCTATTATTGTTGTTGTCTTTGATTTTAAGAAGCTATTTTTTGTTTTTGTTTTGATTCACATTTGAACATATTTTTACTAATTTTTATACTTAATCTCTGTTTGCATTTAATTACATAACCAAGTTTTATCTTGAATTGAAACTAGTATTAAATCACTTGTAATTGTCTAAATACTTTAAAGGTAGTCAAACTGGAATTTCTTTGTATGGGAAGAATTTCAGTTCATGACATATATTATTTTCATTCTATCCAGAAATATCCTTGAGGCCCTTTAAGTAATTAGTTGCTTCTGAGCTCTTCTAACTATTTGTGTCTGAATATACTAAGATGAGTCTTTGAAAAACAATTGTTTCTCATGGAAACACTGTCTTCTACCACAGTTTGTAGACTCCAAGTTACATACCCTGTAAATACAGGCCACTGATTATAGGGAGTGTTATATAAAACATGTGGATTGCTTGGTGCAAACCTATTACTCTAACTCAAATTGTATGTCATTCACTGAATAATGTTTTTGTATAAGAAATAGCTTTTTTTTTGAGATGGAGTCTCGCCCTGTTGCCAGGCTGGAGTGCAGTGGTGCAATCTGCAGCCTCCACCTCCTGGGTTCAAGCAATTCTCCTGCCTCAGCCTCCCGAGTAGCTGTGACTACAGGCGGGCGCCACCATGCCCAGCTAATTTTTTGTATTTGTAGTAGAGACCGGGTTTCACCATGTTGGCCAGGATGGTCTCCATCTCTTGACCTTGTGATCTGCCCACCTCAGCCTCCCAAAGTGCTGGGATTACAGGCGTGAGCCACCGTGCCTGGCCGAGACATAGCTTTTTAATTAAATGATTTATCTAACCAATATTTATTGTGTACCAATTGTGTATCAGACACTTTTCTTTTGAGGTCACAAAATATATGTTGTCTTCATAATGACTACTTTATAAATTAGGCACAAAGTTTCAGAGCGAGAGTTTCAGTTTAGTTCTTTTTGACTTCATGGCCATTATTCCTAACTTTTACACCATGTAATGACCTAAATGATGATTTTGGGTGTTTATTTCCATTCTTCTCTCCAAATATGTGATATGTTTGTATAATTTAAATAAAATTCATAAATGATTTGGTGCCCTTTCAGGGTCAAATAACATTTTTTATTACAATTAAAGTAATACATACTCATTGTAAATGGAAACATTGATAGCATATTGATTCTCCCATACAATAATAAATATATGAATTCCAAAATTGTTGCTCATAGATGAAAACTGGTAATAATTCCCATACTTCCTAATGTAAAAATATGTATTTCTGTTAATGAAAAAGTAAGATCCCACATCAAGCTGAATAATATCAATAGGATACTTTTGTAAATATATTTTTGATAGCTCAAAATCATATTATAACATTAATACAAACAAAATTTTGAAGCAACCAGCTACTTGATAGCTTTTCCATTATCAGTGTTAACTTTTTCTGCAGTTGTTCAGAGGCTGTGGAAGTTAATGCAGATTTGTAGAAACCTTAATATGTTTGTAAGTGAATTTTGCACAATGTACGATTATATTTTGTTGCAAAACAATTTTGATGCCAAAATACGAAATATGGAGAACAGACTTCTTGAAACATTAAAAAAAAATTTGTTTCTGAAATGTCAACACACTCATCTTCTTTTCTACCTTGATCTTTTTTACTGTGTATCACTGTGGCCACTCTTCAGTCTTTCTGGAATATTACCCTTTCTAAAAATACTGGCATTCCCTGTTTGGTTCTAGGCTCTTTTTTCCAACCTTTCTTAATTTGCTTATCCTTTGGATGTCTCACCTTTGGATGTGTGGCTTTAGATATCATCTATAATACCCAAATTTCTTGTTGTTAGTTCAGCTCTCTTGAGGAATTCCACTTGAATGTCTCTCAAAATTTTCAAATTTGCCACATCTAAAATGGAACAGTTCATCCCCTACTCTTTAGTCTCCCCTTTCTTATCTTATCCCTACAGCTGCTTAAATCACCCAGGCTGGAGTGAGGTGGTATGATCTCAGCTCACTGCAACCTCTGCCTCCTGGGTTCAAGCGATTCTCCTGCCTCAGCCCCCCAAATAGCTGGGATTACAGGTGCCTGCCACCATGCCTGGCTAATCTTTGTATTTTTAGTAGAGACAGGGTTTCACCATGTTGGCCAGGTTGGTCTTGAACTCCTGACCTCAGGTGATTGGCCTGCCTTAGCCCCCAGAAATGCTGGGATTACAGGCGTGAGCCACCGTGCCCGGCCTGCTTTTCTTGTATTTCTAATTTAAGTCAAAGGCACCATTATCGACCCAGTTTCTCAAAGGAGGAACTTGGAAATCAATCTCGGCTTTTCCTGATCTCTCATCTCCCACATCTGCTTATGTCACCAAAGTGGACAATTTCGTTTTTTAAACATTTCTCAAATACAGCTTTTTATTCTCACTGTCATTGCTTTATTTCAGGCTTTAATTTTTTTGCCAGATTATGGCAACATTTACTTGTTTTCTCCTTTTTCACTCTTTTTTTTTTTTTTTTTTTTTTGGAGACAGTCTTGCTCTGTCGCCCAGGCTAGAGTGCAGTGGCGCAGTCTCTGCTCACTGAACCTCCGCCTCCTGGGTTCAAGCGATTTTCCTGCCTCAGCCTCCCAAGTAGCTGGGATTATAGGCACCCGCCACCGTGCCCGGCTAATTTTCATATTTTTAGTAGAGATGGGGTTTCACCACCTTGGCCAGGCTGGTCTGGAACTCCAGACCTCGTGATTCACCTGCCTCGGCCTCCCAAAGTGCTGGGATTATAGGCGTGAGCCACCGAGCCCGGCCCCTTTTCACCCTTATCCCCTTCTACATTGAAGCCAAAACTATCTCTTTGATACATCAATGTTATCGTATCAATCCTTTGCTTAACATGTTCTCCCAAACCATGAAAATATTCTAGTGATTTTTAAATCTCCATACCATGACTTGTGCAAGGCTCTAAGACATCTGACTCAAGGCCTGCCTATTAAGCCTTTCTTACAAAGACCCTTATTAAACCCTTCATGTTTTCTTATTCATGCTTTTTAAATCTATCTCCTTGATGCTTTTATAGCTACTTGAAATAATTTCTTTTCTGCTCTTTTAAAAAGATTACTACGTAATATTTTCTGATGCTCCTGGGTCTAGATAGATACATATTAGTATCTTTTAGAAGTCTGTGGGGTGACACTTAAACTTTTTGTGTTTCATACTCAACTGTGGTCTATTTGAAGGCAAGCAGGCTGACTTTAATTTCTTCTCTCCCATCATTAGGTATTTGGCACACAGTAGAAGCTTAATAAATAAAGTTGAAAATCGATTAAATTTGCAGTTGGTTGCCTAGAACAACAGGATTATGCTAGGGTAAGGGAGCAGAATAAATATCAGAAGCAAAATGTATTTGGTTTAAAAATTTGCTTGGCTGCACAACTCTCTGCCAAAAAAGGGGCATAAAAATGCTTTTCCTCTTCCCTTTTCATGTTTACTCTATAGCTAGTATTTTATAATCGAAAACTCAGGCTTATTTTAAAAGTATTAGAACAGCTACAACATGTATTAAATGATATAAACTCCAATGGGAGACTACTCTCCTTTTCTGTATAACTATGTTAACAAATTTTAAATTATTATGATATATATTGGAATATGATTAATTTGAAAATTAGGATTCATTACAATTTTTTTCACTACCAGTAAGTCTTTATTGATTGATTGTATCTTCCCAGGGAAAGAAGGAGGGGAGGGAAAAGAGTCAGCATGTGTATTACAGAATGATTAGGAAATGGGAAAGGAAGTACCCAGTACAGCAAAATCAACTATCAAATAAACCCCTCAGTGATGGGGTCACCAAAGCCCAAAGGAGCTCAGTCTCCTGCAGTTCAGGAATGAGGGGAAGGGATCAGGGAAAGAACACACAGGTACCCTCGCTCTGTCCCCATAAATTCAAGATTTCACACAAAGCTTTGGTTTCTAGCAGTAAACATGGAGTTATATCCTTCTATCTCCTATTAAACAATCTTGTGGCCACTTTGACATAAGTTTCTTATACCCACATAAAAGTTCCAGAGTGACTTGGATATATATTCATATTCCCTTTCTTGCCCTCCAGACCCCACTTTCTACATGGAAGGCCCCCATTTGTTTCTATCTGCTTAAGATGAAAGATTAAGTAGGTTTGATCCATCCAAAATACAGCAGTGTCCTAAGTATTTGACATGAATCACATCAAGAAAAGGTCTTGACTTGGGAGATTGGGAACAAGGGATGGAGAGTTCCTAGCTTCTTCTGGATTTTTGCATAAATCATTTAAGAATTGCAGAGATACCCCAAGAATTAACCAAGTATGTGTGTGGGTGTATAGGTTTCTTTTGGAGGAGGGGAATGTAAAAGAGGGCAGAGTAGGAGACAAGTTTTCAGGACAAAACATCTGGTCCAGTAGGTAATAGGGTAAGGAGAACAGAAAAGAAAGGGTGGTTCAAGATCCTCACTTTAGGCCAGACGCGGTGGCTCAAACCTGTAATCCCAGCACTTTGGGAGGCCGAGGCAGGCAGATCATCTGAGGTCAGGAGTTCCAGACCAGCCTGGCCAACATGGCAAAACCCTGTCTCTATTAAAAATACAAAAATTAGCCAGGCATAGTGGCATGCTCCTATAATCCCAGCTATTCGGGAGGCTGAGGCAAGAGAATCACTTGAACCTCAGAGACGGAGGTTGCAGTGAGCCGAGATCACCCCACTGCACTCCAGCCTGGGTGACAGAGTAAGACTCCATCTCAAAAAAAAAAAAAAAGATCCCCACTTTGTTCCAGGTCTTTCTGCCTGTCGCAGAAAAGATGTCAAAGATGCTTTGGCTATTTTTCTCTCAATACAAAAAAGAAACTTGTAAACAATAAAACTCTAAAGGAATATGGAGAGAAACCAACACATATTTGCACAAACTAGGCCATCTAGCGATCACCAACTCAGTGAAGTCTTATGAAGCTCAAACAAATACAATAACTAGAGGCGGGTAGCATTTAAGAGACACGAGAACCTAGGATCACACACACACCACAAAATTAGGGGTCAGTTTAACAAACCTAAGCTCTAAAATACAAAAGAAGCACATTCAGCTTCATAAATCTTAAAGGTCAGTCTTATGTTACAATTTGAAACCACATTTTAAAGACAGTTAGTTCTTTTTGCAGAATCAAATATTTTCACCATTTTTCTCTAGGACATCGTGGATGTTGCAGTAGAGGAAATGCTTGTGTTCAGATGAATAAATTTACTAAATATCTGCTTTTGTCTCTTTTTTGAAAGTGATTCTTTTCATTTTCTGTTTTAACTTAAAAAGAATAAAATTTAATTGGTTAGAAATATTTTCCTTTGCCACTTTGAGAAAAATGTTTTAAAGTCAAATTTCAGAAAAATCTTTCTTTAACAATGAACATATCTTGCGTCTGCTATTGATGGACATAATTTTAAAATAGGCATATTGAAGTTTATTTTATGACATATGGATTGATTTTTTAAATGCACATTTAAATTAATTATTACCCACATAACTGGCTTGAATGTTTGGCTGTAATTATTCACCTTATAAGTTCTCATGTAAGAAATAGGATGTCTTTAAAAAAAACTTTTTTTTTATAGATTTAAGAGGTACAAGTGCAGTTTTGTTACATGGATATATTCCATGAACTCTAGGTTTTTAGTGTACCCATTGCCCAAATAGTGAACATTATATCCAATGGATAATTTTTCAACCTCGAGCCTCCTTTCACCTTCCTACCTTTTGGAGTCTCCAGTGTCTGTTATTCTATTTTGTATGTTCATGTGTACCCATTGATTAGCTCCCACTTACAACTGAGAGCATCCAGTAGAAGTAGCATTTTTTTACTTTTAAGGTAAAGCTTATTTTTTCATTATGAAAATGTTACTTCTTATAGGAAAAAAGGTAAATAGAGAAAAATAAAATAAATTATATATGATTATTTCTAGCCTGTAGGCATTTTTAAAGTCTTTTTAAAAATAATTGTGGGGCCAGGCACGGTGGCTCATGCCTGTAATCCCAGCACTTTGGGAGGCCGAGGTGGGCAGATCACTTGAGTTCAGGAGTTCCAGACTAGCCTGGCCAACATGGAAACCCCGTCTCTACTAAAAATACAAAAAAGTTAGCCAGGTGTCGTGGCGCATGCCTGTAATCCCAGCTACCTGGGAGGCTGAGGCAAGAGAATTGCTTGAACCCCGGAGGCGGAGGTTGCAGTGAGCCTAGATCACACCACTGCACTCCAGCCTGGGTGACAGAGCAAGACTCTGTCTTAAGAAAAGAAAAGAAAAGAAGGAAAGGAAGGAAAGGGAAAAGGAAAGGGAAAGGGAAGGGAAGGGAGAAAGGAAAGGAAGAAAGGAAAGGAATTATGTTAAAATATATAAAACATAAAAATTTAGCATCTTAACCATTTTTTAGTGTACACTTCAGTGGTGTTAAATACATTTACATTATTGTGCAGCCCATCTCCAGAGCCCTTCATCTTGTAAAATGAAAACTCTATACCCATTAAACAGCTCCCTGGTTTCCTCTCACCTCAGCCCCTGGAAACCACTATTCTACTTTATGTCTCTATGAATTTGACTACTCTAGATACCTCATAAAGGTGGAATCATATAGTATTTTTTCTTCGATGACTGCCTTATTTCACTTAGCATAGTGTCCTCAAGATTCGTCCATGTCGTAGCATGTGTCAGAATTTCCTTCCTTTCTAACACTGAATAATATTCCATTGTATGTATATACCACATTTTGCTTATTCATCCATCAGTGGACATTTGGGTTGCGTCCACCGTTTGGCTGCTGCTGTTAATATGGGTATAGAAATATCTCTTCAAGATACCATTTTCAGTTCTTTTGTGTATATACCCAGAAGTAGGATTACTAGATATATGGTAATTCACTTTTTAATATTTTTTGAGGAACTTCTGTATTGTTTTCCATAGTAGCTGTACCATTTTACATTCATACCAACAGTGCACAAAGTTTTCAATGTCTACACATCCCTGCCAGCAGTAGTGTTGTTTTTTTTCTTTTTTGATAGTGGCTGTCCTAATGGGTATGAGGTAGTATTTCATTGTGCTTTTGATTTGCCTTTCTCTAATGATTAGTGATATTGAGCATCCTTTTTGTGTGCTTATTGGCCATTTGTATATCTATCTTTGGAGAAATGTCTATTCAAGTCCTTTGCCCATTTTAAAATCAGATTTGTTATTGTCTTCTTGTTGATTTGTAAAGTCTTTTTTGTTATGCATTAACACTAGTGTGAGCATTTGATGCATGTAATTTTGTACTTTTGTTTCATTTAAGATATTTCATTATTTTCATGTGCCATAATTTTAATGTCTATATAATATTGTATTAAGTGGATGTACCATAATTTACTTAACTACACCCTGCTAGTAGGAACTTAATTTATTTCCAAAATAGAATTTTACTTCTAGTAGAATTACTAGGTCATAGGGCGTACACTTTTCTTGTTTCTTTTTTAAATTAGGGAACAGAACATTGTGTAAAAACAAGTTGTAACTCATTGGAAAATATAGAAAAGTAGAAAAATAGCAGAAATATGGTTAAGGTTCTTGATATACATGCAATTTGCTTTTGAATTTTTTTACTAATTTATACATGTAGCAGCAATGTGGAAGAGTACATAACTAAGCTGGGCATGGTGGCTCATGCCTGTAATCCCAGCACTTTGGGAAGCTGAGGCAGGTGGATCACGAGGTCAGGAGTTCGAGACCAGCCTGGCCAATATGGTGAAACCCTGTCTCTACTAAAAATACAAAAAAAAAAAAAAAATTAGCTGGGTGTGGTGGTGCGCACCTGTAGTCTCAGCTGCTCAGGAGGCTGAGGCAGAACAGTTGCTTGAACCCAGGAGATGGAGGTTGCAGTGAGCTGAGATCGTGCCACTGCACTCCAGCCTGGGCAACAGAGTGAGACTCTGTCTCAAAAACAGAAAAAAGAATATAGGATATTTCCATGTATCATGATGGTATCAGAAATTTTTTAGAGAGCTTCATAAAGCCTTTGTAAATGAAACTACTTCAAAGAGCTTTTACCTTTCTATTTGAGGTATTCTTTTCATTGATTTCCTGCTGAGGAATACCAGGGGTTAATTCTATGAGAGTAATTCAGAATAAAGATTTTAGTATCACCTCCTTGAATTTTTTCACACTGTTTTGAGGGATATTTCTGAAAGCATTTATGTCACTTCACTGCAGTAAAGAATAGCATCAAAATCAAATAGTAAAGAATATATTGGTGAAGTAAATTGTTATAAAGACAAATTCAGTGATAAAGCCAACATCTCACATGTGTAAAGAATCTGCTAATCCGCTGGATGCGGTAGCTCACACCTGTAATCCCAGCACTTTGGGAGGCTGAGGCAGGCGGATCACAAGGTTAGGAGATTGAGACCACCCTGGCTAACACAGTGAAACCCCGTCTCTACTAAAAATATAAAAAATTAGCCAGCCGTGGTGGTACATGCCTGTAGTCCCAGCTACTGGGGAGGCTGAGGCAGGAGAATCACTTGAACCCAGGAGGTGGAGGTTGCAGTGAGCCGAGATCACACCACTGCACTCCAGCCTGGGCGACAGAGGGAGACTCTGTCTAAAAAAAAAAAAAAAAAAAAAAAAAAAAGAATCTGCTTTATAGGGTCATCTCTAGGATACAATGTAATTCCTACTAAAATTTGTTAGCATTGGTTTTTCTTCAGTATATGAAACTCAGATATAACAAATTTCTGATATGAATATCTTTTTAAAAAATACAAAGCTGTTTGTCATAGCTATCATGATGGTGAGCTAATATTTGTTCTTTATAGGCCAAAGTTTATTAAAATTTACATCCGGAATCATGACCTTTAAAAGTTAATTCTTTGATACCACCTATCACATTTTGTTTTGAAACAAAAATGCTGGAGAAGAAATCTCTTTGAAGAGGGAAAACTAGCTGGGCATGGTGGTGGCTCATGCCTGTAATCCCAGCATTCTGGGAGGCCAAGGCGGGTTGATCACTTGAGGTCAGGAGTTTGAGACCAGCCTGGCCAACGTGGCGAAACCCCGTCTCTACTAAAAATACAAAAATTAGCTGGGCATGGTGGCACACCTCTGTAATCCTAGCTACTAGAGAGGCTGAAGAATCGTTTGAACTTAGAGGGTGAAGGTTGCAGTGAGCCATCACACCACTGCACTCCAGCCTGGGTGACAGAGCAGGACTCTGTCTCAAAAAAACAAAAACAATAAAAAAAACAGGGAAAACCAAGCTTTGGGACCTGGGCCTTCCCTGCTGGCCGTAATAGTCTTCCTTATTTCTGGAATTTTTTTTTTGTCAGAATTACTTTAGATTTATCACTATTCATTGAAGCCATTAAGTCTTCACAACAAAGAGGAATCTTTGAAATAAGCTTCTAAACTTCTTCATTATACAAATAAGGAAAAATGTCCTAAGGCATTAAATGATTAGCCCAAGGTCAACACTAATAATTGATGGAGGTAGGATTTCTAACCCAGGTTTTCTGACCCTAAGTCCATTGTAATATATAATTTTCTAATTGTATTACTGGAACTTAAGGTCACAGTTTAGTCAGTAGGGAAAAATGTTTTCTGTATATTAAATATAGGAGAATCAAAGGTTTTATTGATATAAAAACATTTTATGGACATAGTTGATATGATTCCTGAATATATAAAAATCTTTGAAATCTTATGAAAACCTAACTCCCCAAATATACCGCATGATGCCACAGATGTCCACGATTACTTTTTGTTTAAATTATTTGTTTGTTAGTAAAGAAATGAATCCTTTATGTTCTTTTTATATAGTAGTATAGAATAAAGACAGTTTTGCTATTTAGACCCATTGGAAACTTTGGCAAATAAAGTTTAAAATATCATAAACAATTTATGAATCAGATGGACAACCTTAAGCTGGCGGCTGCTGTTTTCATGCTTTCTTTTTGTATGAGATTCGTCAGCCTATTTAAGTATGCGTTGATTTCCGTAAGTATTTGTGTAAAGGCTTCTCGGCTTGGCAAATGAGTTTCATCAAACTATAGAGTACTTTACAATTCCATGGAATCATACATTTAACTTTTATGATAGATATGATGAACCTTAAGCATTTATCAGTTTTTTTGTTTTACTAAATTACAGGGATATGATTTGAATTAATGTAAATTTTTTAAGCTGCCCAAAGATACTTGAATTAATGAAAAGAATAGGCCAGGCTCAGTGGCTCACGCCTGTAATCCCAGCACTTTTGGAGGCCAAGGCAGGCGGATCATCTGAGGTCGGGAGTTCTAGACCAGCCTGACCAACATGGTGAAACCCCATCTCTACTAAAAATACAAAAAAATTAGCCAGGCGTGGTGGCGCATGCCTGTAATCCCAGCCACTCAGGAGGCTGAGGCAGGAGAATTGATTGAACCCAGGAGGTGGAGGTTGCGGTGAGCCGAGACTGTGCCATTGCACTCCAGCCTGGGCTACGAGAGTGAAACTCCGTCTCAAAAAAAGAAGAGAAAAGCAAAGAAGAAAACTATTATCTTTAGTAGCAAGGAGAAGAATTCAAAACCATTACCTAGTCTTTACAGCTGCTAAAATCTTGGTGTTTTTGACTGTTTCTTAGGGTAGATTTTTAGAAATACAGTTACTGGGTTAAAGAATAAGAATTGTTTGTTTGTTTGTTTGTTTTTGAGGCGAAGTTTTGCTCTTGTTGACCAGGCTGGAGTGCAATGGCTCGATCTCGGCTCACCGCAACCTCCACCTCCCAGGTTCAAGCAAGTCTCCTGCCTCAGCCTCCCGAGTAGCTGAGATTACAGGCATGCACCACTACTCCCTGCTAATTTTGTATTTTTAGTGGAGACGGGGTTTCCCCATGTTGAGGCTGGTCTCGAACTCCTGACCTCAGGTGATCCGCCCGCCTCAGCCTCCCAAAGTGCTGGGATTACAGGCGTGAGCCACCGCGCCCGGCCCAAGAATTGTTTTAAAGATTCTTCTTACGGATTGCTATATTGCTTTCTGGAAAGATTTTACTCATTTTTACACTGACCAGTTTTATCTGACTATTTGTTTCCCTTGACCTAAATATGAAATATTATTCCTTTAAAAACCTTTGCTTGTAATAATACCACCTTTCATTTGTTTTTTGTTTGTTTTGTTTGTTTGTTTTTTTGAGTCAGAGTCTCACTCTGTCACCTAGGCTGGAGTGTAGTGGCTCTATCCCTGCTCACTGCAACCTCCACCTCCCGGGTTCAGGTGATTCTCCTGCCTCAGCCTCCCAAGTAGCTGGGACTACAGGCTAGTTTTTGTATTTTTAGTAGAGACAGGGTTTCACCATGTTGGCCAGGCTGCCGGTCTGGAACTCCTGACCTCAGGTGATCCGCCCACCTCAGCCTCCCAAAGTTCTGGGATTACAGGCATGAGCCACCACACCCAGCTGACACCTTTCATTTGTTAAGTCTCTGTTATGTGCCAGATACTATGCTAATAAGCTAGCGTGGATTATGTCATTTAATATGTATAGCTATTTGATGAGGTATTTTTCTCCCTATTTTTGAGAAAAGCTTGGAGAAGTAGTTTTCCTTGAAATCAGACAGCCAGTAAGCTGCAGAACCAAAATTCAAACTCAGGTCTCTGATTCCAAGGCCTGTAGTGTATATATCAATTTATTGTTATGTTAAGCCTTACATATACTCTTCCATAACATATAATACCATACCTCTATGCAGTTTATTTTATATTGCATATTTCAGCATGTAACTCGACCTTTTGTTTTCTCATTTCTGAAATAATAGAACTTCCTAAGAACCTTGTTCCTTAGCATGCTCTTAATAAATTCCTTTATAAATCTGTCTCTCCCTTTGAGTATCATTTGAATTTTTTTCAAATTGTGGGCAAGTTGAAGGCCTTTTGGGATGCTGACTTTTATATACTGAAACTAAAATACTTGATTTCTTTATTTTACTCAGAAGAGGGTAATGCCCATGTATGCTAGAGATAATCTCAATTTTCCTTTACAGAATACAAATGAATATAAATGAAGCTCAATTCTTGATGACTTTGGAGAATACTTTTAAACTAATGTTTTAACAAAATGTGTGGTCAGATAAATTTTGGAAATGCTGCACCGTGACCTCCCTTGTCAAAGTATCCATTAGCATATTTGAGACTCTGAGGAAGTACTTCTAGAAAGAACCATTTTTAAAGTTAGTTTGATAGCACTTCACAAACTTCCTTAACTATAGAACCATACTGGGTGTTACGTACTACGGTATCTTTGGTTTGTGTCAGTAACAGCTTTCCTTCTTTTTTGTGTGTATTAGTCCATTTTCATGCTGCTCATAAAGACATACCGGAGACTGGACAATTTACAAAAGTTTAATGAACTCACGGTTTCTTGTGGCTGAGGAGGCCTCACAATCATGGTGGAAGGTGAATGACACGTCTCACATGGCGTCAGACAAGAGAAGAGAGATTGTGCAGGGAAACTTCCCTTTATAAAACCATCAGATCTAATGAGACTTATTCACTTACCATGAGAACTCCCACCGAGTTTCTCCCACAACACATGGGAATTTGGGGAGCTACAATTCAAGATGAGATTTGGGTGGGGACACAGAGCCAAACCATATCAACTGTGAGACATTCTCTGCTGATTCTTTAAGAATTTAGGAATATTAACTAGTCCTAATTATTGCCATTGTTTCTTATTTTAGTAACTTTGAATTCCAAGAGAGAAATATCTAAACTACTATTAGTTCATAATCCAAAAAGTGAATAATCTTTAATTTCTAAAAGTGTAGTATATTTCACAAGGGAATTCTTGGGTTTATTTTCAAGAGACATGGAAACCCATTTAAGCTTCATTGCTGCTTATAGGTAACAATTTAATGTTCTTTCTCCATTATTCTTGTCTCTGTTTTTAACAGCTATTTTTAAATGCTAACAATAAGGTGGCAGACAAGAACGAGAAAGACCTTGCCAACAAATTACTGACAGAAATGAATGAGGACCAGGTATCTACAAAGCCTGCATCTTGTTTCAGCTGAAGTCCAAAATCAGCCAATGGGAATAACTATTCCTGTGCTTTTCTTCTTATGTCCTAAAATACACAAACATTGTCAAATTCTAATATTTATTAATTATTTTTGAAAATTACTAAAAAGTTAAAAATTGCTTTCATCTAAAGGATAAATATCTTGGTGGTTGATACAAACAATCAGTACCATTCCATTCCCTCTACGTGTGTATGGTCTTTTCAATTTGAGGAGATATAAAGTACAGGAATGGGATCTCAGTACAATGCTGTCCACCTGGTGGTGACTTTTCTAAGCACTGTGGTATATTGGGACCTTAGGGCTTTCTTTGTGAATATGTATGGTCATTGTTAATATCTTGATTCTTTGCTTCTTATTGACAAGTGATGATTATAATTCAATGGACAACCTGAATCTTGGAGGAAGGGAAGAAGATGCTGAACTCTCTGTTAATTTAGCATAAAACTTGACTTTTTGTATTCTAGAAATTCAAGTCTATACAGGTATAATAAAGCAAAAATATGTAATTTATGTTGCTTCTCTCAATACATTAGGTAATTTAGTTTGAAAAAAAACTACCTTTAAAAATTGACGTTATTTTTCTCTTCCAAAATATTTCCAATAAACTTACATATTGTCTTTTATTAACATTGTGTTAATGTCCAAGTTTATAAATAGAATTTTTGTATAACAAGACACATTATCATCTAATTATTTTTTATTCTAGATGTGAAATGCCAATTTACAGAATATTGTTTTAGATTTCTGTATAAATGTTAATCCCTCTTAAGGCCTACTTAATGTAGATTAATAAAACAATTATTATAGTCTCTTAGAGGTTCACATTACAATTCCAAATTGTAAGTGATTCTATGCTTTCATGATTGTCTAAGCCTGATATAACAGTCATGTTCAGTTTTTTAATATTCTTGATGTTAGTTTTTGTTTTTGCTATAAATACACTGCCCTGGAATTTAACATATCTCTTCTTTTTGATGAAACTTAAACAGTAATAGACAAAATTAGGCTAGTTTTTATTTTTTCATACAACTTTTAGGATTAAAAGTTGCCTTCTCAAAAACATGACAATACTTAGAGATACTTATTTCATTTTCTGTGTCTGCCTCAAATTTTCCATTTAATATAAAAATAGATATATTTAATTGTTTATAAGTATAATTGATTGGCATATGCACATGCCATCTTAGTTTTAACACAGGGTTTGGAAACTAGATAAACAAGATTATTTTAGCTGTCTTTTTATACATGCAAATGGAATTTAAACCTGGATGGTTCAAGTGTAGTTTTGAAGGGGAATTAAAACATAATAGGATTTCTGGCTGGGCATGGTGGCTCACACCTGTAATCCCAGCACTTTGGGAGGCCGAGGTGGGTGGATCCACTTGAGGTCAGGAGTTCAAGACCAGCCTGACCAACATGGAGAAACCCTGTCTCTACTAAAAATACAAAAATTAGCTGGGCATGGTGACGCATGCCTGTAATCTCAGCTACTCAGGAGGCTGAGGCAGGAGAATCACTTGAACCTGGGAGGCGGAGGTTGCAGTGAGCCGAGATTGCACCATTGCACTCCAGCCTGGGCAACAAGAACGAAACTCCATCTCAAAAAAAAAAAAAAAAAGTAATAGGATTTCCAATGAATGATAGACCTCCCTCCCTTCCTCTTGAGATTGTCCATTATTTTTAAAAAGCATGTGTTAAGCTTGTTTTTTTCTCAAAACATTTTAATGTAATAAGTGAATGTTGCCTTATCCTCCTTGACATGTGGTTTATTTTTCTTTTAAATAGGTAACTTTCCTTGCAGGTTATAGTGTTTCAGAAATCCATTTCATCAGAAGAGGAATGTAATGCATGTTAAGTAATTATTTTTTCAGGTTTTCAGACCAAAGGTTTCCTAACTCAATAAAAATCGTGAGCACATTTGTTAATTTCTTGTTTCCCCTTCCCCCTCAATAGGTGTTTCAGGGACAATTGGATTGTTTGGCCATATCAACCATTCAGGCTTTGACCGCAGTAATGAACAAATCTCCAGCTGCTAAGGTGAAACATATATCCTCCAGCTTTTTTTTTTTTCTTAACTTTTATTTTAGGTTCAGGGGTACATGTGCAGGTTTGTTATATAGGTAAATTGGATATCATGGGGATTTGGTGTACAGATTATTTTGCCACCCAGGTAATAAGCATAGTACCCAATAGGTAGTTTTTCAATCTTCCCGCTCCTCCTTCCTTTCATCCTCAAGTAGGCCCTGGTGTCTATTGTTCCTTTCTTTGTGTCCATATGAACTCAGTGTTTGGCTCCCACTTATATGTAAAAACATGTGGTATTTGGTTTTCTATTCCTGTGTTAGTTCGCCTAGAATAATGGCCTCCAGCTCCATCCACATTGTTGCAAAGGATATGAGGATATGATCTCCTTTGTTTTTATGGCTGTGTAGTATTCCATGGTGTATATATACTACATTTTCTTTATCCAGTCTACAATTGGCTTTAGGTTGATTCCATGTGTTTGCTATTGAGAATAGTGCTATGATGAACATACATGTTCATGTGTCTTTATGGTAGAACAATTTATATTCCCTTGGGTATTTATCCAATAATGGGATTGCCAGGTTGAATGGTAATTCTGCTTTGAGTTGTTTGAGAAATTGCCAGACTGCTTTACATAATGGCTGAGCTAATTTGCATCCCACCAGCAGTGTATAAGTGTTTCCTTTTCTTCACAACCTTGCCAACATCTGTTACTTTTTGATGTTTTAATAATAGCCATTCTGACTGGTGTGAGATGGTATGTCATTGTGGTTTTGATTTGCATTTCTCTAATGATTAGTGATGTTTAGCATTTTTTAATATGCTTGTTGGCTGCATGTTTTCTTTTCTTTTTTTTTTTTTTTGGAGGTAGGGTCTCCCTCTGTCGCCCAAGCTGGAGTGCAGTAGCACGATCTCAGCTCACTGCAACCTCCGCCTCCTGGTTTCAAGTGATGCTCCTGCCTCAGCCTCCCAAGCAGCTGGGATTACAGGTGTGCACCACCACAGCCCGGCTAATTTTTGTATTTTTAGTAGAGATGGGGTTTCACCACGTTGGCCAGGCTGGTCTTGAACTCCCAACCGCAGGTGATCCGCCTGCCTCGACCTCCAAAAGTACTGGGATTACAGGCATGAACCACCACACCCAGCCCTGTTTTCTTTTGAAAAGTGTCCGTTCTTGTCCTTTGCGCACTTTTTAGTCGGGTTATTTGCTTTTACTTGTTGATTTGTCTAAGTGCCTTATAGATTCTGGATATTAGACCTTTGTTGGATGCATGGTTTGCAAATAGTTTCTCCCATTCTGTAGGTTGTCTGTTTACTCTGTTGATAGTTTCCTTTGTTGTGCAGAAGCTCTTTAGTTTAATTTGGTCCCATTTGTCAATTTTTGTTTTTGTTGCAGTTACTTTTGATGGCTTCATCATGAAATCTTTGCCAGGTCCTATTTTACATTTAAGTCTAATCCATCTTGAGTTGATTTTTGTGTATTGTAAGGAAGGGGTCCAGTTTCAGTCTTCTGCATATTGCTAGCTAGTTATCCCAGTACTATTTATTGAAAAGGAGCCCTTTCCCATTGCTTGTTTTTGTCATGTTTGTCAAAGATTGGATGGCTGTAGGTGTGCAGCATTATTTCTGGGCTTTCTTTTCTGTTCTACTGGTCTATGTGTCTGTTTTTGTACCAGTACTATGTTGTTGTGGTTACTGTAATCTCGTAGTGTAGTTTGAAGTCAGGTAATGTGATGCCTCCAGCTTTGTTCTTTTTGTCTAGGATTGCCTTGGCTATTCAGGCTCTTTTTTGGTTCCATATTAATTTTAAAATAGGTTTTTCTAATTCTGTGAAGAATGCCACTGGTAGTTTGATAGGAATAGCACTGAATCTGTAAATTGCTTTGGGCAGTATGGTCATTTTTTTTCTCTTTGAGACAGAGTCTCGTTCTCTCACCCAGGTTAGAGTGTAGTGGCGTGATCCTAGCTCACTGCAACCTCCATCTTCCAGGTCCAAGCGATTCTCCTGCCTCAGCTTCCCAAGTAGCTGGGATTACAGGTGTGCACCAATGCTTGGCTAATTTTTTTGTATTTTCAGTAGAGACAGGGTTTCACGATGTTGACCAGGCTGGTCTGGAACTCCTGACCTCAAATGATCTGCCCACCTCGGCCTCCTAAAGTGCTGGGATTACAGGCGTGAGCCCCCACACCAGCCCAGGCAGTATGGTTATTTTAACAGTATTGATTCTTCCTATTCATAAACATGGAATATTTTTCCATTTGTTGGTGTCATCTCGGATTTCTTTCAGCAGTGTTTCGTAATTCTTGTTGTAGAGATCTTTCACCTCACTGGTTAGCCATATTCCCAGTTATTTTATTCTTTTTGTGGTAATTGTTAATGGGATTGCATTCTTGATTTGGCTCTTAGCTTGGATATTGTTGGTGTATAGGAATGCTGCTGATTTTTGTACATTGATTTTGTATCCTGCAACTTTGCTCAAGTAGTTTATTAGATCAAGGAGCTTTTAGGCAGAGACTATGGGGTTTTCTAGGCGTAGAATCATATTGTCTGCAAACAGGGAGAGTTTGACTTATTCTCTTCCTACTTAGAAGCCTTTTATTTCTTTCTCTTGCCTGATTGCTCTGGCTATGACTTCCTGTACTGTGTTGAATGGGAGTAGTGAGAGAGGGTATCCCTGTCTTATTCTGGCTTTCAAGGGGAATGCTTCCAGCTTTTCCCCATTCAGTATGATGTTGGCTGTGGGTTTGTCATAGATGGCTCTTATTTTGAAGTATGTTCCTTCAGTGCCTAGTTTGTTGAGGGTTTTTAACATGAAGCGATGCTGAATTTTATTGAAAGCCTTTTCTGTTTCTATTGAGATAATCTTGTGGTTTCTGTTTTTAGTTCTGTTTATGTGATGAATCACATTTATTAATTTGCATATGTTGAACCAACATTGCATCCCATGGATAAAGCCTACTTGATCATAGTGGATTAGCTCTTTGATGTGCTGCTGGATTCTGTTTGCTAATGTTTTGTTGAAGATTTTTGCATCTATGTTTATCAAGGATATTGGCCTGAAGTTTTCTTTATTTGTTGTGTCTCTGCCAGGTTTTGGTATCAGGGTGATGTTGGCCTCATAGAAGGAGTTAGAAAGGAGTCCTTCCTCCTCAATTTTTTGGAAAAGTTTCAGTAGGAATGGTACCAGCTCTTTTTTATGTATCTGATAGAATTTGGCTGTGCATCTTTCTGGTCCTGGGCTTTTTCTGATTGGTAGGCTTTTTATTACTGATTCAAATTTGGAACTCATTATTGGTCTTTACTGGGATTCATTTTCTTCCTAGTTTGATCTTGGGAGGTTGTATGTTTCTAGGAATTTATCCATTTCTTCTAGGTTTTCTAGCTTGTGTGCATAGAGGTGTTCATAGTAGTCTTTGTGGGTTTTTTGTATCCTGTGGGGTCAGTAGTAATGTCCTATTTGTCATTTCTGATTGTGTTTATTTAGATATTCTCTCTTTTTTTTCTTTGTTCAGTTAGTGATCTATTTTATTAATTCTTTCAAAGAATCAACTCCTGGAATTGTTGATCTTTTGTATTTCTTTTTTTTTTTGGAGACAGAGTCTCTGTCTGCCACCCAGGCTGGAGTCCAGTGGCGCGATCTCAGCTCACTGCAACCTCCGCCTCCCGGGTTCAAGCAGTTCTCCTGCCAGCCTCCTGAGTAGCTGGGATTACAGGCACATGCCACCATGCTTGGCTAATTTTCGTATTTTTAGTAGAGATGTGGTTTCACCATGTTGGCCAGACTGGTCTTGAACTCCTGATCTCAAGTGATCTGCCTGCCTCAGCCTCCCAAAGTGCTGGGATCACAGATGTGAGCCATTGTGCCCGGCCTATCTTTCGTATGGTTTTTGATGTCTCAATTTCCTTCAGTTCAGCGCTGTTTTGGTTAGTTCTTGCCTTTTGCTAGCTTTGGGATTGGTTTTCTCTTGTTTCTCCAGTTCTCTAGTTGTGATGTTAGGTTGTTGGATTTGCAGTCTTTCTAACTTTTTGATGTGGGCGTTTAGTGCTATAAATTTCCCTCTTAACACTGCTTTAGCTATGTCCCAGAGATTCTTGTATGTTGTATCTTCTCATTAGTTTCAAATAATTTCTTTATTTCTGCTCTAATTTTATTATTTACCCAGGAGTCATTCAGGAGTAGACAGTTTAATTTTCATGTAAGCGTGTGGTTTTGAACAATTTTCTTAGTCTTGATTTCTATTTTTATTGTACTATGGTTCGAGAGTGTAGTTGGTATGATTTTGGTTTTTTGAAATTTGCTGAAGATTATTTTATGTCTGATTGTGTTGTCGATTTTAGAATATGTCCCATGTGCAGATGTGAAGAATGTATATTCTCTTGTTTTGTGGTAAAGTGTCCTGTAGATCTCTACTAGGTCCATTTGGTCATGTGTTAAGCTCAGGTCCTGAATATCTTTGTTAGTTTTCTACCTCAATGATCTGTCCAAGTATACTGTAGGTCTCTAAGAATTACAAATCTAGGTGCTTCTGTGTTGAGTGTGTATATATATTTAAGATAGTTAGGTTTTGTTAAATTGAGCCCTTTATCATTATGTAACTTCTTTGTCTTTATGATCTTTGTTGGTTTAAAGTCTGTTTTGTCTGAAGTAAGAATAGCAACCCCTGCTTTTTTCCATTTTCCATTTGCTTGGTTGATTTTTCTCCATTCCTTTACTTTAAGCCTATGGGTGTCACTGCATGTGAGATGAGTCTCTTGAAGACAGCATACCACTGGGTCTTGGTTTTTTATCCAACTTGCCACTCTGTGCCTTTTAATTGGGGAATTTAGCCCATATACATTCAAGGTTAGTACTAATCTGTGCATATTTGATCCTACTGCCATATTATTAGCTAGTTATTATACAGACTTGTTGACTTGTGTGTGTGGTTGCTTTATAGTGTCATGGGTTTATGTACTTAAGTGTGTTTTGGTAGTGGCTGGTAATGGTCTTTCCTTTCCATATTTAGCACTCCCTTCAGGATATCTTGTAAGGCAGGTCTGGTAGTAATGAATTCTTTTAGCATTTGCTTCTCTGAAAAGGATCTTATTCTTCCTTCACTTATGAAGCTTAGTTTGGTTGGATATGAAATTCTTTGGAATTTCTTTTTTTTCTTTTTTCTTTCTTTCTTTTTTTTTTGAGACAGAGTCTTGCTCTGTTGCCCAGGTTGGAGTGCAGTGATGTAATCCTGGCTCACTGCAACCCCTGCCTCCTGGGTTCAAGCAATTCACCTGCCTCAGCCTCCGGAGTAGCTGGGATTACAGGTGCTTGCCACCACGCCTGGCTAATTTTTGTATTTTAGTAGAGGTGGGGTTTCACCATTTTGGCTAGGCTGGTCTGGAACTCCTGACCTCGTGATCTACCCCCCTCAGCCTCCCAAAGTCTGGGATCCCAGGTGTGAGCCACTGCACCCAGCCTCTTTTCTTTAAGAATGCTGAATATGGATGGGCGCAGTCGCTCACACCTGTGATCCCAGCACTTTGGGAGGCTGAGGCAGGCGGATCATGAGTTCAGGAGATCGAGACCATCGTGGCTAACACAGTGAAACCCCATCTCTACTAAAAAAAAAATACAAAAATTAGCCAGGCATGGTGGCGGGCGCCTGTAGTCCCAGCTACTCGGGAGGCTGAGGCAGGAGAATGGTGTGAAACCTGGAGGTGGAGCTTGCAGGAGCTGAGATCGCGCCACTGCACTCCAGCCTGGGTGACAGAGCGAGACTCCATCTCAAAAAAAAAAAAGAAAGCTGAATATATGCTCCCAGTTGCTTCTGGCTTGTATGGGTTTCTGTTGAAAGGTCTGCTGTTAGCCTGATGTATCTCCAAGTTTTAAAATATTTAAATAGATGTGCCGATTTTCACTATGTAAATTCTGAAGTGATGTATGAAAGTATGTAATACATGTGGCTTAACACCTGAAATAAAATCATTCACAAAATATCTTAATATAAGAATGAGGTTATTTATTGTTTGCCTATACTTGTGATAATTTTAAAGACAAACCCCTATAGGCACTGCTTTAAGATTTTAAAAGACATTAATGATTGAACTGCAAACTGATAGGATTTACAGTGTTGGCAAAGAATGGGACATGAGCACTGGTGTTGGAAGGATACTTTTAAGTGGTTCTGTGGTTCATGAGTTTAAAAAATTAAGCTTTATATCAGAGTTTTTCTTCATTAATAAAATAATGACCCTTTATTTAGTCAGTTTATGACTGCCTAAAATATGACATTTTTCACATTTGAATAGCCTATCAATTTGATACTAGTTTTTCCAGGTTGTATGGCCATGGAAATTCTGCTTCTTGTATTCACTAACCCTTAGAGTTTTCTGTCTCTTCTCATTCACTGCCACTGACTGTTCTTCTGTCCAGTTATACTGGTAGTTTCCTCATATGCTGATAAGATTAGTGAGGTCATCTGTGTGAAGTGGTAAGCATAGTGCCAGGCACATGATAAGTGCTAAATACATGTCAGTGACTTTTATTATTACTTTACACTCTTATCTGCCACATCTAATATACTTTATGCCTCACCTTCCTGGTACCAGAAGTGAATTAATTACTCCCTGTTTTCTGAAACATGCCTTTCATTGTATTCCTTAGATTACATTGGTTTGTGTTAGGAGACTCTAACTTTTGCCTTAGAAATGTTGACATAACTCATGGTTAGGTTCCTATTGAATAGGCTTTTACAACTTTTACAGTCTGGCTTGTGACTTAATCTCCATCTAATACTAGTTGCTGTACGATGGAAACCATTTTAAGTCCTAAATAACTGGTTTATGAGTATAATGGATTGCCTGTACTGTATTCTGAAATTCAAACATGAGAAAAGATGTTCCAGTCTTCCTTGAAAGTTGTTTTTTTTTGTCCATATAATAGCTGGCATGTTTAAAATTCAAAAGATTATATAACAAAAATACATGAGAAAATATTTCCTATTCTTGACCCACATTCAACCATTTCTCTCCCTAAAGGAAACCAGCTTTACTTGTTTTGTTAAATTTTTTGATTTTGTAGTGAGTGTATATATTTCAACCTAAGGTAATGGGGCACTTTAGTATGTTCTAGGTTTTCCAGTTGTCTTTATATTTCACTTTATGACTTTGGGTGCCTACTGGTTCAAAAATACATGTGACATAGAACTTCCTAAAATGAACTTGATGTTCCAGATAATTCAGACCATTTAGATACAAGTAGCAGAGAGAAAACTCTTTGTACTCAGTTTCTTTCTGACCACTATTCAAAATTGGCAGGAACTCTTTAATTGGGTCTTTTTAGGCTGATATCTGACTCCTCTTACCTACAGTCTCCTCATTTTTTCCTCTATTTTTGTTTTGACTTAACTACTACTATAGTAATTACAAATCAAGTGAAGAAAATACAAGAATTGTCATATGCCCTAATCTGCAAATAATATAATAATTCTATAACACAGTTATTGTTAATTTCATTTATTTTGAATTTTGGTAGATAATTATAACTTCATTACTGCAGAAGTTATATGGAATCTATTTTAAAATGAAGACATGATTTAAGAAGGCAAATAGTGAATTCGTGTCTTTTTCTTTATTTAATATTAAGTTAATTAGCATAAATGAGTATTATTTAATATTTTTAATATTCCAACATATTCAGTCTTTGAAAATGTACTTTGATATATTGTCTTCCCATCCCCTAGGAAGTATTTAAAGAAAGAATTGGTTATACACATATGCTTGAAGTATTAAAATCCCTGGGTCAGCCACCACTGGAATTACTTAAAGAACTTATGAATATGGTGAGTTTATAACCTTTATTAAGAGAATTTCTGTTAATATCCATTTTGAAAATGATAACTAACCTTTTATCTTTTATGTTGCTTTTCAGGCTGTAGAGGGTGACCACACTTCAGTTGGGATTTTGGGCATTAGTAATGTCCAACCTCTCTTGCTTCTTATCCAGTGGCTTCCAGAACTACAATCCCATGACCTGCAAATCTTCATCTCTGATTGGCTGAAAAGAATTTGTTGTATTAATAGACAGAGTCGAACTACTTGTGTCAATGCAAACATGGGGATTAGAATCATTGAAACCCTTGACTTGCATTCTTCCCTCCATCAAACTTGTGCTGAGAACTTGATTGCAATCCATGGTTCCTTGGGGAGTCAGTCAGTGAGCTCAGAAGAAATCCGTCGACTACTGAGATTGCTGAGAGTGGATGAATCTGAGTCTGTTCACCCTTATGTCACTCCCGTGACTCGAGCAATCCTGACAATGGCCCGAAAACTAAGTCTAGAGAGTGCCCTCCAGTATTTCAATTTGTCACATAGTATGGCAGGAATTTCTGTGCCTCCCATACAGAAATGGCCAGGGTCTGCCTTTTCTTTCAGTGCTTGGTTTTGCTTAGACCAGGATCAGTTGACTCTTGGCATTGCTAACAAAGGAGGGAAAAGGAAACAATTGTACAGGTATTGGTAAAAATTATGGAATATAAATGAATACTGTCATAACAATATATGCTGTGATTCTTAAACAGGAAAACTGTTTCCAAGCATCTAGCTTTTAGATATACAGCTTATCTAAAGTCTCTTCATCCTTAGGCTTTATACAGTTTAATTATAAGTGCTTTATTGCTTTCATAGTAATAGCTGTTTATCTCAAATATTGCTGGTTAAGTTTTTTTTTTTTGTTTTTTTGAGACAGAGTCTGGCTCTGTCACCCAGGCTAGAGTGCAGTGGCGTGATCTCGGCTCACTGCAAGCTCCACCTCCTGGGTTCACGCCATTATCCTGCCTTAGCCTCCCAAGTAGTTGGGACTACAGGCACCCGCCACCACGCCCAGCTAATTTTTTGTATTTTTTTTTTCGTAGAGATGGGGTTTCACCGTGTTAGCCAGGATGGTCTCCATCTCCTGACCTCATGATCCACCCACCTCGGCCTCCCAAATTGCTGGGATTACAGACTTGAGCCACCGCACCCAGCCACAAGTTTCCTTCTTAAAAGTAGTGTAAAAGTGAAAGGAAAAAGGAGTAATAACCTTGAAAATGGGCCAGGTGTGGTGGCACACTTGTAATCCCACCACTTTAGGAGGTAGAGGCAGGTGCATTGCCTGAGGCCAGGAGTTCAGGACCAGCCTGGGCAACATGGCAAAACCTTATCTCTACAAAAAATATAAAAATTAGCCAGGTGTGGTGGCACATACCTGTAGTCCCAGCTACTTGGAAGGCTGAAAGGATCACTTCAGCTCAGGAAGTTGAAGCTACAGTGAGCTGTGATTGCACCACTGCACTTCAACCTGGGTGACAAAGCAAGATTGTCTCACACACACAGAAAAAACACTATGAAAATGAATAATGGCCGGGTGTGGTGGCTTACGCCTGTAATCCTAGCACTTTAAGTGGTTGAGGTGGGCGAATCACTTGAGGTCAGGAATTCAAGACCAGTCTGGTCAGTATGGAGAAACACTGTCTGTACTAAAAATACAGAAATTAGCTGGGCGTGGTGGCACATGCCTGTAATCCCAGCTACTTGGGAGGCTGAGGTACAAGAATCACTTAAACCCAGGAGGCAGAGAGACTGCAGTGAGCTGAGATCGCACCACTGTGCTCCAGCCTGGGCAATAGAGTAGATTCTGCTTCAAAAAAAAGGAAAAACAAATGAGTAGTGATATGAGTAATGATTTCTATTCCATTGAATATGCTATAAATATATATAAATATGGTATATATTTATATGAAGGAACAGAAGACCTATGTGTCTGTACATCCAGACTTAAGTAGCTACTACTTTTTAATATGTCTTGTGATTTTTTTTTTCTTAGACAGAGTTTTGCTCTTGTCGCCCAGGCTGGAGTGCAGTGGCACGATCTCAGCCGACTGCAACCTCCACCTCCCAGGTTCAAGCGATTCTCCTGCCTCAGCCACCTAAGTAGCTGGGACTACAGGCGCCCGCCACCACGCCTGGCTAATTTTTGTATTTTTAGTAGAGACGGGGTTTCACCACGTTGGCCAGGCTGGTCTCGAACTCCTGACCTCAGGTGATCTGCCCACCTCGGCCTGCTAAAGTGCTAGGATTACAGGCATGAGCCACCGCGCCTGGCCTATATCTTGTGATTTTAAAGACCTTTATTTATGCTTACTGAATCTTATTTGGAAGAATTTTAAAGATTTGAAAATTAGTAGTTTTACTTTTTTACTTTTACTAGTGGAATTCCACTTTACAAGGCTGCCTTTTATTTACTAAACTCTTATGACCAAAATGGATTTTAAAGGGGTCTTTGAAACAAGGTTGGACTTCTGTGTGGCAATAGAATTTAAGCCACAGAATTGTGGGTAAAGATGTTCATGATGGCTTTATGGTTTTATGTACTTTAATGATGATGAAACTGAACAACCAACTTTAAAAGTTCTGATAATACGTATTTTTTTTAGTTTTTTTACAGGAAGTGGCATGGGTTTTGAAGCCTTTATTACCCATTCAGGTATGTTGGTCGTGGCAGTGTGCACAAAAAGAGAATATGCAACGGTTATGCTTCCTGACCACAGTTTCTGTGATTCCCTCTGGGTAAGGCTTTAGGGCATCACATTTAACTTCTAGTATGGTTAATGGTATTTCCCACCATTGTCATAAATTCAACAGCAGTCATTTTTTTGCTAAAAAATTTAAATGAGGCTGGGCGCAGTGGCACACCTGTACGTAATCCCAGCACTTTAGGAGCCCAAAGCAGGCAGATAACTTGAGCTCAAGAGTTTGGGACCATCCTGGGCAACATGGTGAAACCTGCTATCTACTGAAAAATACAAAAATTACCTGGGTATGGTGATTTGTGCCTGTGGTCCCAGCCACTTGGGAGGCTGAGTTGGGAGAATTGCTTGAGCCCAGGAAGTCAAGGCTCCAGTAAGCTGAGATGGTGCCACTGTACTCCAGCCTGGGCAACAGAGTGAGATCCTGTCTCAAAATAAATAAATAAATAAATAAATAAATAAATAAATAAATATATAGAACGTTAGGATGTCTTAAGGTTTTCTATAAGTAAATTTTCTTTTTTCTTTTTTTTTTTTTTTTTGAGATAGAGTCTTGCTCTGTCGCCAGTCTGGAGTACAGTGGCACGATCTTAACTCACTGCAACCTCTGCCTCCCGGGTTCAAGCAATTCTCCTGTCTCAGCCTCCCAAGTAGCTGGGACTACAGGCACGTGCCACCACACCCAGCTAATTTTTGTATTTTTAGTAGAGACAGGATTTCACCATGTTGGCCAGGATGGTCTTGATCTCTTGACCTTGTGATCCGCCCATCTCTATAAGTAAATTTAATTTTGAATTTCAATTTAAAATGAGATGGGGTGGGTGCTATAACTCACACCTGTAAACCCAGCACTTTGAGACACCAAGATGGGAGGATTGCTTGAAGCCAGGAGTTCAAGACCAGCCTGGGGTGAGACTCTCTCTACAAAAAATTGAAAAATTAGTTGGGTGAGGTGGCACACACCTATAATCCTAGCTATTCAGGAGGATACTGGGGAGTTCAAGGCTGTAGTGAGCTATGATTATGCCACTGCACTCAAGCCTCAGCTATAGAGCATGACCCAATTTCTAAAAAAGGTTTTTTAAAACAATGATAAAATAAAATGAGATGATAGATTGTTTTGTGTTTTTTTTTGTTTTTTTCTTTTGAGACAGAGTCTCGCTCTGTCACCAAGGCTGGAGTCAGTGGCGCCATCTCAGCTTACTGCAACTTCTACCTCCCGAGTTCAAGCAATTTTCCTATCTCAGCCTCCTGAGTAGCTGGGATTATAGGCGCCTGCCACCATGCCCGGCTAATGTTTGTATTTTTTAGTAGAGGTGGGGTTTCACCATGTTGGCCAGGCTGGTCTCGAACTCCTGATCCGCCCACCTCCCAGAGTGCTGGGATTACAGGTGTGAGCCACTGCGCCCAGCTGATAGGTTGTTTTAAATAATGCATTTGTATTGTTTTCTAAAATATAAAATGCTTCTCATTTTTAAAAATGATTCTAAGGAATACTAAAGCTTTGGAAATGCAGAAAAGGTACTGTTACAATTGTGTATATTTTATAGAATATGCTTACGTGCTTTTGTACTACTATGGAAAAAATTGTTACTTTGAGAACATCAATTTAACATTTACGTTTAATCTTAACGTTCTACTATTTGTACAAATTATAGAGCAAACTTCTGAAAGCATTTGTCATTCCAAAGACATAATGTAATTTTATCCTTTAAATGTGTGTTTCACTTTACCAGCACAACATAACTGTTGTCCACATGCCTGGAAAAAGGCCTTTTGGTCAGAGCTTCGTCTATATCTATGACAATGGACAACAGAAGGTTTCTGCCCCTCTCAGATTTCCTGCCATGAATGAAGTAAGTATATCCAACCTACTCTTTACGGGCCCTATTGGTTGAGAATTCTTGAAATGTTTTAGTTAAGGTAGAAGGTTATGTTTATTGTAAATATGTGGCCCCAGATTTTAAAGTGTTTTCTATGTAGTAAGACTCCACACATTAATATTCAATTCTGTCAGCCTGTCATTATTAGATGAAGTCAGACAATGTGAAAAAAGGAAAACATTTAAGGAAGAAACAAAGGCTTAGAAAGAAAGACTTATAACAGGAAAGCCAAAGAAATGAATAGAGCAGATCAATCTATCGTTTAATAAAAGCTCTCTAAGTATGTGAATTACGTAAGAGAATATTATGATGGACTCTTCTAACTTGATTATAATTGAAACAATAATGAAGAAGCTTAAAACCTTCATATTTTAGTTAGGTATAAAATAGAGTTTATGTATTGAAGTGGTTCTCAAAGAACACTAGAGGGCCTTTTCTGAAGATAGTGGAATAGAGTAGATTATTTCTCAAGTCCAAGGATTCAAGTAATTTTTTGTTGGTTTTCATCTCAGTGACCATTTCAGGATAGTTTGTGATTAATATTTATACATCATAAAGAGAAAAAATAGTTTTCTCTATTTTCAAAAACAGTGAAGTTAAAAAAGTTCATAATCATATGCACTTTAAAAATTCAAAAATTACCAAAGAATATAAAATAGTCATAGAAGTAATGCATCCAAATGCTATAGGCCAAGGTAATTTTGCTAATAATTTCCTAAGTATACACATGCGTCTACACTTCATGATTTGGTAAAAATAAAACTGCTTCCACTTTTATTTTCAATGTATTTATTTGTGTAATTTTATGTACTATTTTATTGTGTAATTTTATGTTAAATATGAGGATATATGTTAATTAAAATTGTGTAATTTGTTTGTTTGTTTTTAGCCCTTTACTTCCTGTTGCATTGGTTCAGCTGGGCAAAGAACCACCACTCCTCCACCATCCCAAATCCCAGATCCACCTTTCTCTTCTCCCATTACCCCTCATCGGACATCATTTGGTGGAATTCTGTCATCAGCCTCCTGGGGAGGAACAATTGAAAAATCAAAATTGATTACCAAATTGATATCAGCTGGAACCCAAGACAGTGAATGGGGGTGTCCCACATCTCTGGAGGGTCAGCTAGGATCTGTTATCATCTTTTATGAACCACTACAACCTCCTCAGGTGAAGGCATTATATTTAGCAGGTAAGCATGTACAGTCATAATGCTTAAGCAAATTTAGAGTTTTTTTTGTTGTCTAAATATATTCTGAAGAATATATTTAGAATATAGAAGAATATATTCTGAAGAATATATTTCATGTGAAGAGTGTATTTGTTTTAATTGAAGCTGAAAGGGAAGAAAAAGCCCCTCCACATACCTAATAGTTTTTGTTTTGTAGGCATAAATAAAGCAAACCTTTTTTGGGAAATATTTCAGTTATCATCCATAATACTGCCTGTATTTGTCTGCTAGGGCTGTCATAGCAAAATACCACAGACTGGGCGGCTTTAGCAACAGAAATTTATTTTCTCACAGTTCTGGAAGCTAGAAGTTCAAGATCGAGGTGACATCAGGATCAGGCTCTCACTTCTATATAAGTGAGGCTTCTCTTCCTCGCTTATGAGGTGGTTACCTTCTTGCTGTGTTCTCACATGGTCTTTTCTCTGTGTGCATATGGACGGAGAAAGAGATCTCCTGTGTCTCTCTTTTTTTTTTTTTTTTTTGAGATGGAGTCTGGCTGTGTGGCCCAGGCTGGAGTGCAATGGCGCGATCCCGGCTCACTGCAAGCTCCGCCTCCCAGGTTCACGCCATTCTCCTGCTTCAGCCTCCCGAGTAACTGGGACTACAGGCACCCGCCACCATGCCGGGCTAATTTTTTGTATATTTAGTAGAGACGAGGGTTTAACGGTGTTAGCCAGGATGGTCTCGATCTCCTGACCTTGTGATCCGCCCACCTCAGCCTCCCAAAGTGCTGGGATTACAGGCGTGAGCCACCGCGCCCAGCCTCTCCTGTGTCTCTTATTATAAGGGGTTCTCTCAGACTACGGCCCCATCCCGATGACTTCATTTAATCCCAGTTACCACTTTAAAGGCCCTATTCCAATACAGTCACATTGGGGATTATGGCTTTAAATAGGAAGTTTAGGGGGACATAGTCAGTCCATAACACTGCCAGTACTTTTGACAGATTTTAATGAATTGATGAAACAAAATATAACCGTATCTCTAGAAGAAATTATGTAACTGCTTCCAAAATCATGAGCCTTATTCCAAAACTTGTCATTTTTTCAACTGATATATTAATATATCTGAAGAATTCATGAAGGCAGTAGAATTAGGGAACCTTGGATAAGTTTGCAAACTGTTTTTCATTTTGTTTTGGCTTTTTGTTTTTCTTTTGGCTATGATTTTAAACATATGTACTAATAGTTATTGGATCCTAACTACTTTCAAAATTATATGTATATTCTAACAGGATGTTCAGGAGTTAAGCTTTTAAGAGTTATGTAACTGCAGAATAGCTTCTTATTTGTCTAAATATCTTTTTTAGATTGCATGGGAATTTTGAGATGAATGGGATTGCCCACATTTCAGACTTTATATTAGAACCTTATCTTTTCTTTTCTTTGTTTTTTTTTGTTTGTTTGTTTTTTTGAGACAGAGCCTTGCTCTGTTGCCCAGGCTGGAGTGCAGTGGCTGATATTGGCTCACTATAACCTCTGTCTCCTGGGTTCAAGTGTTTCTTGTGCTTCAGCCTCCCAAGTAGCTAGGATTACAGGTGTGTGCCACCACACCCAGCTAATTATTTTATTTTTAGTAGAGACAAGGTTTCGCCATGTTCGCTAGGCTGGTCTTGAACTCCTGGCCTCAAGTGATCCTCCCACCTTGGCCTCCCAAAGTGCTTGGATTACAGGCGTGAGCCACTGTGCTAGGCCTAAATGATCATTTTTAATGGTTGCATATTTCCTTGGATTCAAGACGTGTTATTTACTTAGGTTGTTTATAATTTCTTTCTTTTTTTTTTTTTTTGGACAGAGTTTTGCTCTTGTTGCCCAGGCTGGAGTGCAATGGCACGACCTCAGCTCACTGCAGCCTCTGCCTCCTGGGTTCAAGCGATTCTCCACCTTCCGAGTAGCTGGGATTACAGGCACCTGCCACCACGCCCAGCTAATTTTTTAGTATTTTTAGTAGACGTGGGGTTTTTACCATGTTGGCCAGGCTGGTCTCAAACTCCTGACCTCAGGTGATCCTCCCGCCTCAGCCTCTCTAAGTGCTGAAATTACAGGTGTGAGCCACCATGCGTGACCAGATAATAATTTTTGTTTGTTTTTGTTTTTGAGACAATATCTCACTCTGTTGCTGAGGACAGAGTGCAGTGGCGCAATCTCAGATCACTGCAACTTCTGCCTCCCAGGCTTGAGTGATCTCTCACCTCCTGAGTAGCTGAGACTACAGGCACATGCCACCACCTCTGGCTAATTTTGATATTTTTTTGTAGAAATGGTGTCTCACCATGTTGCCCAGGCTGGTCTCAAACTCCTGAGCTCAAGTGATCCACCTGCTTCAGCCTCCCAAAGTGCTGGGATTACAGGCATGAGCTGTGGGATTACAGGCTGTACCTGGCTGATAATAGTTTGTTAATACTATATAAAAAAAATTTTCTGTAATGGAAATTGATTTATTTCCCAATTTTTGTAGGTTTTAGATAAACTGGAATATGGAAACAAAGTAAATTTTAGCTTAATGAGTTTCAGCTGTGTTGTTTGAGTAGCTTGAAACAGCTTAATTTTAAATTTTATTCTGATAACACAGAACCAAGGAGACCATATATATTCAATGGTGTGTATGTGTGTGTAAATAATTTTCAGGTCCAAATTGTTTAAGCCCTTGGAAGTGTCAAGAGTCTGACATGGCCGACCTGCCTGGTAACATCCTTCTTTACTACACAGCAAAGGTCAGAGTAAATTTGTGAACTGTCCATCTAGTTATAACTATGTTGTGAACTGCAGTTCCTTTTCTATTCCTTTTGTCATTTCATTGGGTAATTAAAAGGAGGGGTTTGAATTGCCATCAAAATAATCATGAATTTTCAAAGGAAGGTGAGAAGCAGTAAAAATTAAGGTATACCTCCTCCACGAGGGTCCAAATATTATCATTATGTCATCCCTGTGGTACTAATGGCAATAGTTACAGTTGGAATTTGTACCGATGAATTGACTTCAGTAAGTGAAATTGTTTGTGTTTGTATTCTCATAGTTTACTGGAAGGAAAGATGAAACAGAATTGTTCTCAGTTTTTTAAATGTGATGTAGCCAAAAATTTTAAAAAAAGAAAGAAAGAGAAGAAAAAATGTTCACTTCAAAAGGAGAAAAAGGCCAGAAGGCACAGTGGCTCACACTTGTAATCCCAGCACTTTGGGATGCCCAGGTGGATCGTTTGAGGCCAGGAGTTCCAGACTAGCCTAAGCAACATAGCGAGACCCCTGTCTCTATAAAACTTATGAAAAATGCCAAAAAAAAAAAAAATAGCCAGTTTTAGTGGCATGCGCCTGTAGTCCCAGCTACTTGGGAGGCAAAGGCGGGAAGATCCCTTGAGCCCAGGAGTTTGAGGCTGCAGTGACCTGTGATTGCACCATTACGCTCCAGCCTAGGCAACAGAGCAAGACCCTGTCTCAAAAAAAAAAAAAAAAAAGGGGGGGGCCCAGCACAGTGGCTGTGGCTCTTGCCTGTAATACCAGCACTTTAGGAGGCTGAGGTGGGCGGATCACCTGAGGTCAGGAGTTCGAGACCAACTTGGCCAACATAGTGAAACCCGTCTCTACTAAAAATACAAAAAATTAGCCAGGCTTGGTGGCAGGCACCTGTAGTTCCAGCTACTTAGGAGGGTGAGGCATGAGAATTGATCGAACCCGGGAGTCAGAGATTGCAGTCAGCTGAGATCGTGCCACTGCTCTCCAGCCTGGGTGACAGACTGAGACTCCATCTCAAAAAAGAAAAAGAAAGTAATAAATTATTATCATGCACAAGCTGGCTAAACTAGAAAAAGATATACAAAAATGTATAATCTCGGCCGGGCACAGTGGCTCACGCTTTAATCCCAGCACTTTGGGAGACCGAGGCGGGCGGATCACGAGGTTAGGAGATCGAGACCATCCTGGCTAACACGGTGAAACCCCGTCTCTATAAAAATACAAAAAATTAGCCAGGCGCGGTGGCGGGCGCCTGTAGTCCCAGCTACTCTGGAGGCTGAGGCAGGAGAATGGCACGAACTGGGGAGGCGGAGCTTGCATTGAGCCGAGATCGTGCCACTGCACTCCAGCCTGGGCAACAGAGCGAGACTCCATTCAAAAGAAAGAAAAATGTATAATCTCACAAAACCAAAACATTTTCTGAGTCCATGTAACATTGAGTATAATGGAAGCAATTAATATTTTTGCTACTTCTTTTCTTCCTCCCAGTTCTTTTGTTTCTCCCAGTTCTTTTGTCTTTTTTTCCTCAGTCCTTGCTGACCTCAGTTGCTTTTATTAGATAAGTAAAAGGAAAAAGGACTTTTTTCTACTCCACCACCCCACACCGTTTTTTTGGAGACAGGTTCTCAGTCTGCTACCCAGGTTGGAGTGTAGTGGTGGGATCATGGCCTACTATGGTCTTGAACTCCTGAGCTTAAGTAGTCCTCCCACCTTCAGTCTCCGGAGTAGCTAGGACTACAGGCATGTGCCACCATGCTGAGCTTTTTTTTTTTTTTGTATTTTTTATAGAGACAGGGTCTTACTCTGTTGCCCAGGCTAGTCTTGAATTCCTGGGCTCAAGCAATTCTTCCACTTCAGCTTCGCGAAGTGTTGGGATTACAGGAATGAGCCACCGTGTCTGGCCTTACTTTTAAATATTTATTTTTTGTATCTGACCTAATAAAATTTGCTTATTAGTTTTATTTTCTCCCTTCTTTTTGCTGTGATACATTTCAAATCTAGAGAGGAGTCAAAAGAATGGTAAAGTGATATCCTATATACTCTTCACCTAAATTAACCAATTACTAATGTTTTACTGTACTTGCTGACTTTTGTCTCAAATCATTTGTGAAAACGAATTGACATAACTATCAAGACACTTCATCCCTGTATATTTCTACATAATCATCTACCTACCTAAGAAAATGGCCCATAATTCATCTAATATATACTCTGTGTTCAAATTTTTCCAAAAATATTTGTATAGCCTTTTAGAAATGAATCCTGGATCCAAAGTTTATGCATTGCATTGGTTATAAGGTCTCTTGAGTCTTATATTTTTGTTTGCTTTGTATAACTTCTTTTTCCCAAAGATACATGTTTGTTTAATACATCTTATGTTATTTCTTGGCAGGAATTGTATCTTACACCTATTTTCATTCTCCACTATATAGCATAGATAGCTAAGAAATAATTGCATATAATCCAAACAGTATATTTAGTGGCAAGTTCTGGATGTGTGACAGCCAACTTTTTTTTTTTTTTTGAGATGGAGTCTCGCTCTCTCACCCAGGCTGGAGTGCAGTGGCGCAATCTTGGCTCACTGCAGCCTCTGCCTCCCAGGTTCAAGCGATTCTCTTGCCTCAGCCTCCCAAGTAGCTGGGATTACAGGCACGTACCACCACACCTGGCTAATTTTTGTATTTTGGTAGATGGGGTTTCACCATGTTGGCCAGGCTGGTCTTGAACTCTTGACCTCAAGTGATCCGCCCGCCTTGGCCTCCCACAGTGCTGGGATTACAGGCATGAGCCACCGCACTGGGCCTGACTGGTCTTTTTGACATTATGGTCATCGTATTCTTTTTACAAAGTAACTTTGAATTTGTTAACATTAAAGTTGGATTTTTTTTTTTTTTTACCATTGAAAGTAAAAAATTCTATACTACCAAAAAAATAGCTATTGTCTTGTTTTTCCCCAAGAAACTTAATATGACTATTGATAAATACAATAAAACAGATTACTGAAGGAATGTTTCTGCAAAATGGTGCTATGTCATGAGACAGGGACTCTATAGTTAAATAAATTTGGGGGACTGTTGGATTCTATTTTTTTTTTTTTTAAAGACAGGGTATCACTCCCATTACCTAGGTGGCCGTGCAGTGGTGCAATCATGGCTCATTGTAGCCTCATCCTCCTGGGCTCAAGCAATACTCCCACCCCATTTTTTGATTTTTTGTAGAGACAAGGTCTCACTATGTTGCCTAGGCTGGTGTTGAACTCCTGGGCTCAAGTGATCCACCCACTTAGGCCTTGCAAAGTGCTAAGATTACAGGCGTGAGCCACTGCATACGGCCTGTTGCTTTTTTTTTTTTTTTTTTTTGAGACGGAGTCTCGCTCTGTTGCCAGGCTGGAGTGCAGTGGCGCAATCTTGGCTCACTGCAACCTCCGCTTCCTGGGTTCAAGCGATTCTCCTGCCTCAGCCTCCTGAGTAGCTGGGATTACAGGCATGCGCCACCACACCTGGCTAATTTTTGTATTTTTAGTACAGACGAGGTTTCACCATGATGGTCAGGCTAGTCTCGAACTCCTGACCTCAAGTGATCTGCCCGCCTTGGCCTCCCAAAGTGCTGGGATTACAGGTGTGAGCCACCGTGCCCGGCCCAGTTGCATTCTTTATATCCCTCTTGGAGGTTAGTGATACATTTTTAAAATTCTGCTATAAAGGAACCAGTTTACTTTTGTTTTGTCCTACTGTTTCACCAGCTATTTGAGCATAGAACATATTTTGTTATTATAACTTAGTTGTTAACAAATGCTAGTTTGGGAAAAGCTGCTCCAGAGGATTTTTAAAATAGTCAACAGTTTTTTTTGTACTCAATTGTAGGAGGTATTTAATCATTCATTTGCTTAAAACTTATTGAATGTCTTCTTAGTCCAAGAATTATGCTATACCCTTACAATACAAAGATAAATAAATAAAAGTCTCTGTCTGTAAGAAGCTTACAATCTAAAGCAAAATAAATTTTTTAAAAAATAAGTTCAACATAACTTTATGAGCATTTATTTTTCTTTTTAGCTACCATTTATGGGGTGTTAACAATATGTTAAGCACTATGCTAAGTATTTCACGTGTATTGTTTCACTTAATCTTCACAAAAGCCCTGAGAGGTATATGGTATTATTGGTTATCTTTTCTAAGCTTTAGTTTTCTGAAGCTCAGTAAGATAAGTAACTTGCTTAGACTCATAATTCCATTGAATCCTGGAGTTAGAACCCAGCCTGTTTAATTTATATCCTTAACTAATATACAATATTTCTTTGTTGGAATAATGTACGGAATAATGTACAAATTAATAGTGAGGGTACAAATGAGGAGTGGTTTGTTGTTCCAGGAAGCTAGAAAATCATAAAGAAGATGGTATCATTTGTGTTTTAAAAGACAAGGTTGAGCAGGGATGCATGGTAAATATCACCTAAAAAGGCATAGACTGTAAAACTGGGTTCTACATGTGTTTGGGTATAGGACACTGAGCAAGAGGAGATGAGACTAGAGAGCAAGGTCACATTAGAGCAAACCTCCTATGTCAGAGTAGATAATAGGCAATGGATAGAATTTTTAGCAGAAGAGTAATATTATCGGATTCGCATTTTAGAAATGGTCTTAAGCTGCAGTGTGAAAGTTGGATTGGAGGAATGGATTCTAGAGAGTGTCATACCATTAGGAGATTATTCTGTTAAAACAGGTCATAGATACACAGTTTTTAGTTACAGACTAAAGTAGTAACTAGAGAAAGACGTGTCTGTCTCGGAGACGGATAACGTTTAAGTATTTGTTTGATTAAAGCAATTTTTCTCAATTGTTTAAGAGGAAAGCAGTAACTACATCATGTGCGCTAAAATTTGTAGGTTTACTTTCTTTTGGAATGGGGATTAGATTAGATTCAAGGATGCTGCATTACCTGAAAATTCGGATTGAATATGAAGTTAACATGCCTTTACGAATGGAGGTTAGCAAATAACACTGTTTCTAAAGTTACAGACTAAGCTCTTACTCTGAATGCAGCCAGAATTGTCTGGCAACAACATGAGGGAAAATAGTATCTTATGCCTGTAATTGTATTTTTATATTATGATTTTTTTTTTGTTCTATGGTTTATCTCTCATTTTAATCACACGTTTTATGTGTATCTTGAAATTGTGCCTAGGGAAGTGCTAATGGAAATAAAACATTGAATTTTTTTAAAGCAAAAAATCTGTTTTCATGTATTTGTTTAAAAGAGAAAAATTTAAAAACTATGACTGGCGAGGCCGGGTGCAGTGGCTCATGCCTGTAATCCCAGCACTTTGGGAGGCCGAGGTGGGTGGATCCCTTGAGGTCAGGAGTTCGAGACCAGCCTGGCCAACATGGTGAAACCCCATCTCTACTAAAAATACAAATTAAGCCAGATGTGGTGGCGCACCACTGTAATCTCAGCTACTTGGGAGGCTGAGGCAGGAGAATTGCTCGAATCTGGGAGGCAGAGGTTGCAGTGAGCCAAGATCACACCACTGCACTCTAGCCTGGGTGACAAGAGTGAGACTCTGTCTCCAAAAAAAAAAAAAAAACATCACTGTGGCTGGCGAACAAGTTCTGCCTATAGCTCATCTGTCAGATGACAAGTAGCAGTGACCTACTTTTCTAAGTGGGTGCTTTAGAATCTAATTCCTGATTCTTTCTTTTTTATTTTTATTTATTTTTTGAGACAGAGTCTCACTCTGTCACTGAGGCTGGAGTGCATTGGCACCGTGTCGGCTCACTGCAACCTCCGTCTCCTGGGTTCAAGCAATTCTCCTCCCTCAGCCTCCCGAGTAGCTGGGATTACAGGTGCCCACCACCACACCCGGCTAGTTTTTATATTTTTAGTAGAGATGGGGTTTTACCATGTTGGCCAGGCTGGTTTCGAACTCCTAACCTCAGGTGATCCACCTGCCTCGGCCTCCCAAAGTGCTGGGATTACAGGCATGAGCCACCACGCCCGGCCCTGATTCTTTCTTTTAAAACAGAACAGCAATACTAAAATTCATATTATGGGCATCTTATCTTTGACTATCCTATATTCCTTTTTGTATTATGGTGAAATGTTCTATATGTGGTTAAATTTATGTTTTGTTCTAATTGGTTGTTTGCCATATTTTTCTTTTATTCTTAGGCCTGCAAAAATTCAATCTGTCTTGATTTATCTACTAATTGTTTGCATGGAAGATTAACAGGAAACAAAGTAGTGAACTGGGACATTAAGGTAAATTAATAGTAAATGTTGGGCAACATCTTACATAATTTACTGATACTCTTATTAAGGATTTTGTTTTTAAAGCACTGCCAGATTGATCTAAATAATAGGTCTCAGTTAAAGGGTTATGCAAACATACAATTTGAAGGGTAAACAAATGCAAAGTTAAATGACTAACATAGTTGAATGACTTTGGTTTGAAGTATAGTTACCTTTGTAAGCTACAGCAGGTCTTTGGATAATGTCGTTCATTATAAAGTCAGTGAGAAAAAAATTGATTCCTGGCAGGGGCAACTGTCTGTGTGGAGTTTGAATGTTTTTGCCATGTCTGTATGGGTTCTCAAATCTTATTTTCCTTTTTCATTGGCCTCATATTTATGTCACAGCTGGAACTTTGCTTCCATCTAGAGGCTTCTACTTACTTTCCAAGACCAAACTGCTCTTATGGGTATCCCTAGCACTTTATTATTTCACTTACCATGGCAAATAGTAACTGCTTGGTTAATGCTCTAGTAGTCCAAAAGAACTTTGAAGGAAGGGTCACTGCTTTTTTCTTTTTTTTAATCAGTTCCTGGTACAGGGTTATGCAACAAATAAGTGTTGACTGAGTGATTAAATTAGTAAAGGTTGTTTAGGGTGAGAAAGGCTTAATTCTTAAATATAGTGTTTCCTTAAATGATATTTTAAATAGAAGTTATAACCTAAGTTAAATAAAAGAAATATAAAAGATAATTATAAGAGGGCTTGCCGGTAAATCAGGGAAATAAAAGATAATTATAAGAAGACTTGCTGGTAAATCAGGAAAAAAAAAAAAACTTTTCTAATCAGTTAACACCAACCAAATACGTTTATTATTTCAGTGAAAAGAAATCATTAAGATAATTTTGCCTATGTAGAAATTAATCTATCAATTAGTGTTAATTTCATGTTATTCATGATATATAAAGGATTTTTCTCCTTAATTTTGGTATAAGAACACTTGTTCTTTTTCTTTTCTTTTCTTTTTTCTTTTTTTTTTTTTTGAGGCAGAGTTTTGCTGTCGCCCTGGCTGGAGTGCAGTGGATCTCGGCTCACTACAACCTCTGCCTCCCAGGTTCAAGCGATTCTCCTGCCTCAGCCTTCCAAGTAGCTGGGATTATAGGCACCTGCCACCACACCCAGCTGATTTTTGTATTTTTTAGTAGAGACAGGGTCTCACCATGTTGGACAGACTGGTCTCGGACTCCTGACCTCAGTTGATCCGCCCACCTTGGCCTCTCAAAGTGCTGGGATTACAGGCGTGAGCCACCATGCCCGGCCAGAACACTTTTTTTTATCTGTTACCATAGTAGGATTTATGACATGAATGACACTTCATAAGTTAACTTTTGCTTTACTTGTAAGACTGGTTTTACAAAGCTGATTCCATGTGGTATTTTATATATAGAAATCTGTTTATATGTACCATACATACCTGAAAATCAAAGCCGTTTTTTTGTGGCCTGAGTTACAGCTATGTGGATTATTAACTAGTTAGACTTTTGGCTAATGTGGAAATCAAAAAGCAACAGATTATCAAGAGAAAGGCGTATTTTTATACTGTAGCCAAATCAAAGACCAAAAAAGTTAAATGACAACTGGTAAAATAATATTTGCCTTCCAAAAAGTTAATTTACTTATTTACACAAAGAGCTCTTCAAAACTGGTATGACAAACAGTCAAAACAAAGTAGAAGATATGAGGCCAGGCACAGTGGTTCACACCTGTAATCCCAGTACTTTGGGAGGCCATGGCGGGCAAATTGCTTGAGCTCAAGAGTTTGAGACCAGCCTGGGCAACATGGCAAAACTTTGTACAAAAAATACACACGTTAGCTGAGTGTGGTGGCACATGCCTGTAGTCTCAGCTACTTGGGAGGCTGAGGTGAGAGGATCACTTGAGCCTGGAAGGTCGAGACTGCAGTGAGCCGTGATCAGGCCAGTGCACTCCAGCTGAGTGACAGAGCGAAACCCTGTCTCAAAAACAAACAAGAAAAACCCAACAAAGTAGCAGATATGTAGGATGAACAAGTCCAGAGATCTAATGTAAAACATGAGGACTATAGTTAATAAAATTACATTTTATTAGGGAGTTTTGTTAAATAAGTAGATTTTAGCTGCTCTTGTCACAAAGTAACTATGTGAAATGATAGAAATGTTAATCTGCTTCACTATAGTAACCATTTTATTATCTATGTGTATCCTACAACATTATTTTGTAAACCTCAAATATACACAATAAAATTTATTTCTAAGAAAACAAGCAAAGAATGTGAAGAGGTTGTTTGAAGACTTAAGTTATGTCCACGTGGCAATTCAGAACACTTTAATAATTAATAATAAGAGCAAACCTTGTATGGTATCGACTGTATGTCAGAGACTGCACTTTTTATATATTAGCTTACTTAATCCTTGCAATACTTTATGAAGTGGGTGTTACTATTATCCTCATTTTACAGATGAAGAAACTGAAGCCAGTGATATTAGTAACTTATCAAAAGATATAGAAAATATTTTATTAAGCTACCCAAAATATCCAAAACTTTGAACTTTGCCTGAAATACCCTCTCTACCTTTTTGTTAACTAAAAGTCGAGGAGTCAGTCATATTTCTACCACCAAATGCATTTTTTTTCATTGTTTATTCTCTTGTTTATTATGCCTAATTGCCTAGTGACAGTTGTTTTTCCATTGTTGGAGTTACATTATAAAGTCCACTTATGGGGCTATGTTTCATTTGCCTATGTTCGAAATCCCTAAAATTTGGAAAATGAAGATGGAGTAAAAATGGTCTGGCCTGATCTCTCTTGAGTTTTGATTATGGTGACCCTTGAGGCTGCCCTGTAAAGCATCTTCCTACACAAAAATTCCTTCAGCTTAGGTTATCCTGTACATTGCTCAAAGGTTTATCTAGCAGATTATAACTTCATACATGTGAAGATATTAAATGACAAAATTGTCCTCCTTTTATAAGATTTAAACATTATAATTTTCCCTTTAGGATATCATAAACTGCATAGGTGGGTTAAATGTACTCTTTCCTTTATTGGAACAAATCAGCCACTTTAGTGAAGGACAGATTCCTGAAGAAAAGAATGAAAGCACAGTTCCTGAATCAGTAACACCTGTTGAAGGAGATTGGCTCGTATGGACTTCCACAAAGGCCTCAGGTATTAAGATGAAATTAACACAAAATAGTCATTGAGAAATTTGAGAATTAATTGAGAAATAAATGAAAATGTTTTACTGTCATTAGGAAGAAACTTAACCATTTGTAGCTGTAGCAGTTGTTTCTACTTTTACTAATATCATTCAGAAAGTTTATAATACTTTCATCAAAAAACGACAGATTAATCTCCAGTATCCTTAGTTTATACTCTTAGTGGAAATATGACCACATTGTTAAATTTGTGGTAGAGAAAATATGTGCACATAAATATACAATATTATAGTTGCTGCTTTTTCTGATTCTATTGTACAATAGAGCGTTGGAAGCTGACTGCTGAACCAGATTTCTACTTTGTGTAACAGTGTGCATTAAGATATAGAAAATGTGATATAAAAGTGATTAGAGAAATTATGATAATTAATATGTTCCTGATTCTACAGAGTCAAGACTAGAGAGAAACCTAGTTGCAACATTTATCTTAATTGTGAAACATTTTATTCAGAGACATCCTATCAACCAGGGCAATCTTATTCACTCCCATGGAGTTGCAACTCTTGGTGCTTTACTTCAGAAGGTGAGCCAGTCTAACATTGTGTTGATGTAGCTAATAATTGTGATTTGCAGTTGATGTTGGGATTTTTTCTTCCTAATAAATATATTTTTAAAGATTATTACAACTTGAATTATATTAATGGATATAATTTGTTCACAGGCAGCTTTTAAAAACTTGTATGGAATCATCTTATACAAGAAATACTTATTTTATGTAATAGTGTATAATCTTTGATGTATACAACCTTGTTTGATAGCTTTGATATTTGGGATGTTGAGAAATATAAGACTATTTTAGGAATATGACACTAGGAGAATATATTCTGGTCTAATATCAGAAAAACCAATACTTAAGTTTTTATTTTTCTAATGTGGGTTTTTCTATTTTTATACTTAGTAGATGTTCTGATTAATGATTTAAAATTATAACTTAATGACAGTTATTTAAACTGAACTATATGAAACCCTCTTCTGTTTGGTTTCAGGTGCCAAGCACCTTGATGGATGTTAATGTGTTGATGGCAGTTCAGTTACTAATTGAACAAGTATCATTAGAGAAAAATATGCAGCTCCTGCAACAAATGTATCAATATTTACTCTTTGACTTTCGTATTTGGAACCGTGGAGATTTTCCCTTTCGAATCGGTGAGAGCAGGCTTTCAGATAAACATTTTATAGTTGTTTTAGAAATTTATAACTACCTATTGACTTTATTTTAGCTGAATTACTTACCATTGAACTTTTTATTTTAGGTCACATACAGTATCTTTCAACCATCATTAAAGACAGCAGGAGAGTTTTCCGAAAGAAGTATGGTGTGCAGTTTCTCCTAGATACACTTAGGATTTATTATGGGTATGATGCCCTTGTTCTTTCTCAGTTTGATATATTATTTTCTGTCTGCTACTTGATTGGAATGTGTAGACTGTAGACTTTCTCTTTACCAGCGATTCTAGTATGTTTTAACTGGAGAGAGGTAGGATACAGTGGAGGTTAAAATGATGAACAGTGGATCGCATACACTGAGTTTGAATCTGGCTTTCATTAATTGTGCAACTGTAGGCAAATTACTCAACTTCTCTGTGCTTGGGTTTCTTCATTTTTGAAAGGAGATAAGAAAACTGTTACCTCCTTTGGTTGTTTTGAGGATTAAGTTAATTAGTTAATAATGTAAAACACTTAAAGTATGTCTGCTATGCAGTGGGTGTTGTATTCACATAAGCTATTTTATTCACTGAAACTCTTAACTCAGAAGATTTTCCTTAAAAAGAAAAGCAAGCCAAAGTTACTATGAATCTCAGAATTACATGGAAATATTTTTTTAACACTATGAATTCTTTTATGTAGAAAATATAGAAATGTAAAAATTAGGCTGGGCGCGGTGGCTCACGCCTGTAATCCCAGCACTTCGGGAGGCTGAGGTGGGCAGATCGTGAGGTCAGGAGTTTGAGACCAGCCTGGCCAACATGGTGAAACCCCATCTCTACTAAAAATACAAAAATTAGCTGGGCGTGGTGGCGTGTGCCTGTAATCCCAGCTACTCAGGAGGCTGAGGCAGGAGAATCGCTTGAACCCAGAAGGCAGAGGTTGCAGTGAGCCAAGATTGTACCACTGCACTCCAGCCTGGGCAACAGAGCGAGACTCCATCTCAGAAAAAAGGAAATGTAAAAATTAAAATTTCAATTCTTATACTTTGTTTTGTCTTTCAGGAATGGTTGTAAATATAATGAACTATCTCTAGATGATATTCGAACAATAAGGACTTCTTTGTATGGACTAATTAAATATTTTCTGTGCAAAGGTGGATCTCATGAAGAGATACAAAGTATTATGGGGTACATAGCTGCTACTAATGAAGAAGAACAGGTATTATGCCTAAGATACATCTACTTTTCCTTTTTAACATTTGAGTTGCTACATCATCTTCTGAACGTATGTTTGTGTCTAGTTAAATATTTTGAGAGTAAAATATGTGTAGTGTCACATTCAATATTATGCACTTAAGAAGTAAATTTTATCTTTTTTTTTTTTGAGATGGAGTCTCGCTCTGTCACCCAGGCTGGAGTGCAGTGGCACGATCTCGACTCACTGCAACCTCCATCTCCCAGAAGGAGAAGTGGTTCTCCTGCCTCAGCCCCCTGAGTAGCTGACATTACAGGTGTGCACCCCCACACTGAGCTAATTTTTTGCCTTTTTTTTTTTTTTTTTTTTTTTCCGGTAAAGACAGGGTTTCACCATGTTGGTCAGGCTGGTCTTGAACTCCTAACCTCAAATGGTCTACCCGCCTAGGGCTCCCAAAGTGCTAGGATTACAGGCGTGAGCCACCACGCCAGGCCAGAAGTAAATTTTATCTACTAACTAAATTTTTCATAAAATAGATGACAGTGTAATTTAATATTCCAATTAGCTAGAAAATTTAATATATGGAAATGTTTCCTTTGGCAATTCTGAAGCCTGTTTTCATAGTCTGCGTGGTGTATGTTTACTTAGCATCGAAGTTATCATCAAAGTTAGTGGGTAGATTTCTTTCTTTTTTTTTTTTTTTGAGACAGAGTCTTGTTCTGTCACCAGGCTGGAGTGCAGTGGCACAATCTCGGCTCACTGCAACCTCCGCCTCCCAGGTTCAAGTGATTCTCCTGCCTCAGCCTCCCGAGTAGCTGGGACTACAGGCACGCAGCATCACACCCAGCTAAGTTTTGTATTGTTAGTAGAGATGGGGTTTCACCATGTTGGCCAGGATGGTCTCCATCTCTTGACCTCGTGATCCGCCCGCCTCGGCCTCCCAAAGTGCTGGGATTACAGGCATCAGCCACCATGCCCAGCCATTAGTAGGTAGATTTCTAACCTAGGTTAATAAAATATTACATAAAGAGTAAATTATAAATGTGTGTCTAGTTTTACTTACATTATCCCGTTTAATCCTCAGAACTACCCTTTAAGTTAGTGGTTCTCTTTGTTTGGCCCCTAACCAACTTTACCTGAAAACTTGTTAGAAATGCAGATATACTACTGATTCAACTGCTGAACCAAGCCCTCCAGATTATTCTCGTGCACGTGGTAAAATTTGAGAACCACTGCTATAACATATACAGACCAGGAATTACTTTTTGCATGTACGCTTTTGGAAATTTATATTCAGAGAGATTATGTGACTTAAAAAGTCACACAACTGATAAACCTGAAACTAGAACCCAAATGTTAAAAAAAAGCATTTTAGAGCCATTTTTGTGCTCTTCTGGTATAACCTCCGCAATACCACAAATTTAAGTAGATTTATGTTGACTAGGCTATTTTGCCCTCTATATATAATATTTATTATTTACTCAGTGGTTACATGACTTCATTATCGGTATTAGATGAGTTAATGCAGGCTGTTTCCCTATAAGGTTGCCGCTCAAAAGCTTCTCATTATTCCCATCTTATTTCATGATAGCTGTATCTATGATTCATTGCCAACAATATTTTTTTTGGTTATTTCAGTTAAAGAGTTATTTGTTGAGGACTTACTGTTTACACACAATAATATTAGACATTACATGTAATATAATGATGAATTATTATTCTTTTAAGCTAATGGGGCAGGGGTCAATAAGAGAAGTTTACAAATAACTATAAACAAAGAAGAGTATGACAATATCTGTAAGAGAGATACAAAGTTCTATGAGGTTTTCCCAAGAGGGTTTTACATGTTGCAAAGACCAGGAAAGACTTTATGGAGGAGATGTCTTTTCATATGGATAAAAGAGGATAGATATGGTTCCAACAGGTAAATTTGAATAGTGAAAGGATATACTAAAGGAAATTGAATAAGACAAAAGCATATCTGGTTCAAAAGATATCAGAGGCCAGGTGCAGTGAGCTGGGTGGATCGCTTGAGCCGAGGAGTTTGAGACTAGCCTGGGCGGCATGACGAAACCCCATTCCTACCAGAAATACAGAAAATCAGCCAGGCATGGTGGTGCACACCTGCAGTACCAGCTACCTGGGAGGCTGAGGTGGGAGAATCACTGAGCCTGGGAAGTCGAGGCTGCAGTGAGCTGTGATCACGCCACTGCACTCCAGCCTGGGTGACAGAGGGAGATTCTGTCTCAAAAGAATTTTTTTAAAAAGACATCATATCAGATATAGTGAAGTTAAGATAAAACATTATATAGGATTTAATTAAATAACTTTTGTGGCTTATGACCTTATTTGTGCTTGTATATATGAATGTGGTGGTTTGTTTTGTGTTGTTTAATTTTAAAAGCTCTTTGGAATTTTGGACGTGCTCTTCAGTCTCCTACGTACCAGCCCAACCAGAGGTCAGCTTTTCTTACTGCTTTTTGAACCAGGAAATGCTGACATACTGTACGCATTGCTCTTAAATCAGAAGTACTCTGACAGACTAAGAGAAATCATTTTTAAGGTACAAACATTTCTTAAACATCTTTGTATTTTGAGGCGTTTGTGGGTATATGAATTTTCTTGCAATATATCCATTCTGTGACTATAAATTATTTTTATATCTATTTCTCTAAGATGTTCAACTTATTTTTATATATAGTTTTCATGTTTCAGTTGTTTGCATATTAAAAAACTAATTATATTGTAATCTGAAAATCCTCTCAGTGGAATATTCACTTTGTCATACCATCCTCAATATAAAACCTCCCATCTTCTTGACTTGGTGGGTCTATGTGGCAATTCAGAACATTTCAACAGCTAATAATAATAGCAAACTTTATGTAGCAACCACTATATGTCAGGAACTAAGTACTTTTCATATATTGGCTTACTTAGTCTTGCAATAACTTCATGAAGTGGGTATTATTACTATTATCATTTTACAGATGAAGAAACTGAGTCCAGAGAGATCAGTAACTTATAAAATAAATAGAAGAGTTGCTTCACAAATGTTTACTTATCCTTGAAAATTATTTTAATTTTAATAACTGTTACTTAAGTGGATTATTAGATTGATCCAGAGGTGTACTGACACACATTTGTTCTTGCAAACTACATGGTTTGTTTCCACCTAAGCCTTTCTCATTAAGAAACAAAATTTTAAATTATTTCTCTTTAATTTGCCATGTAATTAAACTAGAGTTTTAAGCATACCAATTATACAACTACAGATGAATTTCAGTCCAGTTTATTCTTTTTTAAAATTTGTTTATTTTTTTGAGACGGAGTCTCGCTCTGTCGCCTAGGCTGGAGTGCAGTGGTGTGATCTTGGCTGACTGCAACCTCTGGCTCCCATGTACATGTGATTCTCCTGCTTCAGCCTCCTGAGTAGCTGGGACTACAGGCACGCATCACCACACCTGGCTAATTTTTGTATTTTTAGTAGAGACAGGGTTTCACTATGTTGGCCAGGCTGGTCTCGAACTCCTGACCTCAGTTGATCTGCCTGCCTCAGCCTCGCTAAGTGCTGGGATTACAGGCATGAGCCACTGTGCCCAGTCCAGTTTATTCTTAAATCCATTTTTACATTATACTATAATAGGGAGTGCCTATTCTTTTATGCCTATTGTTCCATTATTGGAACACTAAGCATTTGGGAGTTATTTATATCCCACTGCTCAAGGTCATCACCAAGGTCTGACTTTTCACACATGTCTGCAATTCAAAAAATTGCAACCTCCGGCATAAATGGGTTAATGCTGAAGTTTTTGTACTTAAGGAATAAAATGATGCTCCAAAAACAAAGTATAGCCATGTTTTATTCTATAAGTTAATAGCATTATTTTATTCTATAAGTTAATATTGCTATAAGTTAATAGCAATACTTACTAACATTAAATATTAATGCTAATAAATACTAACATTAATATTTAATGTTAATAAGTTAACATTTTTAATGTTAAATGACAAACTATTCTTAATTTTCTATATTGAGAATATATTACTTGTCGTGACCAGATTATGGAACAAATGTTGAAATGCACGAACGTTTATGAGCGTAGTAAACAACATATTCGACTCAGAGAAGTTGGCTACTCGGGACTGGGACTCCTTCTTAATGAAGCACTTGTTAATACTTCTCTTATTAAAAACCTCACCCATCAAATCATAAATACAGGTATGAATAAGGCTAATAAAGCTAACATATTTAAGAAATGTTTTTTCCTGTAAGTTTTTTTCATACCTTTCTCAGGCTGCTTTTAAAATATCTGTTATTTGATTCAGCAGGGCCTTCCTTGGATACCATATCTTACGTAGTTTTGTTGTTTTTGTCTCCCCGGGGCGTAGCACAGTTCCTTACTCAGTAAATGTTTATTGACTAAGTGATTAAGTTAATAAGTGAGTCCACGGAACAAGAAAAGGACACTACAGAAAATATGTGCAAAAGATTGTTTTTTCTTAAGGAGCTTAAATTTTTAAAGGCAAATGAAAACTAATTTCAGATATTCTTTGTTGTTTCTTTTGTTTGTTTTGTTCTGGTTTTTTGGTTTTTCTTTTTAGAAACAGAGTCTTGCTGTATTGACCAGGTTGGTGTGCAGTGGCTAGTGACAGGTGTGATCATAGCTCACTGTAGCCTCATACTGGATGCAAGGGATCCTCCTACCTCAGCCTTCCAAGTAGCTGGAACTACAGGCATGTTTCACCATGCCCTGCTTCTAATTTTTTTAAATAATTTTTTTCAGTACTTAATGACAGACAGTAGAATTTATGCCAGATGCTGGGAGTTTGGGGATATAAGATTCTTTGTCTTGATTAGTTTACAATCTTGTTGATAAGACATGTATATAAAAAGATAAATAATAATATAAGAGCCATGCAGTATGGACAGTACGTTCAAGCAATCAAAAGGAACAATTATTTAGGGTTGACTCAGGAGGATGTCAAACATTCTAAACCTATTTTTTCTTTAAAATTTGAACATACCTATAATTCATATTTTAAAATGAAATAATTATTTCAGCATTTTATACAAGTATTATCCACAGTTCTTTCTTTGGTTATCTCTGGTATTTAATTTTAACTTTTTGTTTTTCCTACCATAGATCCTGTTATTAATTTCAAAGATCTACTATCTGTGGTATATATATCTCACAGAGCACATATAAATGTTAGAGTGGCCATCTGCAGAAAGGTCAGTAAACTCTTAAGATATATTTTAATGATAGCAGCATCACCATCATGCTATAAATAACTTTGCATTATTTTGCAGCAGATACAAGTTTTCATTTATTTTATAAATGACGTAATTTTATAAGTAAACAATTTTCTTTTTGAAGTAAATTAACTTCATGTTATCATAAGAAATTAGCATGTGAATGTTTTCTTAGTTCTTCGTGGTCTCCTGCAAATATGTTCTTTCCAGAGTCAAAAATGTATTACCAGAGAATAATTTTCTTATTAAGAACCTTCAATGATTGTGACCATTTCTAATTAATATACCATATTATAGAGTTTCTGAATCTTTTGAAACTTTCTGGAAATAATTTTCTATAATTTGTTTAGGAGTATTCCAACAATGATTTGTCTTTAGTACACAGTTAACCTTTAACTAAGTCAAGAGATAGTTATCCTGTCTTCCCCTTTCAGATCATAACTTTCTCTGTCCTCCACTAGTAACCATTGACCTATTTAATTTGCTTCCTTGCTTTTCTTTTTTTTATTTTACCTCATGATTTTGTCACAGTTCTTGATATATATATATATATATGTGTGTGTGAGAATAAGAGATCTCTATATATAGAGTTTATATATATATACACATATATACACACACATATATAATTTATTTGTTTAACTGACAGAAAAGAAAAATATATATATTTGTTGTATAATATATATGTATAATTTCCTTTTCTCTTTAATGGAAATGCATAGTGTTTCATTGTATGGCTATTTAATAAAGTATTATCTGGTTCCTTATTGATAGACATTTAGGTTGTTTCCTGCTTTTCCATGTTATAAACTGCTGTTATGAATGTCTTTTTATGTTTTCCAATTTGTGGTAATACATCTGTAGGACATACTCCATGAAATAGAATTGCTGTTTCAAAGGGTATTAACGTTTTACATTTTGATGGATTTTTCCACATTGTCCTTCAAAATAACTGTACCAGTTTACATTTATACAAACAGTGTGTGTGACAGTGATTATTTCCCTATGTACTTAGCTCTGAGTATTTGGAGCAGGTCATATAAATTGATCCTTTCCTTTTCACGTATAATTAGAAACAGCTCTCAGTGCAGCTTGGTTTTATCTATTATTTATGTATAAAATAGATATAAAATAAGTCATATTTTATGGAAACTTTAAAGTCAGCATGAAAAGTTTCTTTGCCAAGTAAAGCTTAATCTGGAAGAAAAAAATTGTTATTCTGCACCTATAAAGTAACAGTTGCTCACTGATTGATATTGTATTAATAAAGAAAGAATCTTCACGTCATTGTGACTCCTTGCCTTCTGTATCAACATGTATTAGTACTAGTAATATTGAAGTCCTTACCAACATTGTTCATCTCTTGCTCTGAAAATTGTCAGAGCTAAAACTTCTGTTAAGAGAGATACTCAAAACCCTGGAAGCTAGAGTTCTTTTCATCTACATAGAAGTTTATTGACTTTGTGATAAAATTGTCTTAAAAGATCTTAACTGAATGTCTAAAGCTTTTTAAGAACTTGTTTTTATCTAAAAATTTTAATCAATTGGATAGTAGAGATCATACGTATTCTCATGTCACTGTTTACTATTCTAGCTAAGCAGTGGCATCCATCTTGCTGAAATTCATTTTCTGGAATTAAAGTTTAGTTTTTGTTCTGTTTGTATAATATAGACTTACTAAGCAATGTAGACTTTAGTGTAGACATACTGAACAAAAAAGTTTTTGCAAAAGCAACCATGGCTCATGCCTGTAATCCCAGCACTTTGGGAAGCCGAGGCAGGCAGATCACAGGAGGTCAGGAGTTCGAGACCAGCCTGGCCAACATGGTGAAACCCTGTCTGTACTAAAAATACAAAAATTAGCCAGGAGTGGTGCTGTGTGCCTGTAGTCCCAGCTACTCGGGAGGCTGAGGCAGGAGAGTTGCATGAACCTAGGAGCCGGAGGTTGTAGTGAGTCAAGATCGCACCACTGCACTGGTGCGACAGAGCAAGACCCTGTCTCAAAAAAAAAAAAAAAACTTAACTTTCCCTGAAAAAAACGAGACAGAAAAACATCCTTGGTATACTCAGTTTCTATCAAAATGTCTTATGTGTCCTATTCACTCCCCTAATGCTAGTGCCTAAAACTGTGCCTAGCACATAGTAGGTGTGCAATAATATTTCCTGAACAAATGTAGGGGGCTCATGGAAAGTATTTAGTTGAGAGGATATTACTCTATTATTTAACATATACCATCATCCTATTCATTTTAATTTTTCTTTTTTATCTTCCAGCAGATATTTTAGTGTACTCTTACTCTGTACAATGAGTAATATGGAGATTAGTTGGAAACACAGTGCCAGTCTTCCAAATAGTTTATAATCTAATTAAGAATATAATCTTTTGAAAGTATATTCTTCTATAGTTTCTCATTAAATTACCTTATCATTAAAATAACTGAAAATATTATTTTTGATATAAAGTACTATGTACTTTTTGAAGAATTTTGTATTCTAAATCTTTTTACAGGTTTTGCAAATTTTGCAGTTCCAGCCAGATGCAGCACATCAAATATCACAGCAAGTGGGTTGGCAAGACACCTTAGTTAGGCTTTTTTTAAAAGCAAAATTTGAAAACGGAAATACTCTTCATAAGCACAGTAGAGCTGTTTTAATGAAAGACAATGATAAAAATATGTCAACTGAAGATACCAAGAAGAACTCTGATGAAAAAACAGATGAGGAAAAAATCACCTCTTTTGCCTCAGCTAATGTGTCTTCGGATCAGTGGAGTTTGGAGGATAGACACTCTTTAGACTCAAACACACCATTATTTCCAGAAGATAGCTCTGTGGGAGAATTGTCTTTCAAATCAGAGAATCAAGAGGAATTCTGGCATAGTAACCCTTCACATTTGAGTTTAGACCTCAGTGGAATTGACTCATGTGAAATGAGTGATAGTGGAAGTCAAGTGCCAGACAGTCTGCCTAGCACACCATCCCCAGTAGAGTCTACTAAATCGTTTTCTGTGCACTCTGACAGAGAAAGCAGCATCACAAATGATATGGGCTTTAGTGATGACTTCTCTTTACTTGAAAGCCAAGAGGTAAAATTGCTTATTTTTCCAAATGTTGTTTTTATTTTCATGTCTGATATATACTTCTAATCCTTAGAAATATGTGAGCAGTTGTTAACAATTTCATATTGTATTCATGTTCTAAGTTTCATGATCTAAGGTTTAGAAACCTGGAAGTCACTAGATTGTGAGTTTTTTGAGAGCAAAGCTAATGTCTTACTCATCTTATGTCTCTAGGGCCTAGTAAAGTTCCAGGTTCATTAAGGACTTTAAAAATATGTTAAATGATTACAATGAGTATATGTAATGGTTCTTATGATGTGCTTTGAACAACTACACCCTCTAGTTATTTAAAATTACTTTATATTTTCCATAGAGATGTGAGGAGGAGCTTCTTCAATTACTGACACATATTTTGAATTATGTAATGTGTAAGGGACTAGAAAAGTCTGATGATGATACTTGGATTGAACGAGGACAAGTGTTTTCAGCACTAAGTAAACCAGGAATATCCAGTGAACTACTTCGACCATCAGATGAAATAAAACTAACGTAAGCATTTAGTTAGTGATTTTCCATCCTCCTTTTGGTGACAGCAGGAGTCTAAAATAACGTTAGTTATTGAACATTTATTCAGTATTCTGTGGATATAACAAGGGAGAAAAAGAGAAACTTTGTGCTCAGTTCCTTTTCCTATCTTTTGCCGTATTAGTAGGATCTAAAGAGGAATCCCAAACTCATTCCAGTATGAGGAGGTTTAAGTCTTAAGTAAATTTGGGTCATAAGTGATTACAGATTTTTTGTTTAAACTGTTTTCTTGCAGTATTTGAGGACTTGATACATTGTTTTCTACAGGCTTGTCCAAATTTGAGTGTTTCCGTGCTAAGAGAACGGAGTTGGGTTTTCATGATAATTATTTCTCTGAAGGATTTAGGGTTCCTTGTAGATCAAGTTTGTCCAACCCACAGGTTGCAGGCCACACATGCAGCCCAGGATGGCTTTGAATGTGGCCCAACACAAATTCATAAACTTTCTTAAAAAATTATGAGATTTTTTTGTGATTTTTTTAAGCTCATCAGCTATTGTTAAAACATATCGTTAAAATATCATTAGTGTATTTTATGTGTGGCCCAAGACAGTCCTTCTTCCAGTGTGGCTCAGGTAAGCCAAAAGATTGGACACCCCTGCTGTAGATAATAGGACTCTGTAATGGTAGTACACCGGGGAAGTATTACATCTTTTTTCCACAGGGCAAGACTCTCTGTAAGGCATAATAAGGCTTTCTTCCCTAACCTTGCCAATTTCCAGCTTTAAAGAAACTAATTTAAGTATCTCATGAAGGATGGAATATGAATTATTGTCATAGCTTTTTTATAGTCAAGTAAAACAGGAAACTTTTGACTTTTAATACTATGTATATTAAAGATAAATACTCCAAACATTTCAACGTTTCTCCATTGTTGTTAAATTCCATTTATAGGCCTGGCATGGTGGCTCATGCCTGTAATCCCAGCACTCTGGGAGGCTAAGGCAGGTGGATCACCTGAGGTCAGGAGTTCAAGACCAGCCTATCCAACATGGCAAAACCCCATCTCTACCAAAAATACAAAAATTAGCCGGGCATGGTGGTGCATGCCTGTAATCCCAGCTTCTCGGGAGACTGAGGCAGGAGAATCGCCTGAACCCAGGAGGCAGAGGTTGCAGTGAGCCGAGATCACACCATTGCACTCCGGCCTGGGCGACAAGAGCGATCTCTGCACTCCGTCTCAAAAAAAAAAAAAAATTCAATTTCCATTTACAGTATCTTAGGGATACCTGCTAGAGATAGTATATCTTTAGAGATACAGTGCTGCCTCTCAAGCTATTTTGTTTTGTTTTTAATGTCCTACTGTTTTTCTAAGCTCACAATGGTTTTAAGAGGACTTTGTTTTCCATTTAGTTTGCTACAAAAGATGTTAGAATGGGCAATCTCAGAAAACAGAGAAGCAAAAACTAATCCAGTAACTGCTGAAAACGCCTTCCGACTAGTGCTGATCATACAGGACTTTCTTCAGTCAGAGGGACTAGTTAATTCAAACATGTGGACCGAGAAGGTGCAGTAATATCTCTTTAAAATTATATTTTGGGTAGTTAAGAACTTTATTCAAAGAAAAATTTTGCACCCCCTCTTTTTAGAGCGTTAATGCTTAATCAGATTCAATAAACAAGGATAAGATGTGATGAATAGTCACAGATTTTTGTTAGCTATTACTAGGATGATTCTTTTGGCTTTTGTCAACTGAACATTGGACTAGCTTTTGAAATATTTGTGGTTTGTATTAATGTTGGGGAAAATTGATCATCAGTAAATTGAAAAACTGAATGTTTTTATTTCTCAATTTTTTTCCTTTGTGATAGCTTTTAGAGGATATGATGCTGCTCTTTGACTGTCTGTCAGTCTGCTATTCTGAAAGTCCAGTATGGGTAAAACTCTCTCAAATTCAGATCCAGTTGCTTCTAGGATTCATTGGAAGGGGTAATTTGCAGGTTTGTCCATTCTTTTATATTATTTTCTGTGCTTGCATGCAGCATAGGTATTATTTATGTAACAAGCCAGTTAAAATGTCTTTTTGGTATTTTAAGTTTTTCATTAGTTCTAAAAGTATCCATGATTTCATTTGGAGTTTTGAGGAGCTTGAGAGGCAGTTAATTTGTTATTTCTTCCTGATATTAATAACTTTATATAATTTTAAGGCTTCCTTTTACAGGATTTATACATAGCTTATATTAGAAACATTGCTCATATCATCTGTATTGAATGTAACTACTCAGGTGCTAGGTAGCCTGTGTAGACTGTTTATATATGTGCAGTTTAGGGCTTGAATTTTTTAGAAAAATTATTTTTTAAATTATTCCTTTTAAATTTTTTCTGCTATTTTACTAATTCACAATTTTACATTTTATCTCATATTTTTTTTTTATTTATCACACACTACCTACAAAGTACTAAGCATTGTGCTAGGTTTTAGATATGAAGATAAATATTGGTCACAAGGAATATTTATTATTTCTGTTTTAAATTTAAAATGGAAAAGGCTGAAAAAGTTTGATGTGAATTTTAGTCTCTCACTTTTCTAGTTACATATGGTACTTGTGAGAACCTGGGTTAGATTAGTCATGATAAGATTTTCACAGCTATTTACCTGGCCCTTTTTATTTTATTTTGATGTTTCCATTTTTTTATTTGGTGCAGGGAGGTTGGAGTGTGTCTGGCTTCTGATTTACATAAACTAGATATAATATTAATAAGAACATGGAGAGGTTAAAATTCTGACAACAGGTTGCCCACCCCCACCTTTTTTTTTTTTTTTTTTTTTTTTTTTTTGAGACAGAGTGTCTCTGTGTCTTCCAGGCTGGAGTGCGGTGGCTCTCGGCTCACTGTAACCTCCACCTCCCAGGTTCAAGCGATTGTTGTGCCTCAGCCTCCAAAGTAGCTGGGACTACGGGTGCCTGCCACTATGCCTGGCAAATTTTTGTGTGTTTTTAGTAGAGACGGAGTTTCACCATGTTTGACATGCTGGTCTCAAACTCCTGACCTCATGTGATCTGCCCACCTCAGCCTTCCAAAGTGCTGGATTACAGGTGTGAACCACTGCCCCCGGTCACTCTATTTTTAAAGGAGTATAGTCTGATGATTCTATTTTTTATTTTTATTTATATTATTGTGAATGCTGCATAGAAGTAATTCTATTTTTAATAGATATTTATTTTTCATTGTAAAAGTAACACATACTCATTGTAGAAAATACACAAAAGCGGCTGGGCGTGGTGGCTCATGCCTGTAATCCCAGTACTTTGGGAGGCCGAGGCGGGCGGATCACCTGAGGTCCGAAGTTTGAGACCAGCCTGACCAACATGGAGAAACCCCGTCTCTACTAAAAATACAAAAAAGTTAGCCGGGCGTGCTGGCGCATGCCTGTAATTCCAGCTATTTGGGGTGCTGAGGTAGGAGAATCACTTGAACCCGGGAGACAGAGGTTGTGGTGAGCTGAGATCACGCCATTGCACTCCAGCCTGGGCAACAAGAGCAAAACTCTGTTAAAAAAAAAAAAAAAGAAAATACACAAAAGCATAGAGGAAAAAATAAATAATTCAGCATAACGTAAGAGAAAATAACTATTAGCATTTTAGTACGTTACTTCTTTCTTGTTCTATGAATATATCTTTTTCAGATGTCATGTTTTCGGATGATTTGTGTTTTTTCTTTTTCTTACTATTATATAAAACTCATTTCCCTGTGTTACTAATAGGGTTTTTTTTTCCTTTCATCCTAAAAGTAACACATATTCAATTGTAGAAAACTTGGAAAATATGGAAAAGCTAAACAAGTATATGGGCATTAAAGTACACAGATGGTGGAATTTTGAATTATACAGACTTTTAAATGCAATTTTTAAATATATGAACTAAGAACTTAAAAAAAATGATTATACTCTTTGTCTAGTAATTCTACTCTGAAACTAATTCTAAAGTAATATCTAAAATATGAAACTGGCCAGGCGCAGTATCTCATGCCTGTAATCCCAGCTCTTTGGGAGGGCGAGGTGAGTGGATTCACTTGACGCCAGCAGTTTGAGACAAGCCTGGCCATCATAACGAAACCCCATTTTGGGAGGATGAGGCATGAGAATCGCTTGAACCCAGGAGTCAGAGGTTGCAGTGAGCCGAGATCATGCCACTGTAGTCCAGCCTGGGCAACAGAGTAAGACTCTGTCTCAAAATAAATAAATTAATTAATTAATTAAAATAAAATACAGAACCACCTTTATACACATAGATGTTCATTATAGTATTCTTTTTTTTTTCAACCTAGAAGTAGAATGAGGATAGCCTTTTTGGCTTTTTCATTAAATTTAGCCTAATGACTGCTAAAGTAGTTGCAGTTAGCATGCTAGATAGTTCTTTATTTTAGATGTTAGGACTTTTTTTTCTTTCATTTGTAGTTTACCCTCAGTGTTTTTTAATTTGATGAAATTTCCTAAACAAAATGTGTATTTATTTAGTTCACAATTAAGTATTCAGTGCCCATTCCATAATAGGGGCTTTATAAGTACAAGCACAGCACCTACAGATAAGACAGATTATTATTATTATTATTATTATTATTTTTTTTTTTTTTTTTTTTTTTTTTTTTTTTCAGATGGAGTCTAGCTCTATCACCCAGGCTGGAGTACAGTGGCACAACCTCGGCTCACTGCAATCTCTCCACCTCCCAGGCTCAAGCAATTCCCTAGCCTCAGCCTCCCAAGTCGTTGGGGCTACAGGCGTGTGCCACCACACATGGCTAATTTTTGTATTTTTAGTAGAGGTGGGGTTTCACCATGTTGGCAAGGCTGGTTTCAAACTCCTGACCTCATGTGATCCGCCCACCTCATCCTCCCAAAGTTCTGGAATTACAGGTGTGAGCCACCACACCTGGCCCAGATGAGACTGATTCTGTCTACTAGTGGTTAGTGACCTAAAACATTTCTCACTAGCCTATTGTGTAATTTTATTCTCTCAGAAATAAAAACATATTTCCCTGAGGTTGTACACATTAAAGGCTAGAACAGGAACCTCTTTCTGTATAGGGGTTATAATAGAGCTGCCTGCAAACTTGTTTTATTTGGCTCATACATGTTAATTAATTGCCAGTATTTAAGTATTAAAAATTTTACATAAAAACTAAGATTTCCCAGCTTCTTTCAAAAATAGGACTGCATGGTTGTTGATTCATTTAGTTGTATATAGTGTCTCCGGTTAGCCTGTTCCCTACTCCCCCTGTTGCCTTAGCTCAGCCAATGATTCCCATCCCTGGGCTGCACATTAAATCACCTAGAGGAGCATTCTAAAAATACCTATGTAGGGCATCACCCATAGTAATTAATTCAGAATGGGGTGAGACTAGGGCATCAGTATTTTTTTTTGTTTTTGAGACAGAGTCTTGCTCTTTTGCCCATGGTGGAGTGCAGTGGCACAATCTCGGCTCACTGCAACCTCCGCCTCCTGGGTTCAAGTGATTCTCTGGTCTCTGCCTCCCAAGTAGCTGGGATTATAGGCATGTGCCACCTCTCCTAGCTAATTTTTGTATTTTTAGTAGAGATGGCATTTCGCCATGCTGGCCAGGCTGGTCTCAAACTCCTGACCTCAGGTGATCTGCCCGCCTCAGCCTCCCAAAGTGCTGGGATTACAGGTGTGTGCCACCATGCCCAGCCTGGGCATCAGTATTTTTTGTAACTCCTCAGGTGACCCTAATGCAAGACTATTTATAATGAGGGAAAAGAAAGCAATATATGTATGTAATATGTCAGTATCCAAAATTAAAGCAGTAGTCAAGTAAATTATCTTATATTCATTAAAAGTACCTTGGTACTTTTAAATAAATGTGTAAACTTAGTGTTTATTTAATTTAATGACATTAAGTTAAAAGCAAAACATTGGATATTTAACTTTTTATGTAAATAGTATTTTCTTAAACACATACCAAAAAAAAGCCCATAATATTACATTGGTATTTCCTGGATGTAGGGATTGTATGACTTTTTTTTCTTTAATTTATTGGACTCTTGGAATTCAGTTCCTTTAGTCGGATTCAAAAACTAAAAGGTGGGAAGAGGGATGGGTTGGGGGAAAATATGAGCAGGGTAGAGAAGTCAGAGCTTTGAGTCATGTTAGAGATCGTTTCCTCCAATGCTGTTTACATTGCTAAGATTTACATGGAAAGAGTACCTGAAGTCTCTTGTTGCCTTATCCTGCAAAGACCTGTGTGTACAGCGCAGACCAGCTTTTGGCACAAATACATTCTTGAAGTGGTTTCAGGTTCTAATACTTTTTAATTTTATTTTGCTTTTATTTATTTGGGAAGTAATATAGATCCAAGTGAGGATATAGGGTTAAGGGAGAAGGAGTCACAATATGTCATTTTTCCTGCTTTAATTTTAAGACTTAGATCTTTCTGTAGCCAAGGAAAAAGGAAACCCCTAGTGATCTAATTTACCTTTCCTCACTGGGGATTAAGGCCAAAGCTTAGTAGTAGTATACAGTATTTCTTTGTCTGGGCTTGTGCCCTGACTATGTATATTACTCGGGAATTTTAAGGGTAGTTCGGTTTCTGATCAAGGACTTGGACTCCTGTATACCTGTTCTTTATGTATCAAAATATTTTGATTTCAAATAACAGAAACATCAAGCCAAATTGACTTAGTTAAGAAGATTTTTTTGCTCATATAGTTTAGAATTTCATAGTTAAGGTGAGTTTAAGCAGGATTCAGTCAGGGCTCCAGTTCCATTTATTTGCTGTCCTCACAGCACCACTCTCCATCATCTGTCAGCTTGTGTTAAGCTGGCTTCCCTTATGGACACAGAACAGCTGCCAATAGCAATTAGGGCTGTATGCTACTTCTTTCATATCCAGAGAAAGAGAGTGCTTTTTCCTACAGCCATTGTTGGTAGACAGTTCTCCATGGGTCTCTTGTGTTTCTATATATCTTGAATAGTGACTCTGGCTGCCTTTGTTATGAACTAGATTTTTGAGGTTGTTCATATGAGCAACTTTGGAAGATAGAGGTTATGTCTTCCTCCAGAGAAAAGGGAAGATTTGTTTACTATCCAATATAATAAAGATAATGTCTCCCTCCATAGCAAAATCAGACAAGTTTGCTGCCCGGTATAAAAGATTTGGGTTCCCTTTGCTGGACACGGTGGCTCACACCTGTAATCCCAGGACGTTGGGAGGCCAAGGCAGGTGGATCACGAGGTCAGGAGTTCAAGACCAGCCTGGCCAACATAGTGAAACCCTGTCTCTACTAAAAATACAAAAAATTAGCCGGACATGGTGGCAGGCGCCTGTAATCCCAGCTACTTGGGAGGCTGAGGCAGGAGAATCGCTTGAACCCAGGAGGTGGAGGTTGCCGTGAGCCGAGATCAAGCCATTGCACCCCAACCCGGGCAACAGTGTGAGACTCCATCTCAAAAAAAAAAAAAAAAAAAAAAGATTTGGGTTCTCTTTATACTGGTGGTTTCTCTCCTAAAATGTGTCTACATGTGCAGACATCATCTAGTCCTCTTCATCTCTCACTGTGGGAATTGCACTTTGAGAAAACAATGCAAATGCTGATACTCTGGCTACTGCTATTGCTGTAGATCTTGGTCTCTGACTCAGGAGTCTTGTGTCTTCTGCCAATACCTGTGAAACTGTAGCAGCTAACCCTTTAGCTTGGAGGCAAAGTAACATCTGAGACCTTTCACAGTTCTTGACAGTTATGTAAAAATTCTGAATCCACAGAGCCAGGCAGAACTTGTGCTTTCACTAAATGTTTGCTTTAGTCTGCTCTTTCTCATCTAAACTGTTTTCCTCCAGGTTTGTGCAATGGCATCAGCTAAGCTAAATACCCTTCTTCAGACCAAAGTGATTGAAAATCAGGATGAAGCATGTTACATTTTAGGGAAGCTGGAACATGTTCTAAGTCAATCAATCAAGGAACAGACTGAAATCTACTCATTTCTGATTCCCCTTGTTCGTACCCTGGTTTCCAAAATTTATGAGCTTCTCTTCATGAACTTGCACCTACCTTCTTTACCTTTTACCAATGGTAGCTCCTCATTTTTTGAAGATTTTCAAGAATATTGTAATTCAAATGAATGGCAAGTTTACATTGAAAAATATGTAAGTTTTATCTTTTTTGATCAAGATTTTTCTGCTAATTTACCATTTTTATAGAGGTGAAGTCATATATTAAATTTTATGTATCTTTTTTATTTTTTTGGTAAGATTGTACCTTATATGAAGCAGTATGAAGCTCATACATTTTACGATGGTCATGAGAACATGGCACTTTATTGGAAGGATTGTTATGAAGCTTTAATGGTAAATATGCATAAACGAGACCGGGAAGGAGGGGAAAGCAAGCTCAAATTTCAGGTAAAAAGTAAATGTTTTAATATCTAGTTTTTCTTGTTGATTTTAGGCATTTAATATTGATTAAGAGTAATACAGGCCCCAAACTTTAAAACAAGCAGTATTTCTTTTATTTGTCTAAAAATTATCTTAGAATTAGAAGAAAAACAGCTAATCAGTAACAAGATCAATTAATAGTAAAATGTTCTATATAGTGATTATGCAAAAAGTTTATTAAGCTGATAGTACGTTAATAGATCCCTCTAAGGAGGCTGGATACATACCATCACTTAGAGGGAAATTTACAGGACATAATGTTTATATTAGAAAAGAAAAAGGCATCAAATTTTAAGTTTCTACCTTAAGAAACTAGAGAAATGGCCGGGCGAGGTGGCTCACACGTGTAATCCCCACACTTTGGGAGGCCGAGGTGGATGGATCACCTGAGATGAGGAGTTCGAGACCAGCCTGGCCAACATGGCGAAACCCCACCTCTACTGAAAATACAAAAATTAGCTGGGCATGGTAGCATGTGCCTGTAATCCCAGCTACTAAGGGGGCTGGGGCAGAAGGATTGCTTGAACCTGGGAGGCAGAGGTTGCAGTGAGCAGAGATCATGCCACTGCACTCCAGCCTGGGCAACAGAGTGAGACTCCATCTCAAAAAAAAAAAAAAAAAAAGAAAGAAAAACAGAGAAACAGAATTAATCCATATCCTTATAAGCAAAAGTAAGGAATGAGTAAAGATAAAAACAGAAGTAAATAAAATTGAAATCAGAAAAATAATAGAGAAAATCAATGAAACCAAGGTCGAATTCTTCAAAATATCAATAAAACAGATAAACTTCTAGCAAGATTGACAAAAAAAAAAAGGAGAGAGAGAATGATGTGAAAAATTATTTATACCAGGAAAGAAAGAGGCAGTATCACCACTGACTCCCCGGACATCAACATTGTAATAAGGGACTACTACAAACCACTCTATGCACATAAATATGACAACTTAAATGAAATGGATCAATTTTTTGACTGACACAAATTTCCAAAACTAGTTCAAGAATAAGTATATAACCTGAAAAGTCCTATATTTATTAAAGAAATATAATTTATAGTTAAAAACCTTCGTAAAGGGAAAACTTCAGGCCCAGATGGTTTCACTGGCAAATTCTACCACACATTTAATGGAGAAATTATGCCACTTTCTCAGTCTCTTCAAAAATAGAAAAGTAGGAACATTTCTAGCTCATTTGATGAGGGTAATATTACCCTCATAGTGAAATCATAGAAAAATAGTACAAGAAAACTGCAGACCAGTATCTGTCAGGAACATAGCTACAAAACAAATCTAGCAATACATTTTTAAAATAATACATTAGATCAAGCACAGAGGCTTATGCCTGTAATCCCAGCACTTTAGGAGGCCAAGGTGGGAGGATCATTTTACGTGAGGAGTTCGACACCAGCCTTGGTAACATAGGGAGACTCCATCTCTACAAAAAAATTAAAAATTAGCTGGGTGTGGTGGTACGCACCTGTAGTCCCAACTACTGAGGAGGCTGATGTGGGAGGAACACTCGAGTATAGGAGGTCAAAGCTTTAGTGAGCCATGATCCCACCACTGCACTCCAGTGTAGATGAGCAGCAAGACTCGGTCTCAAGAACAATAATAATAATGGTAATAATAATATATGACACAACAAAGTGGAATTTATCCTCAGGATGCAGGACTGGTTCAACATTTGAAGATTAATTAATATACTGAACCGCATTAGTAGTCTTAACAAGAAAAACTACATTATCATATCAGTAAATGCAGAAAAAGCACTTGAAAAAACTAAACATCCATTTGTAATCAAAGCTCTCAGCAAACTAGGAATAGAAGGGAAATACTTAAACCTTTACAAAAATCCTACCACTAGCTTCATATTCAGAGGCGAAAACCTGAGTACTTTTCTCTAAGATAGGGAACTAGGCAGGGATATTCATTCTCACCACTGTTAGTTACTGTTGTACCACAAATCTTAGCAAGTATAGTAAGAATAGAAAAAATATATAAAAAAGCATTCACATTGGGAAGGAAAAAATAAAACTATCCAAAGATAACATGATTCTCTGTGTAGGAAGTCTTAAGGACTCTGTTATACCAGTAAATTACTACAAATAAGCAAGGTTAGCAAGGCTACAGGACATAAAATCAATACACAAAATTTAATCATATTTCTGTTCACTAGCAATGAGTAATGAATGGGAAACAGATTTTCTAAAAATACTTTTACAATAGCTCTAAAAATAATAAAATGCTTAGGTATCAATCTAACAAAATATATACAGCATCTGCTGTATATATGCCAAAAACTAAAAAACACTTGAAACAGATTAAAGAAGACCTAAATAAATACAGATAGACACTGTATTCATGAATTGGAAGACTCAATAGTCTTAAGTAATTTTAAGGTGTATATATTTGGTTAAGCCAAAATGAGAACATTGTTCCTTTCTTAACTTAAAATATATTGTAAACATCTTCCCATGCCGGGCTGCAAAGTATTCCATTGTTTTATATATTAGTACATTTAAATTTATTTCCCATTGTTAGACTCATTTACTAGTTTTTTTCTTTATTATAAATAGTATTGAACATCCCTATAGTTATATTTTTGTGGCTATCCAAGAAGATTTCTCTAGGATAAGTGGAATTACTAGTGTGTAGTCCTTATGATAAATACTGTTATATTTCCCTGAGAGAAGTTCTACCAGTTTGTATTCTCATCAACACTTTCCCCTTAACTTTACCTTTAGGTTTTCTAGAAATACCTAATTTAAGAATATCCTCATATTATTGAACCTCAAAACTGTGGAATTTATGTTTAATTACCATGGAGCTGTCATGACTTCCTTAGTTTTCTCAGCAATGATCTGTTTTAAATATTTAGTAACATTGTATTCCAAAACAATTGATTTCCTACTAAGTCTAATAATAGTTAACAATAACAATTATAATAACGACAACCACAAGTTATTGAGAACTTGCTATTTTTCTAGCACTATATTAAGTACTTTAAATGTTCATCTTTATTATGACAGTTATTGTTAACCTCATTTTACACATGAGAGGACACTGAGCCTCAGAGAATTAGCTAAGAGAAACAACTAAGCTAAAGATAAAGTTAGATAAGAAAATTAGCTCAGAAAAGCTAAGATTTGTATCCAGGTCTAACTCCAAGGCATGTATTTTTAACCACACATTGCTGTAATGTCTCTCTAAAACTGTTTAAAATTTTAACTGTTCTTTTTAATGTAATTCAGTGCTGGTTTGTTTGAAACAAATTAATGCTGTCATTTTAGTTTCTAATAGATGAATATTGATGTGAGTTAGATAAGCCAGTCTTCGGTTTGTTTCTTTGAAACCTATAAGCATTAATTTCACAGATTAAAATTATGTCTTTGTAGTATACAATTTCTACTTTCTTTCCTCTTGAGTCTCATTTTAGATGCCTTATAAATCAAAAGATCCCAGAGGAAAATTATTTTACTTGACAGTAAGTAGGAGGTTAATTATCTTGAGTTTAAAAGTTCTGTGTTGAGGCACTTTCCATTTTTGAAGTTCTTCACGTGTTTATTGTTGGTTGGTTTTTTTTTTAAGTTTTAAAAAATATAAATAGATTATAGGTAAAATTATATCACACTTCATCAAAGAAAATGATTCTAATGGAATAAGAAAAGCCTATTGGTTACTTAGCTTCTTTCTCATAATGCAAGATTTTATTGGTCAAAAATTTTAAATTATGGAATTAAAATGTAAATATACCTGTAAATATATGAGTCAATGACCTTACTTTTTATTGTTTCTTTCAGGAGCTGTTTGTGGAGCCATTTAATCGAAAAGCACGCCAAGAGAACCTGAGGTATAATAATATGCTTAAACAACTTAGCAGTCAACAGTTAGCCACTCTTAGACGCTGGAAAGCAATACAGCTCTATCTTACATGTGAAAGGGGACCTTGGGCTAAAAGGTAAGAGGATATAATTTTATTAAGTACTCCTTTTTCTTTAGTACTCTGGTCTAGAAATTTTTGAGCAAATGCCCCCTTTCACTCCAATTTCTTAAATGTTCAATTCATAAAAGGGTGCTTTTAATCTTATTTATTGTCTTTCCATGAATTATAGGTCTGGGATGATTCGAGGTTGTATTGTTTTTTATCATACAGTTATTTGCCTTCCTTTGACCCTTTGATATGAAGTTTATTGGACTTTAGACTCTTAGAGAGTGTTAAACCAATTTACTTCTGTCTTTCTGATACCACCTCTTTGAGCTAGGGCTAATGCTGTTGTATGTTTGAATATTTTACAATTCACTTAACTGATCCTCAGTTACTTCTGTTTTGCTTAATTATATTATCTTTTTTTTATACAGCCCTTTTTAAAATGTGGTAAAATGTACATAAAATTTATCCTTTTAACCATTTTAAAATGTACAGTTCACTGGCACTGAGTATATTCATAATGTTGTACAATCATCACCACTGTCCAACTTCATAACATTTTTATCACCTAAAAAGGAAATGCTGTACCTATTAAAAAGTCACTCCTTATTATCCTCTGTCCCACTCCCTAGCAACCACCAATCAGCTTTCTGACTGTATTTATTGCCTGTTCTGGTTATTTCATATAAATGGAATCATACAATATGTGGCTATTTGTGTCTGCCATCTTTCACTTAGCATAATGTTTTCATTATGTAGTAGCATGTATCAGTACTTTATTCCTTTTTATGGCTGAATAGTATTCCCTTATAAGGATATATCCCTTTTCTTTATCTAGTCAGCAGTTGATAGGCATTTGGATTGTTTTCCATTTTTTGGCTAATTTGAATAGTGCTGCTGGGAACATTTGTGTACAAGTGTTTGAACACTTGTTTTTAATTCTCTTGAGTATAGACTATGAATGGAATTACTGGGTCGTGTGATAATTCTGTGTTTAATTTACTAAGGAACTGCCAGACTGATTTCCACAGCAGCTGCATCATTTTATATTTTCACTAGCAATGTGTGAGAGTTCCAATTTCTCCGCATTCTTACTAACACTTGTTATTTCCTGATTTTTTATTATGACCCTCCTAGTGAGAGTAAAGTGGTATTTTATGATTTCATGTTCCATTTCCTAATGATTAATGATGTTTAGCATCTTTTCACATGCTTGTTGGTCATTTTTACATCTTCTTTGAAGAAATGTCTGCGCAAGTCCTTTGCCCATTTTTAGATTGTTTGATTTCTTTTGTTGAATTGTAAGAATGTATATATAAATATATATATATATCGAATAATAGACCCTGATCATATATATGATTTTCAGGTATGTAGATTGTCTTTTCACTTTATTAATAGCAGCCCTTTTGATACAGGAAAGTTTTTAATTTTAACAAAGTCCAGTTTAATCTATTTTGTTGTTGTTTTTATTTTTCTGTTTTTTTGGGTTTTTTTGGTGTCATATCTAAGAAACCATTGCCAAGTCCAAGGTCATGAAGTTTTATCCTTATCTTTTCTCCTAAGAGTTTTATAGTTTTAGCTCTTATATTTAGATCTTTGATTCACTTGCAATTATATTGCCTTTATTTGTAGTAAAATTATTTTTTACTTTGAAAACTATTGGAAATATCAACCATCTGTATAGCTAATTAAGAACTCCCATTTAACAGTGAGAGAGTAAAGGTATCAAGCTGTCAAGTCTGAAAGTCCATGTTCAAATCTTATTTCTGCTACCTGTAAACCTCATGTCATCTTGGGCAAATAATGTAGTCTGTTTTAGATTCCTCATGTATAAAGTGCAGCTACGCATACTCACTTTGGTTCTATCAGAGTTATTTGGATTAAATGAGATAAAAAATGTGAGCAGTTTTATAAAATGGTGCTAAATAGGCTGGGCATGGTGGCTCACACCTGTAACCCCAGCACTTTGGGAGGCCAAGGCGGGAAAATTGCTTGAGCCAGGAGTTCGAGACCAGCCTGACCAACATGGCAAAACCCCATCTCTACTAAAATTACAAAAATTAGCTGGGCGTAGGGGCACATGCCTGTAATCCCTGCTATGTCAGGAGGCTGAGGCACGAGAATCACTTGAATCCAGGAGGCAGAGGTTGCAGTGAGCTGAGATTGTGCCACTACACTCCAGCCTGGGTAACAGAATGAGACTCTGTCTCTGAAAAATAAAAATAAAATAAAATGGTACTAAACAAATGTAAAATACTTGATACTTTTTTACATTATTTAAATCAAACAATCTTTGTAACTTAAGCTAAATAATTTTACTTATTTGCTTATGAATATTCTTAGGAAACAGAATCCAATTCACTGGAAGCTAGCTAATGTAGAGAATTATTCCCGCATGAGACTTAAGCTGGTACCGAATTATAATTTCAAAACCCATGAGGAAGCTAGTGCCTTGAGAGATAATCTGGGTGAGTTCCAATGACTGTTTAATTGTTTGTTGAAGATAATGAGAGTGTTCGTGGGGTTGACGATTGTTATTTTATTGTTTTAAATGTGTTTACTTATGAAGGAAGGGTGGCATTTTATAATTGATATTTAAGTGACTATATGTTTTCAGTCCTGTTACATTTGGCCTAAATCCAAGGTGATTTAATACTTCCATTGATTGTAATTTCTAAAAGAAAAAAAAATTTTAATTATAAAAGTATACTGTACTTCATATCAACTGTTATGTCTCTTGCAATGAAACAATGTTCTTTTCTCTTAGTTTTTTTGTTCATCAAGACTGAGGCTAATACTAATGTTAGATAGAATTCTTAGCAATCCTTTTTTTTCTTTTCTTTTCTTTTTTTTGAGACAAAAGTCTCACTCTGTCGCCCAGGCTGAAGTGTAGTGGCGCAATCTCGGCTCACTGCAACCTCTGCTTCCAGGGTTCAAGCAATTCTCATGCCTCAGCCTCCCAAGTAGCTGGGATTACAGGCATATGCCATCACACCTGGCTAATTTTTGTATTTTTAGTAGAGATGGGGTTTCACCATGTTGGCCAGGCTGGTCTCCAACTCCTGACCTCAAGTTATCCTCCCAACCTTTGCCTCCCAAGTGCTGGGATTACAGGTGTGAGCCACCGCACCCAGCCATAATTCTTAGCAATCCTTTATGCCTTTTATTATAACCTATTTTTATAGTGCTCTAGACCCTTAGTATCTTAGATTGGCCAATGCCTTTTTCTAGAAAAAAAAAAAAAACTACTTGAGGTCAGGAGTTCAAGACCAGCCTGGCCAACATAGTGAAACCCCGTCTCTACTAAAAATATAAAAAATTAGCCAGGCATGGTGGCGGGCACCTGTAATCCCAGCTACTCAGGAGGCTGAGGCAGGAGAATTGCTTGAACCCGGGAGGCGGAGGTTGCAGTGACCTGAGATCAGGCCACTGCATTCCAGCCTGGGCAACAAGAGCAAAACTCTGTCTCAAAACAAACAAAAATTTTGCCTGACACTATTTCAAAACAGATCTTAACGGGTTTCTGCAACTCTTTAGGAAGCCTTTCCTTTATAACTGTCTCACTTGTCTTCTCTCCCTTTTTTAAGATAGGTCTGTGAAATACCCCAAAATGTTGTTTATCAAGAATCACTGGGCCCGGCACAGTGGCTCATGCCTGTAATCCCAGCATTTTGGGAGGCCGCGGCAGCAGATCACCTGAGGTCAGGAGCTCGAGACCTCGAGCTGGCCAACATGGTGAAACCCTGTCTCTACTAAAAATACAAAAATTAGCCGGGCATGGTGGCGGGCACCTGTAATCCCAGCTACTCCAGAGGCTGAAGCAGGAGAATCACTTGAACCCGAGAGGCAGAGGTGGCAGTGAGCTGATATCGCGTCTTTGCACTCCAGCCTGGGTGACAAGAGCAAAACTCCTCCTCAACAACAACAACAACAACAAATCATTGGTAGTCATAGGCATATTATGTTGTAGTTTTAGATGACAGGAGTACCAACTTTTAGATGTTATTTTTAAACTATTTTTATTTTTTTGAGACTGGGACTCTCTCTGTTGACCAAGCTAGATTGCAGAGGCTTGAACATGGCTCACTGTAGCCTTGACCTCCTGGGCTCAATCGATCCTTCTGCCTCAGCCTCCTGATTAGCTGGGACTACCAATGCATACCACCATGCCATGCCCAGCATTTTTTTTTTTTTTTTTTTGGTAGAGACAAGGTCTCACCATATTGCCAGGCTGGTCTTGAACTCCTAGGCTCAAGTGGCAGTCCTTCCACCTCAGCCTCCCAAAGTGCTGAGATTACAGACTTGAGCCGGCATGGCTGGCCAGATCTTATTTTTTTTAATTGCCCTAACATATGGCCAAAACATTTGATGCCATAAAATGAATCAAGAGAGCTATGATGCCTGCCATTTAGAGTCTTACATTTTGAAATAAATCAGATACAGTAAGTGGTTTTCCTTAATTCAAAATAATGGCCCTGTCCATGATATAAACACTAACTTTGAGTGTTATCTTACATAGCAATAGCCAGTTGTGTATAGCTTTTTCTCTGAAAGAATCTTGTATCCTCTTCTGTAAGTATCTTTCTCTACTCTTTGAAATGTAACTATCATTAACACCCAACAAACATCTTTTGGTAAATGACTTTAATAGTTACTTAAGGCATAGTGTTCCATATTATTTTCTCGACTTTTGCCAAGAAATTTCCTTCCATAAAGTTCCCTCTGTTTTTTCCTCTCCTTCTCACCCCTCGACACATGCACACAGATGTAATTTTATGTCCCTTCTTAGTCTCAGTTGTTCTTTTTGTTTTTTTTTCTCACTTTAAAAATTTACTCCAAGTGAGCCGGGCGTGGTGGCTCACGCCTGTAATCCCAGCACTTTGGGAGGCGGAGGTGGGCGGATCACGAGGTCAGGAGATCAAGATCATCCTGGCTAACATGGTGAAACCCTGTCTCTACAAAAAATTAGCCGGGCGTAGTGACGTGCACCTGTAGTCCCAGATACTTGGGAGGCTGAGGCAGGAGAATGGCATGAACCCGGGAGGCGGAGCTTGCAGTGAGCCGAGATTGTGCCACTGCACTCCAGCCTGGGCGACAGAGCCAGACCCCGTCTCAAAAAAAAAAAAAAAAATTACTCCAAGTGTAATAGTGACAATAAAACTGTACAGAAAAAAAAATTATATATTTCAAGGTGAAATTGGAAATCATAAAAAAAGGCATCAGTCTTTAATATCTTTAAAGTTCTTTGAAGTATACTTCAGAATTAACTGCAAAATGTTTTGCCTACTCCTTAGTTTTGTCTACTCCTTAGTTTTGTCTATATTTCCGTTAACTGCCAGAATTCATGGTTTTCTTTTTTTAAAATATTATCTTGTTTTGTTTTACTTACTCCAATACTGCTTTTTATAAGCAACCCATTGCAGATGTATAGAATAGTGTTTTCATTATGGGCTAACCTGCAAAGCTAACCATGATTTAAAATATTATTTTGGATGGAAAATCCATTATTAATTTCAAACAGCTGACTTATGAAGCACCTTTTGGAACACACCCACTTGTAAATTAGGGAATTTGAAGAGTGAAAAAGTAAATATATTCTTAAATGTATCAGTAAAAATATTTGGTTTGTAGTATGGGCAACATAGTGATACCCCATCTCTACAAAAAATACGATTTTTTGTAGCATGGCACATACTTGTAGTTGGAGCTACTCAGAGGTGAGAAGATTGCTTGAACCCAGGAGGTCGAGGCTACAGTGAGCCACGATCGTGTCACTGCACTCCAGCCTGGGCAACAGAGTGAGACCTTGTCTCAAAAAAAAAAAAAAAAAAAGGTTTGGTTTGGCTAGGTGTGGTGGCTCATACCTGTAATCCCAGCACTTTGGGAGTCCAAGGAGAAGAGTTGCTTGAGCCCAGGAGTTCGAGACCAGTCTGGACAACATAATGAGACCTCATCTCTACAAAACAAATTTTAAAAGTCAGCTGGGTGCAGTCATGTGCGCCCATGATCCCAGGTACTTGGGAGGCTGAGGTGAGAGGATTGCTTGAGCCCAGGAGATTGAGGCTGTAGTGAGCCATGATTATACCACTTCATTCCAGCCTGGGCAACACAGTAAAACCCTCTCTCAAAAAAAAAAAAAAAATTGATTTAAGAAATTTTTTTTGTCTGTACTTCTCTATTAGACATGCTGTTTTCTGATTGGCAAACTTAACAACTTATTTTTGGTCCTCACCTTGCTTCCATTGTTTCTGAAGCATTTAGTGGTTATCCTTCTCTGTAAGTGTATTTCTTTCCTTCTTTCTTTTCCTTTTTTTGTTTGTTTGTTTGTTTTGTGAGACAGGATATCTTTCTGTCACCCAGGCTGGAGTGCAGTGGTGCAGTCACCACTCATTGCAGCCTTGAGCTCCTGGGCTCAAGTGATCCTCCTTGCCACAGCTTCCTGAGCAGCTGGTACTATAGGTGTGTACCACCACACCCAGCTAATTTTTTAATTTTTAAACTTTTTTTGTAGAGACAAGGTCGCCCTCTGTTGCCCAGGTTGGTCTTGAATTTCTGGGCTCAAGTGATCCTTCCACCTCAGCCTCCCAGAGTGCTGGGATTACAGGCATGAGCCATCACACTCAGCCTGTAAATATATTTCTTTCTTAGCTCTGCTGCTTAACCTCCTACTTTTTATACCAACTTTTAGTCTTTTTTTCTAAAACTTTTTTCCTGCACACCTTTAAATGATGATGTTCCCAGATCCATTCCTAGAATCTTGCCTTTTACCTGTGTTCTTCCTGAGTGATCTCATGGCTAACCCACCATATATGTAATGCTCCTTTCCCATCTGTATTTCTAGTTCCAACCTTCCTTTTGAACTCTAGAACAATGTTTCCAGCTGCCTGTTGGGATATCTCTTACACAGTCTCCGTATGACATTTCTGAAACTGAATTTATTATCTTTTCTCATATGTGTATTCCTTACCCTAGTTTCTACTTCTCTTGTATCTGGTATTGTAGTTATCAATATCTCCATATATTAGTTGCTGAAATTAAAATCCACATTATCCATGAGTCTCTCCTCATATCTCTGAAATTCCTACATATAATAGCTCTTTAGGTACTGTGTCTGGTTGATTCTATCTCTTACATAACTTTTGAATGTTTTTCCTTATTTTCATTCCCTTTGCTATTGCCATGGCTTAGCTTGGTGCTTTCTCCAAACTTACAGTAGCTTGCCAGCTGGCCTCCTTGCTGCAGTCCATCCTTCATTCTCCATCCTTCACCAATCTTTCATCAGATTTTCAATTCATACTGTTAACAGAATAGTACCATACATCTATATAAAGTCAATTTCCTATTTGTATCAGACTACCTAGGCTTCCTTCTTTTCACTTTTTATTGCATTGTCATGTACTTCGTTAATTAAATGTTTTAACAATAAATTAGACCTCATGAAAAAACATGTTCAGTAGAAATAGTTACTAACTTGTTCTAGGGAAAATGTGAATCACTACTTCCCAATGTAGAGGGTATGATCAAACAGATTTACACAGAAAAATGCAGCTGTACGTTACGTTGATTCATCTTATGTCTGAGCAACGGTATCATTTGAGAAGTTAAGGGAGGATTTGTCGTCTTTATAGTGTTTTGTTATTTATAGTTATTTGCAGTATTGTGTTATTTTATATATTGTGTATGAATTATTTTTGCCATAAATGAAATGTCTTTATTCATCAAGTTAAGTATGTTAATTTTTTTTCCAATCCTATAAATTATGCATATATTTGTATTGCTGTTCTTATTTCAATCAGATAGTTGGAAGATAAATATATAATAGTAGCTATCATTTATTTTATATTTAATGTGTACCAGATGTTTCACATATATTACCTTTCATATACATAACAACCTTGTGATGAAGTCTCCATTTTACAATTTAGAAAACATAAATTCAGAAGGGTCATTGGCTTAATAACTGGCAAAACTAAATTTGAGTCTAGGTTCACCACTTCATAGACCATGTTCTTTTCATTATACCAGACCTGCCTTTTTACAGGATGTTTAGTTTATAAAATACATTACATGTATTGCATATAATTGCCTCGGAATTATGTATTAAGTTCCATGTGGTCCAGAAAGTAAACACTTTCGCTCTTGGTCTGTGTATTATTTCCCAATTAAAGACAATTTGTCATATATTCTTAGTATTGCTTTTGTACAAATGCACAGTAAAAATGGTTCTATTACATTAATACAATTAGAATATTTCTTCCTTTGACTTAATTATTGGCAACCTTTAGAATTAAATATAAATAAAGAGAGTACTTGGCCTATTTCTGAAACAAATAATACTGTTATTAAAAATAGATACTATTATTTTTTAAACATTTATTCTTTTTACCTTATGAATAGTAGTGGTCAAAATCGCCATCAAACGTGAAGGATTACTCTAAATCAAAGTACCGTCTTTACTTATAATATACATATTGTTATATCTAACAGTCAGGAACACAATTAGCAGTCAGAAATTACAGAAAGGCTATAATATTGTTTTTTACTTTATGTTTAATAGATATTTTGTGTTTAAAACAGGTATCCAACACTCACAGCCTTCCAGTGATACATTGCTTTTGGAAGTAGTGAAACAAGTAAAAGTTAGTGATATGGTGGAGGATAAATTAGACCTTCCTGAAGAGGATATAACAGCTAGAGTAAATGTGTATGTATAAATATTTAAAATTATTTTGTTCTGAGAAAGGGGATTGCAAAATCGTGGAAAAGATTTGCTTGAAATTCTAACACCATGTATTTCCAGGGTCCAACAGTTAATGCTGTATCAGCTGTTAGGATTTTATCAGTATTAACTGAGATTATTGAGGAAGGCTTCTTAGAACTGGGATAACATGGAACTGGACCTTGAAATTAGAAAATATTTAGAACTGTACGATAATGAAAGCAGTACATCGAATTTGTGAGATTCAGCTATACCTGTGTTCAGATGGAAATGTACAGCACAAAATATAAACTGTTAAGCAAAAGAAATAGCATTATAAAGACAAAGCAGAAATTCATGAAAGAGAAAAACAAAAAGAAAGATTAAAAACATTGAAGCCTGGTTATTAAAAACAAGCAAACAAAAAGCAAAAAACATAAACCTCTAGCCAGACTGATTAAAAGAAAGACAACATAATTTGCCTATATTAGGATTGAAAGAGGAGATATTGCCACAAATAATAAAATGACTGAAAAGAATAGTAATAACTTTATGCCTGTAAGTTTGACAGCTTAATGAAACAAATTCTTTGAAAGATACAAATTACCCAACCTCTGCAAGAAGAAACAGATAACCTGAAAAGCCTTAGATACATTTTAAAATTTTTAATTTGTACTTCAAAAGCTCTCTTTAAGCAAATGTAAAATGTATTAATTTCCTCATCTCCTCTTTGTGTCACTACTGTCATACGTATTACATTTCTTTGTATAAGTTCAGTAATACAGTTTCATAGTTGCTGTTTTATGCAGTTGTCTTTAAATGAATTATAGGAGGAAAACAAATATATGTTATTTATGCTTTGTTTGCTACATAATTATCAAGTATCATACTTGTGCACTTTATTTCTTTGTGTGTACATTCATTTATCATCTGATATCATTTCCTTTCAGCCTAAAAGACTTTCTCCAGTTTTTTTGTGTGTGTTTTTCTGTAGGGTTTTTTTTTTTTTTTTTTTTTTGAGACAGGATCTCGCTGTGTCACCTCAACTGGAGTGCAGTGGTGTGATCACAGCTCACTGGAGCCTCCACCTCCTGGTCTCAAGTGATCCTCCTGCCGCAGCCTCCTGAGTAGCTGGGACTATAGGCACACCACCATGTCTAGCTCATTTTTAAATTTTTTTACGGAGACAGGGTCTCACTGTATTGCCCAGGCTGGTCTCGAACCTCTGGGCCCACATGATCCTCCCGTCTTGGTTTCCCAAAGTGCTTGGATTACAGGCCACCAGAGAGTGAGCCGCTGCACCCAGCCCTCTAGTATTTCTAATAAGGAAGGTCTGATTGCCACAAACTCTCTGTTTCTTATCCAGGGAGGTCTTTATTTTTGTTAATCCAGGTATATCTCACAAACATAAAATTTACCATTTTTAATGCATACAATACAGTGGGGTTTTTTTAATGTTTTCACAAGTTTGTGCAACCATCCCTACTATATAATTCCAGAACATTTATGTCACCCCAAAAGGAAATCTTGTACCTTTGAGTGGTCGGTCCCAGTTTTCCCCTTCTCACATAACCTGGCAACCACTAATTACTTTGTCTCTGTGGATTTGCCTACTTTGGACATTTTCTGTAACTCCTACAATTTGTATCTGGCTTATTTTCATTTGGAATAATGTTTTCAAGATTCATTCGTGTCATAGCATATGAGAGTACTTTATTCCTTTTTGTGGCTGAATAATATTTTAAATAATTTTCCATTTATAACCATTTATGGTTATCCAGAATATGGATAATCACATTTTGCTTATCCATTCATCAATCATGAGCATTTAGGTTGTTTCTACTTTTAGGCTATTATGAATAGTACTTCCATGAATATTCAGGTACAAGTTTTTGTGCAAACATAAGTTTTTTGTTGTCTTGGTTATCTACTGAGGAGTATAATAGTTAGATCATATGATAATTCTGTTTGAACTTTTGAGGAATTACCAAACTGTTTTTTACAGGGACTGTGTCATTTTTCATTTTCACCAGCAAGGTATGAGTGTTCTAATTTCTCCACATCTACCTCAACTCTTGTTATTTTCCTTGTGGTTTTGTAAAAATTCATTATAGCCATCCTAGATGGTTTGAAGTCGTTTCTATCTTATTTGCATTTTCCTAGTACCTAATAATGTTGAGCATCTTTCCATGTGCTTGTTTGCCATTAATATATATCTACTTTGGAGACTATATATGCAAATCACTTGCCCCCCGCTATTTTTTTTTTTTTTTTTTTTAGACAAAGTCTTGCTCTTGTCGCCCATGCCAGAGTGCAGTGGCGAGATCTTGGCTCACTGCAACCTCTACCTCCCAGGTTCAAGCAATTCTCCTGCCTTAGCCTCCTGAGTAGCTGGGATTACAGGCATCTGCCACCATGCTCCCGCTAATTTTTGTACTTTTAGTAGAGACGGGATTTTGCCATGTCGGCCAGGCTGGTCTCAAACTCCTGACCTCAGGTGATCCACCCGCCTCGGCTTCCCAAAGTGCCTGGATTACAGGCGTGAGCCACCACGCCCGGCCTGGTTCTTTTTTTAAACGTTTTTAATTTCTGTCTCTTTATTGATAGTCTCTATTTGATGAGCTTCATTGCTGTAATTCCCTTTAATTCTTTAAACATAGTTTCCTTTTGTTCTTTTGATGTTTTTATGATAGCTACTTTGAAGCCATTGTTAAATTGAACATCAGAGGTCCCCCAGAGACAGTTTCTTTTTACTGCTTTTGTGTTTATGGCTCATACTTTGCTTTTTGTTTTCTCATAATTTTTGTAAAAAAAACTATACATTTTTGGTAACAAACTGTAGCCAATCTGGCTTCTGATCTCCCTCTGTTATGGTTGTTACTGTTGTGATTTTGTTTGTTTGTTTACTTTCCCGAACTAATTCTGTAGAGCCTGTTTTAACCGGCTGTGTGTTGCCAATGACGTCTCTATTCATTGGGGTTTTTTTGTTTTGTTTTTTGTTGTAAAACCTGGCCTAGTAGGGATTGTCTGTGGGTCAGCATAGCTTGGTGGTCAGTCATTGGTTAGAGGTTGTGTTTAACCCCCCCGATCCAGCTGAGTGCTATAGCTCATGAGTATAATCCCAGCTATTCAGGAGGCTGAGGCAAGAGGATCACTAAAGGGCAGGAGTTTGAGACCAACCTGAGCAACATGGTGAGACCCTCTCTCTAAGAAAATAGGCCAGGGAGGCTGGGCACGGTGGCTTACGCCTGTAATCCCAGCACTTTGGGAGGCCGAGGCGGGTGGATCACGAGGTCAAGAGATTGATATCATCCTCACTAACACGGTGAAACCCTGTCTCTACTAAAAATACAAAAAATTAGCCGGGTGTGGTGGCAGGTGTCTGTAGTCCCAGCTACTTGGGAGGCTGAGGCAGGAGAATGGCATGAACCTGGGAGGCGGAGCTTGCAGTGAGCCGAGATTGCGCCACTGCACTCCAGCCTGGGCAATGGAGCTAGACTCCATCTCAAAAAAAAAAAAAAAAAAAATAGGCCAGGCGTGGTGGTTCACGCCTGTAGTCCCAGCAGTTTGGGAGGCCCAGGCAGGTGGATCACAAGGTTAGGAGATTGAGATCATCCTGGCCAACATGGTGAAACCCTGTCTCTACTAGAAATACAAAAATTAGCCAGGCATGGTGGCACGTGCCTGTAGTCCCAGCTACTCAGGAGGCTGAGGCAGGAGAATTGCTCCAACTCAGGAGGCGGAGGTTGCAGTGAGCTGAGATCACTCCACTGCACTCCAGCCTGGGTGACAGAGCAAGACTCCGTCTCAAATAAATAAATAAATAAATAAATAAATAAATAAATAAATAAATAAATAAATAAAAGCCAGCATGGTGGTGGTGTGTGCCTATAGTCTTAACTATTGGGAAGGCTGAGGCAAGAAGATACTTTGAGCCCAGGAGTTGAAAGCTGCAGTAAGCTATGATCACCCCACTGCAGTGAAGCCTGGGTGACAGAGCCAGACCCTATCTCTAAAATAAATAAATAAATAAGCAAGACCCGCCCATCTCTAAAATAAACAAACCCCTTGATCCAGTAAGACTGCCATCCTTTGCCAGTGGATCTGTACATGGCTTAGGGATTACCTTTGAAGTTCATGATTTGTATATCTGCCCTAATGTGAGTTTTGGGGGTTTTGTTTTGTTTTGATTTGATTTGATTTTTTTTTTTTTTTTTTTTTTGAGATGGAGTCTTACTCTGTCACCTAGGCTGGAGTGCAGTGGCGCGATCTCGGCTCCCTGTAACCACCACCTCCTGGGTTCGAGTGATTCTCGTGCCTCAGCCTCTCAAGTAGCTGGAATTACAGGTGTGTGCCACTACGCCCAGCTAATTTTTTGTATTTTTTGTAGAGATGGGTTTCACCGTGTTGGCCAGGCTAATCTCAAACTCCTGACCCCAAGTGATACTCCCACCTTGGCCACCCAAAGTGCTGGGACTACAGGTGTGAGCCACTGTACCCAGCCTAATATTTAACTTTCTATGTTGATAAAGCCACATATTCAGCCAAGAATGAGTAGCTATGTCCCAAATATATTATTTGTTTACATTATAAACTACATATGGCAAATATTTCTTTGAAGCTCATTTTAATATTACAAATTGAGGGCCAGGCATGGTGGCCCTCAATTTGTCAGCACTTTGGGAGGCCGAGGTGGACAGATCACTTGAGCTCAGGATCTCCAGACCAGCCTGGACAACATGGCAAAATTCCATCTCTACCAAAAATACAAAAAATTAACTTGGCATGGTGATGTGAGCCTTTGGTCTCAGCTACTTGGGAGGCTGAAGTGGGAGGAATGTTTGAGCCTGGAAGGTGGAGGTTACAATGAAGCAAGATTGCAGTGATTTTATCAGATTTTCTCTAACAAAAATATATTGTTTGATAATAAGTGATTACATGTAGGACTTCAATACTGTAGCAAATTAATATAATATCAAAAAGCACAACATTGTATTCAAATAAATAGAGCAGTGACCAAGTCTCACAAAAAATATATATATAGTCTTCCTCAGCCAGGTGCGGTGGCTCACGCCTGCAGTCCCAGCACTTTGGGAGGCCGAGGTAGGCGGATCACCTGAGGTCAGGAGTTTTGAGTCTGGCCAACATAATGAAACCCGAAACCCAGTCTCTACTAAAAATACAAAAATTAGCCAGACATGGGGGTGAGTGCCTGTAATCCCAGCTACTCAGAAGGCTGAGGCAGGGGAATCTCTTGAACCTGGGAGAAAGAGGTTGCAGTGAGCTGAGATTGCACCACTGCACTCCAGCCTGTGTGACAGAGCAAGACTCCATCTCAAAAAAGAAATAAACAGATAAATAAATATAGACTTTCTCTTTAACATATTTGTAACTCCTTCTCCACAGGTGAAAAACCTGGATACCATTACTCTGAATAAGCCTACTTATTTAGTCAAGCCTAGAATACACAGAAAGTGCTTTAAGAATTGCTTAACTCATATCATTAGTTGCTAACTCATTCCACTGCAAAAAAGCAAACAGATTTCAATTTTGTTTAAAGTCCTTTTTTCTTTAGGTAAAATTTACAAACAGTAAAATATAAAAATAATTTTATATTCTTTTTATATATTCTAAAAACTGTAGAATTTTATGAATCTTGACAAATACTCATAACCTGTGTTATAACCCTCACCCCAAAAAGATACTGAAATCACCTTCTCCCCAGAAAATTCTCTGTGTTCTTCCCAATCAATCCTTCCTCCTTCATCCTCCCAAAGGCAATTTAGACTTTTTTCCACTACAGATTAATTTTACCGGTTCCAGAAATTCATATAAATAGAATCATACCATGTTTCTGTTGTTCCCAGTTCTTTTCACTCAGGAAACACAACTGTATATATCAGTAGTTCATTATTTTTTATTGATGAGTGGTATTTGTTGTTTAAATATACCACAATTTCTTTAATCTCCAGGGTTATTTCAGTTTGGGATTATTTTGAATAAAGCTGTTATGATCATTCTCGATGTGGTTTTAATCTGCAATTCCCTTATGTATAGTTGTTGGGTTCTTTTTTATGTGTTTGGTGACCCTTCCTTTGTGAAATGTCTGTTCAAGTCTTTTGCCCATTTTTTAATTGGTTGTCTTTTTTCTTATTCAACTGTAGGATATTTTCATATATTCTGTATACAAGAATTTTTTCAGATGTTTTGTGCATATTTTTACTCAGTCTGTTCCTCAGTTTATTTTCTTAATTGCTTTATAGAAGTTTATAAATTTATTAATAGATTATACCTATTATATTAATACATGTGATTAAAAACTAACTTTTCCTTTTTTGGCATGTCAAATAAAACTTTGTACAATCTTTGAGAGAAAAAAAAAAGATTGCACCACTGCACTCTAGCCTGGGTGTCAGAGTGAGACCCCATCTAAAAATATATATATATTACAAATTGACTAGATTCAGTAGTATCCTTTGGTGGCATAATCAGGACTTTTACTTGTATTAGTTCAGTAATTTTTTTTAGATTTCCTTTATTATTTTCAGGGTACTGGGTAGGGGCAGTTATATAGGGAACTATCTTGGTAGATACTCAGTTGGCTTTGTAATTGGGATTTTTTTTTTCTTTCTTTGATGACTAGTGAATTTAATGGATGTCAGACTCATTTGTTTTACACTGAAGAACCAAAATACTTTTTGTCATTTAATATAAATAACCCTCAGACTATTTACTTTTTTAGGGTTACTCATGGCTCTATTTATCACTGTAAATATTAGTATTTCAGTGTTTGGGAAAACATTCTTTCCAGTAATTATTTTTTAAAAAAAGAAAAGCTTAGTTTTAAATAAATGATTGCAACATTGCAAGCTTAAAATGGTGATACAGAACTTCTCATGGAAACCCACTAAAAATAAAATTAGACTTAGTCATTGGTACCCTGGACATGAGGCAGATATGAAATGTCTAGGACCAGAGAGTTAGCTGGCTTAAAAGATTTACTTGAATAACATTCTGTGAGTGGTAGAAGCTCCCATTTCTCTTTTTTTTTTTTTTTTTGAGATGGAGTTTTGCTCTTGTTGCCCAGGCTGGAGTACAGTGGCGTAATCTTGGCTCACCGCACCCTCCACCTGCCAGATTCAAGCGATTCTTTTGCCTCAGCCTCCCAAGTAGCTGGGATTACAGGCATGCACCACCACGCCTGGCTAATTTTGTATTTTTAGTAGAGACGGAGTTTCTCCACGTTGGTCAGGCTGGTCTTGAACTCCCGACCTCAGGTGATCCGTCCATCTCTGCCTCCCAAAGTGCTGGGATTACAGGCGTGAGCCACCGCGCCCACCCAGGAGCTCCTATTTCTATACTTGGCAGTTAAAGTCACCTAGGCCACCAAAAGACTGTCTCTCCAGTTACTTCCTCCAGCAAATATAAATAATATTCCTCCTAATATATGGTGACTTCACTTTAAGTAAGGTATGGCAATAGTAGCTCTTTGCATTATCTCTAGTTCCCTTGTTAGGGGAATGCTATGATGGTAATGCTCTCTAGTTTTAGTTACTCTTGAAAGTCTCATTTTATAGTTTAAGATTCATATTTAGTACTTCTAATTATTATTTACAAACACCACTACAATGCAGTCTTAGTCACAGATTCCTGTATTTTGTGGGTCAATTCATGTCTCCCAGAATATAACTAAAATGACATGACCAATATTGCCTTATTTTTCAGCTGTCCTCTGCTAATTGTTTTACAGGTTCACTGTGTTTTATTATAATGGGTCATATAAAATCAGGATGTAAAGCTTATTTTTAATGAAACTGAATCATTGAGTAATAAAAATATTTGGATACTGTTTAAGTAATTTAATATGCAGAATACTTCTTGAGGGTAATTCAGATATTCTTTCCTGGACATTAATTTGACAGATAAGTGATTTATATTTGAGGCCAGGCACAGTGGCTCATGCATATTATCCCAGCAGTTTGGGAGACCGAGGTGGGTGGATCCCTTGAGCTCAGGAGATCAAAACCAGCCTGGGCAACATGGCAAAACCCCACCTCTATAAAAAATATAAAAATTAGCTGGGCATGGTGGCATGCACCTGTATTCCCAGCTACTTGGGAGGCTGAGGTGGGAGGATTGCTTGAGCCCAGGAGGCAGAGGTTGCAGTGATTGAGCCGACATTGTGCCACTGCACTCCAGCCTGGGTGACAGCAAGACCTTGTCTCAAAAAAAAGAAAAAAAAGAGATTATATTTAAATGTGGCATTCTTTTCTATTTAAGAAAAATAAATGGTTGAATTTTTCTGTTTATTGGCTTCTTGTTTTTACAGTGATGAGAAAGAAGAACAGGATCAAAAAGAAAAATTGGTATTGATGGAAGACTGTGAACTCATTACAATAATTGATGTAATTCCTGGCAGATTAGAAATCACTACTCAACACATTTACTTCTATGATGGCAGCATTGAAAAAGAAGATGGTGAGGAGTTCTGGAAAAAATAATTTTTGCTGTTCAATAATTAAGTATCTAATTTATCAATCATGAATGAGAAGAAGAAAGCAGTAAGATATAACTATCATGTGAAGGGAGAAATGGAAAGTCAGTAAGGGGTCAAATTTGTTATTCACCAAGGTGTGGAAGGGAATGCTTTTTAAAAATTATCAATGCATTTTTAAGGGTTTGGCTAGAGGGAATTGCTGTAAACTTAAGTTACAAAATACAGTGTTTATTATTATTATTTTTTTGAGATGGAGTTCCACTCTTGTTGCCCAGGCTGGAGTGCAATGGTGCGATCTCGGCTCACTGAGACCTCTGCCTCCCGGGTTCAAGCGATTCTCCTGCCTCAGCCTCCCGAGTAGCTGGGCTTACAGGCATGTGCCACCACGCCCAGCTAATTTTGTATTTTTTTTTTTTTTAGTAGAGACAGGGTTTCTTCATGTTGGTCAGGCTGGTCTCGAACTCCCAAACTCATGTGATCTGCCCACCTCAGCCTCCCAAAGTGCTGGGATTACAGGTGTGAGCCACTGCACCCAACCTAATATAGTCTTCATTTTATCATACCTTTGTATGTGTACTTATTCCTATAGGCTTCTCATGTCATCCTTTATGTGATAATAAAAGGATGAATAAATCTAAGATGCCAGCATACAGAGAAAAGGAAAACTGTTTCTGAGATGTATTCAGAATTATATTGTATTCTAATGGGAAGGCAGTAGAATAGTTATAGAACTTTAAAATAGTTTAAAAGAACCAGTTTAAATATCCAACACATTTAACAAATGGTTTATATAGTACAGAAATTGAATTCCTTTTTCCTAAAACCTTTTGTCAAGAACTAAGAGGTATTTTCTACTTAGCATGAGTAACTTTATATGGTATCTCAGTCACAAGATTTCTTCCGTTTTCAGGAGTAGGCTTTGATTTCAAGTGGCCTCATTCTCAAATTCGAGAGATTCATCTCCGGCGTTACAATTTAAGAAGATCAGCCCTTGAGATTTTTCATGTTGACCAATCCAACTACTTTCTCAATTTCAAAAAAGAGGTATGTATTATGGTTTCAGGAAATCCCAAAATGCTAGCTTTAAATACGTTTCCAGCTAGTGAGCTCTAATGGAACTTTGGGCTGTATTCTTTTATCAAGACAAAATGTTAGAGGAAAAAATACATACTTTGGGGGCTAATCAGTGTATGAATTTTTGTTGAGATTTATATACGTTTGAGTTTTGGGGGAGCTCAGTTTTTATATATATGGCTAGATAAAGTAGAATTTTTAGTGCCTCACTACATTCACTTGTGATGTAATATACAATATGTAAGCTATGACAAGATTTATAAAATTAGATTGGTTTCAAATTAAAAAATAATGAGGAATCTATTTCTTCTAGGAATATAGTAAATTCTTAAGTAATGTAAGTTGTTAAGTGCATATGCTCTAAAGCCACATTACCAGGGTCCGTGTACTGTCTCCACCAGTAGCTGTGTAAGCTTGGGCTCATTACTGAGAATGCTTGGGCCCGGCCTTCCTCCCCTCTCTCATTCACTTGAGGTCAGACAGGTATTATTACAGTTTGACAGCTCTCCCCACCTTGCATAGCTCTCCCATTTTCTCTCGTAGGCGTCTCCCCTAGTAAAATATTCGCATTTTAATTGTGTCTTGGCATCTGCTTTTCAGAAGACTCACATTAGCACACACAATAACTAATTTTCCATTCTTCTGTGGAACCCAGGTTGACTTATTGATGGATTTGATTAAGATGTTTAAAGACCATTCTTCTAGTTTTACAAAAGTCTTTTTACTGTTACAAGAAAGTTTTCCTTCATAGGAAAATACAAAGCATGTGTTTTATGGAAAGCTGTGTCATGTAATTAAACTAAGTCTGCCCCTGCTAAGTACTGGGTGTTTGTATAACTTTATTGTCTTTAAAGTACATTTCTATAAAGTAGCTAATCTTTATAACAACCATGAGATTAAATGTGGCAAATTTGGCCAGACACAGTGGCTCACGCCTGTGATCCCAGCACTTTGGGAGGCCGAGGCGGGTGGATCACCTGAAGTCAGGAGTTCGAGACCACCCTGGCCAACATGGTGAAACACCATCTCTACTAATACAAAAACTAGCTGGTCGTGGTGGCACATGCCTGTAATCCCAGCTACTTGGGAGGCTGAGGCAGGAGAATCACTTGAACCTGGGAGGCAGAGATTGCAGTGAGCCGAGATCACGCTATTGCACTCCAGCCTGGGCAACAAGAGTGAAACTCTGTCTCCAAAATAGGTAAATAAATAAGGCAGATTCTGGCTGGGTACGATAGCTCACGCCTATAGTCCTAGCACTTTGGGAGGCCAAGGTGGCTGGATCACGAGGTCAAGAGTTTGAGACCAGCCTGCCCAACATGGTGAAACCCCATCTCTACTAAAAATACAGAAATTAGCTGGGCATGGTGATGCACACCTGTAATGCCAGCTACTCGAGAGGCTGAGGTAGGAGAATTGCTTGAACTCTGGAGGCAGAGGTTACAGTGAGCCGAGATCACGCCAGTGCACTCTAGCCTGGGTGACAGAGCGAGACTCCATCTCAAAAAAAAAAAAAAAAAAAAGGCAATTTCCATTATTCCTTTTTTAATAGTTAAAGAAACTATAAGTGAATTTTATAACTTTGCATTTGTATAGCCCTGAATAATTCACAGTACTATAAGGATAGGTATTATGTTTAATTTAATTTATTTGCCAAGATGATTAGTAAATTGCAGAACTAAATTTGAAGTATACTTGAGCAAGTTTTCTAATTCCAAGTCTAATAATATTTCCGTTATACATGATAATTTTTGTAAACATACATAGCTTGATTTCAGCAAGTACAATAGGGTAATTAAAACCATAATCTACTGTTTATATGAAATGTCCAGAACAGGCAAACCCATAGAGACAGAAATTAGATTAATAATTGTCAGGGAATGGGAAGGAGGCAGAATTGAGAAGTAGCTGTTAGTGACTATGGGATTTCTATTTGAGGTGATAAAAAATTTCTGAAGTTAGATAATGGTGATAGTCACACAACTGTTTGAATATAGTAAAAAAAAAAAAAAAAAAAAAAACCACTGAAGCCAGGTGTGGTGGCTCATGCATGTAATCCCAGCACTTTGAGAGCTTGAGGTGGGAGGATCACTTGTTGTCCAGGAGTTTGAGATCAGCCTGGGCAACATGGTAAAACCCCATCTCTACAAAAAATACAAAAAAATTAGCCAAGATCACACCACTGCACTCCAGCCTGGGCAACAGAGACTGTCTCAACAAAACAAAACAAAACACACAACACTAAGTTGTATACTTTAAAAGGGTGAATTGTCTCTCAATACAGCTATTGTGACTACCATAATCTTCCAAGTTTGTCTTGATTCATTTTTAAAGTATAAAATGCTGTTTTTTATAGGTTAGAAACAAAATATATAGCCGACTGTTGTCACTTCATTCCCCAAATAGTTATTATGGAAGCAGATCACCACAGGAGTTATTCAAAGCATCAGGATTGACACAGGTAGGAAATTGTAATAGTCTCTAATGAACTGTTCTGCTCTTCATTTTAAGTAAAACTTGACTTCTTCTGATTTTCCTTTGATTTTTACAACTGCTGTTCTTCCATTCAGACTGATCTTTTGAATTATCTTTGAATCTTCCTTTGTTTCCCTCACACAGACAGTGCCCTCCCTGCCACCTCCTGTATCATTCAGTTCATGGGTATATCCGTTAATAATTTTCTCTTTTTAAAAAATAAGGCTGGGCGCAGTGGCTCACGCCTGTAATCCCAGCAATTTGGGAGGCTGAGGCAGGCGGATCACCTGAGGTTGGGAGTTCAAGACCAGCCTGGCCAACATGGTGAAACCCCATCTCTACTAAAAAATACAAAAAGTAGCCAGGCATGTTGGCGGGCGCCTGTAATCCCAGCTACTCGGGAGGCTGAGGTGGGAGAATCGCTTGAACCGGGGAGGCGGAGGTTGTGGTGAGCTAAGATTCGTGCCACTGCATTGCAGCCTGGGCGACAGAGCAAGACTCTGTCACAAATAATAATAATAATAATAACATGGGTTTTAAAATCTTAATAATAAAAATAATCAATGCATGAGGTTTAAAAAGGGCCTGGAAAGGGCCAAAAAATGCCAATTCTCCTACCAGCCAAAGTGAATTAATGCTCTCATGAATTATATTCTTATTTATATCCCAGTGTCACTTGGATTTGTTCTGCCAGGACGCAAAGGAAAGCCGTTGTTTTTGGCTTTCCAGGACTGTTCGTAGTCTCTTAATCAGGGTCTTTGCTTCCTGGCTGTCTCCTTCCTCCCACAAACACATTAATCTTTCTTAAGTGTTGCCCTTATTCAAGACCCATCAGCAATTCTTTACTATTGCCAGTGAAAAAAGTTTTATTTAATAAAGTACGTTTCCTGTTGCCTCTGCAATAAACTTTATTCTTTAAGTGCTGATCCCTCAACTTGGCACTCAAGAACAATTGGGCTACACCTAAGTATCCTCTGAGGATAATTAATGTAATGTTTCATTAAAATAGTTGGATAGTTTTAATATATCAAGACACTGTTTTTTAATATGCATACTTATGAAAATTTCAATTTGTAACAAAAATTTCTAAGTGGAATAGTCCTAAAATTCGAAATTTTAGGCCACATGCAGTGGCTCACAGTTGTAATCCCAGCACTAAGGCTGGTGGATCCCCTGAGGTCAAGAGTTCGAGACCAGCCTGGCCAACATGGTGAAACCCCATCTCTACTAAAAATACAAAAAATTAGCTGGGCATGGTGGTGGGTGCCTGTAATCCCAGCGACTCAGGAGGCTGAGGAAGGAGAATCACTTGAACCCTGGAGACAGAGGTCACAGTGAGCTGAGATCACACCATTGCACTCCAGCCTGGGCAACAAGAGTGAAACTCCATCTCAAAAATAAAAAAGTAATTTAAAAAATGAAATAATAAAATAAAATGTGAAATTTTAAGACATTTATTCTGGGCATGGTGGCATATGCCTGTAAACCCAATGCTTTGGGAGGTCAAGCCAGGAGCATCACTTGAGGCTAGGAGTTTGAGACCAGCCTGGGCAACAAAGCAAGACCTCATCTCTACAAATAGTTTAAAAAATTAGCCAGTGTAATAGGGCATGCCTTTAGTCCTAGCTACTTGGGAGGCTAAGCCAGGTAGATAGCTTGAACCCAGGAGCTTGAGGCTGTAATGAGCTGTGATTGCTTCACTGCACTCCAGCCTGGGTGACAAAGTGAGACCATTTCTCTGAAATAAATAAATAAATAAAATAAAAATTTTAAGGTATTCAAATAAAACATGTAATTGAAGAAAAGACAAGGTTTTTTTTTTTTAGGAAAGAATTTTTATCAAGACCTAGACTGTGGTATAAGATTTATGTTGAATTTTCTGTTCCTTTTTTAGAGACCAATATTTTAAAAGAAGTAAATTTAGGAAAAGTATATTGATTTATCTCCCTGTTGTACCTTTTTTTTTTTTTTAGCCCATTCTTGGTACTGTCAGTAATAGCTACCAATGTCTAAGAGATGTAGATTTTTAAATTTTGATATTGCTCTTTTTTGTGCTGTCTAGAAATGGGTAAACAGAGAGATATCAAATTTTGACTACCTCATTCAAATAAATACAATGGCAGGACGAACCTATAATGACCTTGCACAGTATCCTGTGGTAAGTTTTGCATAAACCTTATAAATGTGGAATTGCCCTACAGTTTTATAAATCACATAAGTATATACATGATACTTATTTTTTATTTAAAAAATATAAAAACACTTTGGCCTTTCTGTATGTTTTCTACCCAGTTATTTTCAAAAAGTATATAAACATGAAAACTAATTTAAATAAAAGCCTTTTTTCTTTCACTTCCTTGAAAATATCCAGTGGGGCAGGTGCGGTGGCTCATGCTTGTAATCCCAGCACTTTGGGAAGCCAAGGCGGGTGGATCACCTGAGGTCAGGAGTTTGAGACGAGCCTAGTCAACATGGTGAAACCCCGTCTCTACTAAAAATACAAAAATTATCTGGGCGTGGTGGTGCACACCTGTAATCCCAGCAACTCAGGAGGCTGAGGCAGGAGAATCGCTTGAACTCAGGAGGCAGAGGTTGCAGTGAGCCGAGATCATGACACTGCACTCCAGCCTGGGTGACAGAGCAAGACTTTGTCTCAAAAAAAAAGAAAAGAAAAGATTCCAGTGGAATTATAGGAAATAATGCTTCTGGTTATTGAACTAAAGATGAATGGATATTTACAACAGGGAAAAAATATTTTTAGAGACTATCCCTTTTTGTCTTTAGATAACCATTTGATATTAGATATGAGGATATTAGCTTCTCTAGGAAGGAATGTCTAAATTGTAAATTATGGCTCTTTTAGTTTCCCTGGATTTTACAAGATTATACTTCGGAAGAGTTGGACCTTAATAACCCTGCTGTATTTCGAGATCTTTCCAAACCAATTGGGGTAGTTAATGAAAAAAACGCCAAAGCTATGAGAGAAAAGTAAGTGCTTCTTATTCCTTTTATAAAATACACATTGCTTCTTTGAATTTGTATTGATTTTTTACTATGGCCAACCAAAAAAATTTTTTTTTTATCGTACTACTACTTTTGATAATCAGAGTCTGATAATTACTTCACTAAGTTTTCTTGAAAATAACTTGGTTGCCTTTCAGAAATCTTGACTATACTTGTGTTGATTTCCCTTCATCACCAAATTTAAATTGATATTGCTCAGAATTTCTTTTTACCATGTAATAAGTATGTGCTAAAGAGTAATAAATTCTTGAAATTTTTCTTCCCAGATGTTTTAAACTTTATAACTTAATAATCAAACATATTAAAGTATCTGTCTAATATAATATTTGGGTAGATATACAACTTATACTGATGTGTTTTCAGTAATAATGTGAATAAAGAAGAGAGAATGTGTGGCAATTTAGAACATGTCATTTTGATAAGAAGAAGAAGATTTTATAGTTCTGTTTATGATCTACCCTGTCAACTTCTCACAATTAATTTTTTCAAGGCAAGCTGCCCACAGGCAACAGAATAACCTGATTTTAATTTCCCTTTTTCTCCCTGTGAACTTAGGGATGACTTTTGAGTTTTGAATTCTAATAATAAGGACAAAACTATTTTACACATTAACTTAGTTATAGATTGATATGAAAGTAGGTGGTACTTTTTTTTTCTACTTTTTCTTTGCAAACCTTCCCTAGGATTTTTATAATGTTTGATATTTGATTTGACTTGATTTACCAGTGGAACTTTGCTGTGTATATATGTATACCATCACTGCCATTAGTCAAACTTTTTTTTCTGATAATAACCAAAAGAAGATTTTATAATTCTTTAAAACAGTGTTCTAAGGAAACACTCATATAAATAACTTATTTTATTGGTAATTAAAGATACAAGTTGTTTTACATTTTAGTGGTACATTTTTGCATAGATACAAATGGCTTTGACCTGAAAACTTTTTTATTCTCCTGAATATTAATGAGTAGTATGTAAAAGGAAATTGGCCTCAGCTTAATGAACCCATTACTATTTTGGTTTTTGAAATTCAGTGTTTATGGCCTACAAAAATCTTTTATTCTTATTTAGATTTTATACACGCTAATTCAGATGTCACCATTCAGACCAATTATGCATGTATCAGTGATAGACCTTGAAGAATCACTGTATATCTTTTGGTAATAATCTGGTTTAGGCCTTTTTCCTATCCACCATCTCTTTTTTCTTTTACCTTTAGATTTCTAGGTATCAATTTTCACAATTCTTGACTGGTTCTTCCTTTTTTTTTTTTCCTGTTACCTTGGCCACAAAAGGATGTTTAATTATCACAGTGCTTTATACTAGCAAAAAAAAAAAAAAAAAAAAAAAAAAATACAAGGAAACAATCTAAGTGTCTAAAAAGTAAAGAAATAGTTAAATTGTGGTACATCTATACAGTATTATGTACCTGTTAAAAATAGACTACTCAGTCATTTGGAAAGATGTCTGTAGAAAATTGTTAAGTGAAAAATTGTTAAATGAAAAATATATTGTTATGAACAATATATGTAGCACTTTTATGTGAAAAATATTTGTATATTAATTCATACATTAGGATAGATATTCACCAAAAAATTTGTGTTAATTATCTCTGGGATGTGGAATTATAGTTGATTTTAAGTTTCTTCTGTTTTGATTCTCTATTTTCTAATTTTTCTACAATGAACATGTATTATTATTGCATAACAAAAACTATTCCAGGCTGGGTACGGTGGCTCACACCTGTAATCCCAGCACTTTGGGAGGCTGAGGCAGGTGGATCACAAGGTCAGGAGATCGAGACCATCCTGGCTAACATGGTGAAACCCTGTCTCTACTAAAAATAGAAAAATTAGCTGGGCGTGGTGGCAGGCACCTGTAGTCCCAGCTACTTGGGAGGCTGAGGCAGGAGAATGATGTGAACCCAGGAGGCGGAGCTTGCAGTGAGCCGAGAGCGAGACTCTGTCTCAAATAAATAAATAAATAAATAAATAAATAAATAAATAAAAATAAAAATGAAAACTATTCCAGAATTAAGTGTTTATGATATTTTGTTGTTCAGAAAAAAGTATTAAGCAATAAAATTTTTTTCGTTTTCTAGTATGGTATAATGATATGAATACAGAGTTTGATAATGAGGCATATGAAGAAGGATGGACTTTTTAAAAACTGTATTTTCAGAAATAAAATACAAACTTATGCCCCCTTATGTACTTTATTATTGTGGTTTTAAAACTTTAGGATTTTTTCCCCACAGATATGAAAATTTTGAGGATCCTATGGGAACTATTGATAAGTTTCACTATGGTACTCACTATTCAAATTCTGCGGGGGTCATGCACTATCTCATTCGTGTAGAACCGTTCACCACCCTCCACATCCAACTTCAGAGTGGAAGGTATGTTTTGAGTAAATAAGCTATTTTTTTATGACTATGTTAGTGTTGAAAACTGTTTGCCTTCATGTCATGTACTGTGTAACATGTCTTTTTTATTCTCCTGTATTAAATTTTGATCAGCTAAAAATAAACTAGTTTGAGAATGAGTCACTCAAACTGTCTCACACAAGTGATTTAAGGAGAATTCCTTTTTCAGTGTTATCCCAGTGTACCTTTGTGATTCTTACTGTTTTGAGGAATCTACCAGAGATTTATAATTAGATCTGATTTAGAGCTAAATCTAAGGCATCACCGGAGAGTCAAACCAATCCAATGCCTATGCCTATGTAGTCCTAAAAATATGTATCATGAGGAATGGAAGGAGGAGCAATAAGAGACTCTTACATTATTACAGCAGCTCAAACAAGTCTTTGATACCACTGTATTTACACTGTGGGTATTATAACTTACCTATGTTGTACATTTTCCTAATCCTAAGGAAACCAGCTTTTCCATGAATCTTCTGTTCCTCAGTAAATCCTCCACATAGCTCCCTATTTATACATTTTTGTCTCCATGTTGCCTTACTGTTTAACAGCCATTTTGCCTTCCCTACCCAAACCAGAGCTATGTAAATATTGCCTTTTCTGTTCTCTTTCCATGTAGCTTTTATCTCTCACAGTTAACCTGGGTTCCTTATTTCTGTTTATGTACAATAAGCCTTGGCTTTCAAGAAGAGACTCTGGCCCTCAGATCACTAAACATCCCCAGATTTTACATGTCCCATGTAACCTTTGATGGTGACCTTTGAAGTATTATATAGTCTATTTTTGAAGCTTTGTAAAAATTCATTTAGTCATAAAATTATTAAAAGCTGAAAAGATCCAGTTATACTTTATTGCATCTTTTTTTTTTTTTTTTTTTTGAGACAGAGTCTCACTCCTTCACCCAGGCTGGAGTGCAGTGGTGCAATCTCAGCTCACTGAGATGCGTGTGGTGTGGTATGGTGTGCCACCACACCTGGGTAATTTTTTTGTATTTTTGGTAGAGATGGGGTTTTGCCATATTGCCCAGGCTGGTCTTGAACTCCTGATGTTAAGTGATCAGCCCACCTTGGCCTGCCAAAGTAAGTATCTGATAGAAGATACTTTTCTCTCCATAAGATACAGTAAAGTAGGCCAGGTGTGGCAGTTCACACCTCTAATCCCAGCACTTTGGGAGGCCAAGGTGGGTGGATCACCTGAGGTCAGAATTTCAAGACCAGCCTGGCCTGGCCAAAATGGTGAAACCCCGTCTCTACTAAAAATACAAAAAAATTAGCCAGGCATGGTAGTACATGCCTGAAGTCCTAGCTACTCAGGAGACTGAGGCATGAGAGTCGCTTGAACATGGGAGGCGGAGGTTGCAGTGAGCTGAGATTGTGCCACTGCACTCCAGGCTGGGTGAAGGAGTGAAACTGTCTCAAAAAAAAAAAAAAATGCAATAAAGTATAACTAGGTCTTTTCAGCTTTTAATAATTTTATGACTAAATGATTTTTTTTACAAAGCTTCAAAAATAGATTGTATAATACTTCAAAGGTCACCATCAAGAAAGTAAAAACTGGCCAAACATGTTGGCTTATGCCTTTAATCCCCAACACTTTGGGAGGCCAGGTCAGGTGGATCACTTGAGCCCATGAGTTTGAGATCAGCCTAGGCAACAAGGCAAAACCCCATCTCTACAAAAAATAGAAAGTTAGTCGGGTGTGGTGGTGTGCACCTGTAGTCCCAGCTACTTGGGAGGCTGAGGTGGGAGGATAGATTGAACCCAGGAGGTCGAGGCTATAGTGAACCATGATTGCACCACTGTACTCCAGACTGGGTGACACAGCAAAGCTCTATCTCAAAAAAAAAAAAAAAAAGGAAAAGAAAAGAAATGAAATGAAAACTATACCTGATAAGGGACTTTTATATATTTGTACCTAGAATATATAAAAAACCCTTACACTCAAGGTAAGGTGGCACACACCTATAACTTCAGCTACTCAGGAGGCTGAGGCACAAGGATTGCTTGAGCCCAGGAGTTCAAGTTCAGCCTGGGCAACATAGTGAGACGCCCATCTCTATTAAAAAAAAAAAAAAAGAGGAAGGGGGAAGAGTTCTTATATCTTAATAATAAAAAGACAACCCAATTAAAACATAGACAACAGATCTAAATAAACATTTCTTCAAAGGAGATATGCAAATGTTCAGTAAACACATGAAAAGATGCTCAACAGCATGAGTCATCAGGGAAATTCAAATCAAAACCACAGTGAGATGCCACTTCACACCCACTATGATAGCTATAATAAAAAAGACAAATAATAACTAGTGCTGAAGAGCATGTGGAGAAATTGGAAGCCTTATAAATACTGCCAGTGGGAATGTAAAATGGTATAGCTTTTGTGGAAAATAGTCTGGCAGTTCCTCAAAAAGTTAAATATAGAGGGGCTGGGTGTGGTGGCTCACACCTATAATCCCAGCACATTGGGAGGCTGAGGTAGGCAAATCACTTGAGGTCAGGCGTTCGAGACCAGTCTGGCAAACATGGTAAAACCCTGTCTCTACTAAAAATACAAAAATTATCTGGGCGTGGTCGTGGGTGCCTGTAATCCTAGCTACTCTGGAGGCTGAGGCAGGAGAATTGCCTGAACCCGGGAGGCGGACATTGCAGTGAGCCAAGATCATGTCACTGCACTCCAGCCTGGGCGACAGAGCAATACTCCATCTCAAAAAAAAAAAATAAAAAAGTTAAATATAGAATTGCTGTATAACCTAGAAATTCCACTTCTAGATACATACCTAAGATAATTGAAGACATATATGCACACAAAAATTTGCACATAAATGTTCATACCAGCCTTTTTTTTTTCTTTTTTCTTTTTTTTTTTTTCTGAGACAGAGTCTCACTCTGTCGCCCAGGCTGGAGTACAGTGGCTCAGTTTCCGCTCACTGCAACCTCCATCTCCTAGGCTCAAGCGATTCTCCTGCCTCAGCCTCCAAAGTAGCTGGGATTCTAGGTGTGCACCACCACACTCAAGTAACTTTTTTGTATATTTGGTAGAGACGGGGTTTTGCCATATTACCCAGGCTGGTCGTGAACTCCTGATCTCAAGTGATCTGCCCACCATGGCCTACCAAAGTGCTGGGATTACAGGCGTGAGCCACCTCACCTGGCCATACCCGTATAATTTATAACCAAAAAGTAGAAACAAACAAGTGTCCATCTACTGATAAATGAATAATGTGATATATCCATACAATGGAATATTATTTGGCCATGAATGAATTCAAGGAATGAAGTATTGATACATGCTATAATATGAATGAACCTTGAAAACATTATGCCAAATGAAATAAGCCAGATACAAAAGGGCACATATTACATGACTTACATGAAATGTCCAAAATACACAGATAGTCAGAATAGGCAAAATGAAATAAAAATAGGCATAGAGATATAAGGTACATTAGCAGTCTCCAGGGGTGGGAGTAGGGTGAATGGGCAGTGACTGCTAACAGGTACAACATTTCTTCCTGGAGTAATGAGAATGTTGTAAAATTCACTGTGATGATAGTTGCACAATTATGAATATACTGAATTAAACCTTTGAATCATCCACTTAAAACGAGCAATTTATATGTTAATTTTATCTCAAAACTATGCCTCTTCTTGAATATACTATATACTGAAATGTTTTAGATGGTCAGATGTCTATAATTAAATTATAATTAAATTCAAAATTCTGTTAAGATCAGCTCTGCTTCAAACCAAGATTAAATAGGTGTAAAACACAAGAGACAAATTGGTCATTAATGTCACTTTTTTTCTTTGTAGCATAGCCTTACCTTAGACTCAAGGCCATTAAATACTTAATAAATCCAGGAAAACAATATCAAATGAAATAAAACAGAAGGGATTTATACTGTTGTTTTATTAGGGAAAGCATAATACAATTGCAGCATATCCATTTGAGCTTCATTCAGCTACTATAGACGCAGTGCCCATGATTAAATTTAAATAAATAAAATTAAGCCGGGAGCAGTGGCCTGGGCCTCTTAGTCCCAGCTACTTGGAAGGCTGAGGTGGGAGAATCTCTTGAGGCCAGGAGTTTGACACTGTAGCACATTATGATGGTGCCTGTGAATAGCCACTGCACTCCAGTCTGGGCAACATAGTGAGACCCTCATCTCTAAAATAAGTAAATACATAAAATTAATTAATTGAAAATTAAATAATATTAAAATAAGACAATAGATTATGCAAGTAAAACATAAAAGCTTTAGCCACAGAGTTATTTCCCTAACTCACTCTCTGGTTTTAAGAGGAAGAGTTTGTAAAAATATTTATATATCAGTGATTAAATCAGCAGCGTTCCTATAGATCTATTAACCAAGTATATTGATACTATAATGTTTATAATCATATTTATACTCTGATTTTCAAATATTGAAATAACATTCACTTTCTATAATAAATTTTATTCAGCAAAAATGCCTTTTTTTTTTGAGACAGAGTCTTGCTCTGTCGGCCAGGCTGGAGTGCAGTGGCACAATCTCCCAGGAATCTCTGCCTCCCGGGCTCAAGCAGTTCTCCTGGCTCAGCCTCCCAAGTAGCTGGGATTACAGGTGTGTGCCACCACGCCTGGCTAATTTTTGTATTTTTAGTAGCAACGAGGTTTCACCATGTTGGCCAGGCTGGTCTTGAACTCCTGACCTGAGGTAATCCACCCACCTCAGCCTCCCAAAGTGCTGGAATTATAGGCGTGAGCCACTGTACCCAGCCCTAAAAAGACTCTTAAGATTATATTTAATTTATTTGAAATTTTTCTCCAGTGTGATTTGGTTTTCAACTAATTCAACTAAGGTGCTACTGGTGATTAAAATTAGAGTATTTAGTTCCTGACAACACAATATGAAAGATAGAGATTATCATAATAAGGAGAGTAAATTGTACATGTAGGCATTAAAGAGGAGATTCAGAAAACAGTACCTCTAATCATTAGGAACCCTGAAGGGAGTTTAAAAGTTTTGTTTCATGTCTTGTTGTTGATTTCATTCAATATTTACTTCTCTTTTAATTTCTACATGCAGGTTTGACTGTGCAGATCGACAGTTCCATTCTATTCCTGCTACCTGGCAAGCTCTTATGGATAATCCATATGATGTTAAAGAACTTATTCCTGAATTCTTCTATTTCCCAGAGTTTTTGGAAAATCAAAATCGTAAGAAATAGAGGATTAAAAATTTGACTAGCAGGTCCCAATGGAGGAGCCTCAAAAATGTCTTTCAGGACATTTTTGTAATATCCTGTAGATTATTTAAGATTCATTCTGTCTGTGGATTACTTAGTGACAGGGCTGAACTAATGCTATGAGTCTTACCTTCCAGGGAAGTGCTATAGGGAACTAAGCCAAAGGAGTCAAATTTGAATCAGTAAGAGAATTTATCAGACTACAGTGTTTACTAGGGAAGCAAAAATGACCATATGCTATTTCAGCTATATATACCACTTAGGTTAAAAGTGTTTGAGTTAGATAAGGTGAGGATTTAGACTAACCATCAGCTGACTACAGGTCTGTTAACCAACTCCATGGGCAAACTCATGTCTTTATATATACAGTTTCACTGAATACAGCCAGTCAATTTTTTTTTTTTTTTTTTTTTTGAGACAGGGTCTCGCTTTTCCCTTAGGCTGGAATGCAGTGCTGTGATCACTACTCACTGCAGCCTTGACCTCCTGGGCTCAAGTAATCCTCTCAGCTCAGCCTCCTGAGTAGCTAGGACTACAGGTCTGCACCACCATGCCTGCAATTTTTTTTTTTGTAGAGATGGGGTCTCACTTTGTTGTCCAGGCTGGTCTCGAACTCCTGGACTCAAGTGATCCTTCCACCTTGGCCTCCCAAAGTGCTCGGATTACAGGTGGGAGTCACCATGCCCGGCCAGCTTCATTTTTGTGTCATAGAAGGTTTCTTTCAAAGTAAGCATAGTGGCAGATTTGAGTAGTTGCAACAGATATGATAACACTCACAAAGCCAAAAATATTTATTCTTTGACTTTTTATAGGAAAAATTTGGTAACTCCTGATTTAGAGCATGCAAGAGTAGGCAAATTAAAATGACAGGATATAAGTTACTGTAATATTTGAAAATTTATGTTATGTTTTTGAAGTAGAGAAGTATGGAGTTAAATATTAATACCTTTTTAAATGTCCAAATCCTTTTTCTGTGAGGTAGTTTTACATTTACTTTTAAGTACAAATAAGGAAATTAGCAATATTTTTATTATTGGTGTTCTTTAGGGAGGTTCCACAGTATTAAAGGGTTATTACCAACTTTTTTCCCTGCCCTAACATGTAATGTTAGTGTTTGACCCTTCATTTATTCAGTACAATTATTTGTCATACTGTGGAGAATATATCCAGGGCTTAATGTCACTTTGACCATGAACTCTGGAACAAGCTGTTGGAGGCAGGGCATCACAGTAAGGCAGTCAGAATTGGTGACTTTCAGAAAATGAGGTAAATCTGTTGTCTGAGTCTGATCCTAAACTCTCAGTCAGCTATTGGACTGGATTCTTCTAAAGCAGAGTATCTAGAATAGGAGGGATGAGCAGACTACATTTGGATAAAGAATTTATAAGGTACTCTTTAACAATTTATATCAGAGTTAGTTGCTATCTTTAGCACCATTGTCCTGATGGCCTCCACTTCTAGCTATACATTGCCTCTTTGAAATGAGCCATTTGGGAGAAAGCAAATATATCAATTAGAATGCCTTTAAGAATAAAAAACTTAAAAAGCAAAGAAAAACAGAATGCCTTTAGGAAAAAATTTAATAAAACCAACTCAAAATTGTGCAAACAAGGAAATTTTAGTGTTTCCCATAATAAAAATCCTGAGGTATGGTAGTTTCAGATAGTTTAGCATCATCAGCGCCAACTTTTTTTCTGTATTTTCACTCTGCCATTCTGAGTATTTTGGCTTTGGCTAGTTCCTCTCATGGTCACAAATGCCTAACGCAGTTTTAGGCATCATAGGCAGATCCAACAGTATCGCAGAAATAAGTGAGGCTGTTAATCCATTGTGTCCTTTCTTAAGAGTGAGAAACTCTTTCTCATAAGTTCTCCTCACTCTCCAGAACTGGGTCATATACCAACCCCTAGACCAGTCACCTGGAATGGGCATGAAATATAGGGCAGAGATGGACACTTGAATGAAATAAAGGTTCTGCTAGCAAATAAAAAGAGGGAATGACTATCAGGTGGGCAACGAATAACATCTGCTACACTGTGATGGGTTTAACATAAAACCAAAGACCCTGTGCATTCTGTCATTTTATGACATTTAAACTCCTCTCCAACTTGTGATACACTGGTATTTTAAGGCAGCATACTGGTATTTTAAGGCCTTCTTTTTTGAAGTTCTTTTGTGTTAACAGTCCCCCTTCTCCCCTGCCATGTTGTGTAAACAAAAAAACCCTCATATTTGGGGAAATTTTATCAAAATGCCATGTTCTAACCTATGAGCAAATCTTTATTATGCAAGTATCTATTTAGAATAGTGGTATGTAAATATTATTCTTCCATCAGACAAATATAACTCTTCCAGTAGGTGAGCTTAAGGTATGAGTTACACCAAAAAGCTTTAAGGAGCTGTATTTTACTATTAGAGGGACTGTGTCCCTCTCATTATTTTAAGTGTAAGAAGAAAACTTAATTTTGCATTTTGGTCTGATTGAAATAAGGGTTGTAGCTATAGTTTCCCCCACTTTTTTTGCTTAACAACTTAATTCTTACTCTAATTTACCTTATAATAGCTAATTTAAAACTCGTTATTTTTGTTTTTAAATTAACTGGTATGTACTCCAATAGATAAGAATTTTAAAAGAAAAAATATGTTTTGCTTAGGAATGTGCCCTCATTAGTGTTTGTTTTACTTCGTTTATTATAATCTAAAATGATTTGATACATTTTCTTTTTACATGTCTTAGAATTTAACTTGGGTCGTCTACAGATTTCCAAAGAATTAGTAAATGATGTCATTCTCCCGAAATGGGCTAAATCAGCTGAAGATTTCATCTATAAACATAGGAAAGCTTTGGTAAGAGTTTTGCATTTAGTTATTTGACAGAATAATAAGATAAAAGATGTGTTTTCCAGAGGATGGGATAATCTGACTTAGTTATTTTTCTAGATTAATTTGTAATCTATTATATATGCTGACTTTAGAAAGTACAATATAGCAATTTATTTTGAGGATATGAATCTTCTGATATAATGAGACTATAGTATAGTACCATGAATAAATATATATATATATAGCAAAATATTAAACATTTCAGCTCTGTAAAATGTCCATCTGCTGTGTATGTAAATATTCCAGTCACCAAGCTGGTGTAGTTTGGTGTTTTACAGTTTTCACATTTATTTCAAATCTAATAAGGATGAGTACATTTTTGTTTTCTCTGAAAGATTTCACTAAGCTTCTAAAAGAAAGGCAGCTAAGCCAAGCACAGTGGCTCACACCTGTAATCCTAGCACTTTTGGAGGCCAAGGAGGCCAAGGCCTCACCTGAGGTCAGGAGTTCGGAGATCAACCTGGCCAACATGGTGAAACCTCATGTCTACTAAAAATAAAAAAATTAGCCAGGCGTGGTGGCGCATGCCTATAATCTCAGCTACTCAGGAGGCTGAGGCAGGAGAATCGCTTGAACCCAGGAGGCTGAGGTTGCAGTGAGCTGAGATCACGCCGTTGCATTCCAGCCCAGGCGACAGAGCGAGACTGTCTAAAAAAAAAAAAAAAAAAAAAAAAAGAAACAAACAAAAAAAGGCAGCTAAACCCTAAATGCCACTTGAAAAAAAAGGTGGGCACAGTGGCTCACGCCTCTAATCCCAGCACTGTGGGAGGCCAAGGCGGGCAGATCACCTGAGGTCAGGAATTTGCAACCAGCCTGGCCAACATGGCAAAACCCCATCTGTACTAAAAATACAAAAATTAGGTGGGTGTGTTGGCGGGTGCCTGTAATCCCAGCTACTCAGGAGGCTGAGGTAAGATAATCTCTTGAACCCAGGAGGCGGAGGTGACAATGAGCTGAGATCGCACCACTGCACTCCAGCCTGGGAGACAGAGCGAGAAGCCATCTCAAAAATAAATAAATAAATAAAGTATTAGTTTTTAGTTAAATTTCCTAATTTGGAATTGAAGGACTAGTGAGGGTTAGTTTAACGTTGGTTATTGTGTTGCTATCTTGCAGATGATATTGATGGCTCCACTTTTCCCCACAGTAGCTCACTTTATTCTTTACCTAAACTGAAATGTTGGAGGACTCTGAAAATAATTAAGCCAGTACTTGGAAACATTTTCTATCATTATATATTTATAAAATAAGTATATATTTATAAAATTCAGAATTTGATTATAATATTTGTAAGCCTTAACCCTATGCATGAATAAGGAATTTAGAAAAAATTTAGAAAAGCAAAAATGAGTATAGCCAAGTGTGGGTGGTGTGTACCGGTAGTCCCAGCTACTTGGGAGGCTGAAGTGAGAGGATCACTTGAGCCCAGGAGTTTGAGACCAGCCTGGGCAATATAGCAAGACCCTGTATTTAAAAAAAAAAAAAAAAAGTTTATTTGGGAATGAATGATGAATTGCAGTCTGATAATACCTGTGCCCTGGTGAACCATTAGGGACCAGAGATGTACCCAGGAAGGCAAGGATTTTTAAAGGTAAAGTGAGGAAGTTTACATGAGTTGTTTTGAAACAATTATCCTTGACCACACGGATTAATAACAAGGATGGCATTAGTCCAAGGTTGAACAGGCAGTTGCTGGGCAGACATCCTCGCAGAAGTATTCTTGGTGTATGGTTGTGGTTTTCAGAGTGTCTTTGTCATAGTCTTTATTGTAGGCATGTAGGCATGTATGCATAAGAGCTCCTCCTTGATGGACTCTCCACTGAATTTTGTTAGGTTTTGGCATTCCATTTTTATCCATACAGCTTTCACAACCCTATTAATAAGATATTAGAATTATATATTTCAATTATGTATTACTGAGTAACAAACTGTTCCAAAATTCAGTGGCTTAAAAGTATAGCCATTTTAAGGGAGAGATAGCATTAGGAGAAATACCTAATGTAGATGACGGATTGATGGGTGCAGCAAACCACCATGGCATGTGTATACCTACATAACAAACCTGCATGTTCTGCACGTGTATCCCAGAACTTAAAAGTATAACAATAAAAAGAAAGTATAGCCATTTAATCATCATCTCCCACAGTTCAGTGGGTTGGCTGGCCTCAACTGAGGAATTCTGCTGGTCTTGCTTGAGGTTCTCATGCAGTTAGTAGCAGTCATATGGCAGCTGGGATTGGAGTCATCTGAAAGCTGCATCGAAACGGTAGGATGCTAGCTTTTCTCCCTCTCCATGTAATGTCAGGATATCTCCTCTCCAACTGGGTAGTCAGACTCCTCACCTGGCAGCTAAGTGCTCCCCAAAAGTAGAAGCTTCCACTCTTTCTTCATAGCATAACTTCTGCCACTTTGTAATGTTTAAGCAGTAACAGTATCAATGCCAGATTGAAGAGGAGGGAAACTGAGCTCCATCTTTCAGTGCTAACAGTGAGAAAGAATTTGTAGCTATCTTAAATCAACATGTATTCTGCCCTCTGGTCACAAATTATTTTCCTCCTACATGCAAAATATATTCACTTCCTCTCAAGACACCCTTCCCCCACAACTCTTATCTCATTAGGGAAGGAATTGGCAAATTGTTTCTGTAAAGGGACAGATAGTAAATCTTCGTTGGTCATAAGATCTATGTCACAGGTACTCAGTTCTGCCATTGTACTGCAAAAACAAATGGATGTGGCTGTGTTCTACTACTACTCTACAAATCTGGCAGCAACTCAGATTTGACCCACAGACAGTAGTTTGCTATTCTGCATTAAGGCTTGAGGCCTAAAATTCAGTATCTCATTATCTAAGTCAAGTCTGTGTGTGGATGAAACTACTCAGATGTGGCTCCTCTTGGATCTGAAGCCTGAACTAAAGAGAGAAGTTATTTGCCCCCACATGACAACAGTGGTATGAAAGGATAAGAGAACTTATAAACAGACACTCCCATTCAAAAGGAGGAGAAAAGCAGGAGGCTCCTAGCAGTCACAAATACAAATACTGTTTTATAGCAATTCAGAATTCCAGTAAGGACATGCTCTCAGATCTTCTGTTAGGGTCCAGTCCTGTCTCCCGAGAGGGGTTCTCAGTGGCTCTTGGTTCTACCTTTGAGCTTTTGGCTCCCCACTAAGTCATTCTTTTTATTCCATAAAAATAAATAAATAAATAAATAAATAATAAAACTTTGTTTACAGGAGTATCTTTGTCAGCCTCTTTCCTAACCACAGTGAATTGAAGGCCAAAGGTCTCTCTTCTTTTTTAAACAGTTTCTCTCTTTTACTCTAAACTAGTCTAATTCCATTTAAAACTTTATAGGTTTCTTATGTGTCAGCTCTATTGGACAAAAGCCATTCAACATTACCAAACAGTCCCTTCTCTACTTTGGGCTGGATGGGTGGCTACTATGGAAAAATGCTCTTAAGATTCCTAGACACTCTATTTTCTAGTTGAGTGGGTCTGTGGGACACAACCTTAAATCTTTCTGAGGTCTCAACAGATTATTTTACAGCCAAACCCTTGAACTAAACTTTTATCCAAGACCATATTTTATTGGTGACATTCTGATTTGATAGTTGCCTTAGGCAATTTCTCATTTTGAGAGTCTTTGCCCTCTAGAGATCCCGGGACTGAGAAATGTCCCCCGGCTGGAGTGCAGTGACATTATCACAACTCACTGCAGCCGTGTCCTCCTGGGCTCAGGTGATCCTCCCACCTCAGCCTCCTGAGTAGCTGGGACTGTAGGTGCAATACCACCATTCCCAGCTAATTTTTTGTAGAGAGTGGGTTTCGCCATGTTGCCCAGGCTGGTCTTGAATTCCTGGGCTCAAGCGATCCACCTGCTTTGGCCTCCCAAAGTGCTGGGGTAACAGACATGAGCCACCATGCCTGGCTCTTGCAATGGTTTTTTTTTTTTTTTTTTTTTGAATCCAGCAATATCTGGCTTTTTTATATTTTCTTTAAATTGTGCTTACAAATCAAATAGTTCACTTTTGGCTGGGTGCAGTGGCCCACACCTGTAATCCCAGCACTTTGGGAGGCCAAGGCGGGTGGATCACCTGAGGTCAGGAGTTCAAGACCAGCCTGGCCAACATGGTAAAACCCCATCGCTACTAAAAATACAAAAAATTAGCTGGGCGTGGTGGCAGGCGCCTGTAATCCCAGCTACTTGGGAGGCTGAGGCAGGAGAATCTCTTGAACCCATGGGAGGTGGAGGTTACAGTGAGCCAAGATCGTGCCACTGCACTCCAACCTCAGCGACAGAGCGAGAGACTTCGTCCCAAAAAAAAAAAAATCAAATAGTTCACTTTTTAACCGATCTTACTGCTCTCACACTTTATCATAGGCATCTGAAAGAAGCCAAATGGCACTTTAAAATGTACTGTTTGGAAGTCTGTACACCCAAATTCATGAGTTCATTCTTTCTTTCCTGTAACTGAAACATGAGTCCCATTTTTTCCTGTCTCTAATAACAATTTCCTCACTGTCTTTCAAATTATCACTAGTAATTTACAGGAGGTCTCTACCTGCCACCCTGGCCTCCTCTTAGTAAGTGGTTATTGTGAGGGAGAGAATGATTTGCAGCCATTTTTTCCACCTAAGTGTGGTTTCATTGTTTCCTTAAATTGATATTTTTTTTTCTTGAATTGAATTTCTAGACAACTATTTCAATGGAAATTTTGCCACAGAGATGCATTCCATATCTATCTTTTAGCTCTTTTGCTGTTGTTTTTGGGCTGTTATAAGCATATTTGTGTTTTATTCACCTATTAGGAAATGCATATGTTAATATTAATAAATATATCTACATTATAGTAGACAGGAATAGTTAATATATGTAGTATATATTGAATAAATGCTTGCCATTATTTTGAGATAATTTTATTTTGCTGCCAGAAAGATTTGTGTGTGGAAATGTTTCATTTGTCCTTACTTTTTTAAAGAACTGAATTTACAATGTAGTTGGAAGATATCTCTATATTAATTATTAAATTTATTCTTTTTCTAGGAGTCTGAATATGTTTCAGCTCATCTTCATGAATGGATAGATCTGATCTTTGGCTATAAACAGAGGGGACCAGCTGCAGTAGAGGCACTCAACGTTTTCTATTATTGTAGTTATGAAGGTATAAATCTATACACTTTTTCTCTTGCTTTACCTTGATAGAAACTGTTGTTTAATATATGTTTACAGTTATTTGAAGCCTATTTAATATCAGAAAGACTACATTTTAAAAACATCTTTTTACTTGAAAGATTAAGAGACTGCTGCTTTTTTTGTAATAGTAGTTAAGTGTATATATGCCAATCTAATTATAAATGTCACTTATTAACATCATAAAAGTTTTTGATCTCTAACATATTTGTCCTATCCAGTTGAGTCAAACATTAAATATTCAGTATTAAACAGTAGCAGATTTTGAAACAAGGCCTTTGAAGTTACAAATAACAGATTCTTCAAATGATACATATGATGGCATTATTTAGCTCAGAATCAAGAATATCTTCTGATGGCCTTAAAATGATTTTTAAAAAGTAGTTCTTTACTAATCCTTAAGAAGACTAATAGTTCTAAAGATTGTGAATAGTGTGAAGTTATGAGAGACTTTTAGTAAATGAGCATATTTTTGCTATACCGGATCCATTCAGGTAATAGGTTTGTAAGGAGAAAGTATTGCATGGCTGTTAGAAGCTTGGACTTACCTAGTTTAGCCAATTACTAGTCGTGTAACAATCCATATTAGGTGTGGCTGAGTATAATCAGTTAACCAGAATATTACCTTTTGAAACCTTTGTTTCAAGCAATAACTTAAAGCAGTATTTTTGTGTAGTTATTACTCTTATTTGAGTTTGGCTATCATAACCAAAACAATTAGGTGTACTCTGAGTATAATTTGTATTTTTGCAAAAGAAATTTTTATTTATTTATTTTTTTATCTTGTGACTGGGTCTTGCTCTGTCACCCAGGCTAGAGTGCAGTGGCATAATCATAGTTGAGTGCAACCTGGAACTCCTGGGGTCAACCAGCCCCTGCTGCCTCAGCCTCCTGAGTAGCTGGGAACTGCAGGCATACCACCACACCCAGCTAATTTTTAAAATTTTTTAGAGAGATGAAGTCTCACTTTGTTGTCCAGGCTGGTTTCAAACTCCAGGTCTCAAGCAGTCCTCCCGCCTCAGCCTCCCAAAGTGCTGGGATTACAGGCGTGACCCACCACCCCTGGCCCAATAGAAACCTTCATAGAATATCATTTAACTTTCAATTGCTTAAAATATTTTAGCTAATTTTTATATATATTTAATGTTTGATGCGTTGCTGATTTTTTTGAATTACCTTTTCACAATGTTGTAAATTGAAGAATGGAATAATATTTTATTGAAACTATACCAATGAGGTCAGGGTGGTGGCTCACGCCTGTAATCCCAGCACTTTGGGAGGCTGGGGCAGGCAGATCACCTGAGGTCAGAAGTTCAAGACCAGCCTGGCCAACATAGTGAAACCCCGTCTCTACTAAAAGTACAAAAATTATCTGGGCGTGGTGGCACGGACCTGTAGTCCCAGCTACTCAGGAGGCTGAGGGAGGAGAATTGTTTGAACCCAGGAGGTGGAGGTTGCAGTGAGTCGAGATCATACCACTGCACTCCAGCCTGGGCAACAGAGCAAGACTCTGTCTCAAAAAAAAAAAAAAAGATGTGTGTACACACACACACACACACACACACACACACACACACACACACACACACACCAATGAGCCTGATACATTAATCAGTGATGTGGCTTGCTGATTTGTTTTCACTCTATAGTAAGTTGACTTCTTCTGGTTTTAGGAGCTGTGGATCTGGATGCCTTAACAGATGAGAAAGAAAGAAAAGCCTTAGAAGGGATGATTAATAATTTTGGGCAAACACCCTGTCAATTATTAAAGGTAAGTCAACAACTTAAGAAGTAGATTTAAGTCAACTTAAGAAGTAGATTTAAGTACATAACAAAATATTGCAGTCAAGATCCATGTATATAGCCAGTTACTCTCAGTCACAGAAAGATTTCTGTTTGCTCAGAAAGTCTTATATTATTTCCAAGAGGAAAAACTGAGTACCTATTAGGGTATGCCATTAAAACTGTCCTCATGCTGGGACTCATTCCACATGTAAAACTTCTAATAGCTAACATCTGCCCAAAAAGGCACTTGCTTTCCAGAGCCCAAACCCAGTCTTAAGAATCAAATTGCTCTCGGCTTTCGGCTCGGAGGAGGCCAAGGTGCAACTTTCTTCGGTCGTCCCGAATCCGGGTTCATCCAACACCAGCCGCCTCCACCATGCCGCCGAAGTTCGACCCCAACGAGATCAAAGTCGTATACCTGAGGTGCACCGGAGGTGAAGTCGGTGCCACTTCTGCCCTGGCCCCCAAGATCGGCCCCCTGGGTCTGTCTCCAAAAAAGGTTGGTGATGACATTGCCAAGGCAACGGGTGACTGGAAGGGCCTGAGGATTACAGTGAAACTGACCATTCAGAACAGACAGGCCCAGATTGAGGTGGTGCCTTCTGCCTCTGCCCTGATCATCAAAGCCCTCAAGGAACCACCAAGAGACAGAAAGAAACAGAAAAACATTAAACACAGTGGGAATATCACTTTTGATGAGATCGTCAACATTGTTCGACAGATGCGGCACCGATCCTTAGCCAGAGAACTCTCTGGAACCATTAAAGAGATCCTGGGGACTGCCCAGTCTGTGGGCTGTAATGTTGATGGCCGCCATCCTCATGACATCATCGATGACATCAACAGTGGTGCTGTGGAATGCCCAGCCAGTTAAGCACAAAGGAAAATATTTCAATAAAGGATCATTTGACAACTGAAAAAAAAAAAAAAAAGAATCAAATTATAGAATATTTAAAATGTAGAATCAAATTATTAAATATTACTACATATATTTCTTTCCCTATACTGGTATCTGAAATTAAATCATTATCTTCCTGATGACACACAGGTTTAGATTAATGGAAATTAATCTAATGGTAGTTTTCAAAGATGTCTTGATCTTTTTCAGTATATGAATTTAGTGATGTAGAATGTACAAAAAAATATATCATTTATTAACTAGATATGTTCTTAAGCAATCACTGTGTTTGTTAGGTACTTTACCTAATCTTCATAGTAAAAATTCAGCTATCCTCATTTTTTAGGAGTTAAAGCCAAGCCTCACAGAAGGTAATACCTAGCCTATAATGCCTTTGAGAAATTAAATACTTTTTCTATGTTTACACAACAAGAAAGTGACTAGGATTATATGCCTGACCATCTAACTCCAAAGCCTTTCTAGCATGCCATGTTTCCTCTGAATGAGTAGTTGTAAGCCCCCGTTAAACTAGATCTCTTAACATGTTCTTATGGGCCTTTATTTGCTACCTAATTAGGACACTTTCTGCCTTAGGCTATATATTTATCCATTTACCTCAGTACATTATAAATACATTAAAGGCAGCAACTTTCTCTTAATCATCTTTGTATCACTCTTGAATACAGTATTGAATTGAAATCGCCACAGCTATTACAACAGTAGTGTATCTAAGCTCTAACTTATAGATGTACTTCTGTCAATACAGTAATTGGGCTAAGCTTTGTAATTTTTACTGTTCCTTAGCAACAGTTTGCTCGGAACCTCCAACATTGGTTTTTACAGAATAGTCATATGTGAAGTCAATGCTTTATCCCTTACCTTCTGGTACAGTCAGAAGGCGAAAGTAACAGACTAAAACAGAATGCTTCACAGGGCTTTGAAATAGATGCTATCATATTTTCACACCTGCTTTACCTTTCTTTTTGTTTTACAAGTGGTGCTAATTAGTTTTTATTGTGATGAAAATGATACAAAAATCAGCCTTTGATTTGAAATAAAGTGAATAATATTTATTAAAAGATAATTTTTTTTTTTTTTTTGAGAGGGAGTTTTGCCCTTGTTGCCCAGTCTGGAGTACAATGGCACAATCTCGGGTTACTCCAACCTCTGCCTCCTGGGTTCAAGCGATTCTCCTGCCTCAGCCTCCCAAGTAGCTGGGATTACAGAGGCCCGCCACCACACCTGGCTAATTTTTTGTATTTTTAGTAGAGACGGGGTTTTGCCATGTTGGGCAGGCTGGTCTTGAACTCCTGACCTCAGGTGATCTGCCTGCCTCAGCCTCCCAAAATGCTGGGATTACAGGTGTGAGCCACCGCACCCGATCTAAAAGCTAAATATTTTAGTACTTACAGCTTTCACATCTATTGCCTATAATCAATATTTTTTTGTAGAGATGTAAGAATTTACTTTAGATAGAATTCTGTTTTGCCTTTTAACTGTGCCTTTGAAATGTTCATTTTACTTGCCATTTATTTCATATTTATAGATGATACTGTTCTGTGTTTCTGACATGAAAGTTGAGGAAGAACAAAATTTACTTGAAAAGTATGCAGCAGTACCTATAATTTGATTCTGACAGTATTGACTTTTTTTCTTTCTTTCTTTTTTTTTTTTTTTTTTTTTTTTTTGAGATGGAGTCTTACTCTGTCACCCAGGCTGGAGTGCAGTGGCACGATCTTGGCTCACTGCAACTTCCATCTTGTGGGTTCAAGCGATTCTCCTACCTCAGCCTCTCAAGTAGCTGGGACTATAGGTGCACACCACTACGCCTGACCAATTTTTGTATTTTTAGTAGATACAGGGTTTCACCATGTTAGCCAGTATGGTCTTGAACTTCTGACCTCAAGTGATCCGCCCACCTCAGCCTCCCGAAGTGCTAGGATTTCAGGTGTGAGCCAGCACGCCCAGCCAGTGTTGACATTTTGATCTTGTCAAGGAATTAAAGATTCATCCAAATTATACATTCTGAATTTTGAATACTACATTTAATTTTACCAAGCATCTAACGTGTAAGATACTAGTCTAGTATGGAAATCCAAAAATGAATAAGGCTTCTCTAGCTTTAAGGCACTTATAACCTAGCTGGGGAAGACAGACCATAAACAACTATATGTAATCCAATATAGAAAGAAATAAATTATAATTAAAATATAAATTATTTGCCAAGGAAAAATAATAAAAGAGAATAATACATTCTGACTTGAAAATTTAGGAGAGATATCAGTAAGAAAAACTTTAAAGTAGAAGTGGGGTTTCCAAAGAAATGAAAAAAGTAGTATCTCTGCTAAGAGAATAGTCTGAGCCAACACCTATAATTGTCAACAATGCATGGTATGTAATTCATTGTAGCTAGAGCCTAGTGTATATGAAGGAACATAGTGAGAGATTAATAACATAGATATGGAATTGTTTTTCCTTAAAATTATTTTGAAGGAACCACACCCTCCAAGATTATCAGCAGAAGAAGCAGTGCAGAAGCCAACCAAAATAGACACTTCAACCCTAAACCTGTTTCAACACCTTCCTGAACTCAAGTCATTTTTTATAGAGGTAATATCCTACTTGGTAATATCAAAAAGAGTTTTCTCTAAATTCTGTACATTTTAAAGTTCTTTTATTATTTAATGGGAAGTAAGGATTATAATATTTAATTCAAGATAGTAAATTATACTGTAATAATCTGTTGTTGGATTTTTAAAACATTTTTATTGGAAGCTTTTGTTTGCTGCTGAGTGGTAGTCTGAACTGTTTTTCTTGGCTTTCTTTCATCTACTTCACATTTTCCTGACGAAGAAGAATAAATAATTTGACTTAAAATGCTTCTTGTGACAATCGAGATGATATGTAGATGGAGATAATAATTTAATAGCTCTTAATTATAATGTCTGCTCATATATAAAATAGATCCTAATAAGTCCATTGTTAATTGATAGAATGAGTAGTCTAGTAAAACAGGAGTAGTTAATGGTGTAATTGAAAGAGTTTAAATAAAAAATTCAAATGTTTAAATATACATATTAAATTGAGTAATTCAGAATGTGATTATAAAATGCATTCATACCTATGAATGTGGTTAGGACAGATAGCATTAACCCTTCACAAAAAGAAAATTGAAAATAAAAAGTTACTAAGATTAGTTTGAAAATATACATTGAACAGTCTCTGCAATACAGCAGAGGTTGGTAAACTCTTTCTTGTCTCAAATAATAACTTATTTGAAAAGTATGCAGCAGTGAGATAGGTCTAACTGGTAAATATTTTGTGCTTTGCAGGCCAAAAGGCAAACTCAAAGATATTCTGTAGATACATATATAACCACTTAAAATGTAATCATCTAAAAATATAAAACCCATCCTTAGCTCACCCACCGCCTACAAAACAGGTGGTGGGCTGGCTTTGTCCCACAGGCTGTAGTTTGTAAAACCCTGCATTGCAATATCACTGCAGCGTGTTTCTCAGATTCAATACCATGGGAAAATGAATTATCAAAAAATATAATTTTTTGATAATGTAGTGTAAAAAATGTTTATGAGTTTTATAACAGTTAAAGCTTTGGCCGGGCGCAGTGGCTCACGCCTGTAATCCCAGCACTTTGGGAGGCCGAGACCGGCAGATCACGAGGTCAGGAGATTGAGACCATCCTGGCTAACATGGTGAAACCCCGTCTCTACTAAAAAATATAAAAAATTAGCAGGGCATGGTGGTGGACGCCTGTAGTCCCAGCTACTCGGAAGGCTGAGGCAGGAGAATGGCATCCAGGAGGCAGAGCTTGCAGTGAGCCGAGATCACGCCACTGCACTCAGAGCGAGACTCCATCTCAAAAAAAAAAAAACAGTTAAAGCTTTATAATACATTTTACTCAAATGAACAATATTGTAGTAAGCATCACTGTATTTTTTAATTGATGTAATAATTAAACAGTTTTATGGGGTACACCACTGTATTTTGGTACATGCTTTCACGTGTTTGTGAAAGCACTTCAAAATTAATCTGTCACTCTTTTCCTAAATCCATGTTTACTGAAATAGTTATTTAGTGTTGCAATACAAACTCTACAAACTTGGTTGTTTCCAAAAGTATCTAAGTTAGTTGCATAGAACTCAGAACACAAAAAAACAATGCTCAGAAATTATGACTAATTCCCAGGATGTGTTGGGAGTCTCCAAGACTACCCCCAGGTTCAGTGATTTGCCAGAAAGACTCACGGAATTTAACATGTAGTTGTAGTCATGGCTAAGATTTATTACAGTGAAAGGATACAAAGCAACATCAGCAAAGGGAAAAGGCACATGGTGTGCAGTCCAGGGGAAGCCAGGCACAAGTGTCCAAGAGACCTCTCCTAGTGGAGTCACATAAGATCTACTTAATTCTTTCAGTAATGAAATGTGGAAACACATTTTTTTGTCGTCAGAGAAGCTCATTAGAGACCCAGTGCCCAAGGTTTTTATTGGAGGCTGGTCGCGTACACACCCCTCTGACTAGCACATACCAAAATTCCAAACTCCAGAAGAAAAACAAGTGTTTAGCATAAACCATACTATTTGCACAAACACTCTAGGTGTAGTGAGCCACCCTTGTCATTGAGGGAAAGTTTTATGTCAGTGTAAGGATGAACTGTTCGCCAGCCAAGTCCCAGATGCCAACCAAAGGCCAGTCTTGCAAGTAGGCCTTTCTGTAACAATGATGGCAGTCTCAGGCCTGCTATGTTAACTCTTTACTGCATGTAAAACAACACAAGACCCTATTTGACCCATAATCTGATGGACATGCAATACTATATTTCTTCTATAATGCCAATAGAACTATTTTCATCTTATCTAATCATTTGTGACTTTTCTTGTAATATAGTACATTCCAAGTTCCATCTGCAGGTGCAGCAACACATCTGCCCTTCTCTGTACCTACCATGTCACATAGTAGCTTTCTCCAGGACACATTCAGTATCTGGATCAGTATAAAGAACACAATAGATTTCCTTGGGTACCAATAACTTGTTAATCCCTTTTCATCCTCGTAAGAGGTATTTCCCCATGTATTAATATGAAAAGAGAAGGCCTTTTGTAGGTCATCTCTTCATAGGTGTTCAAATTGTGAAGAAAGTAGAGATAGTAGTGAAAGCAAGGGCTTAATAAATGGGTTTTTTTCAGGTACCATTTTCATTTTGCCTTGTTCAAATGCAAGTCATTCTTCTCTGGATTAATTCACAACGTAAAGAGAAAAGATAATCACCAACTTTTTAAAATTTTATAAATTATAATGAATTTTATAATTTGTTACTTAGTCCCTATTAAGTTCTTAGAACAACACCTGATACATAGTACATACCCAATAATGTTATCATTTACCTAGTAAATATTAGGTATCACTTGTGAACAACTGTCACATCAGGGAACTGAATTCAAATTATTGTTCTCTTTCACATTGTTATAAGATAATGGCAGATGTTTTCTGAACGCTGTCTTTATTTTCTGGTCCTACTGTGGCTTTCAGGAAGTACCCTAGTTAATGGGTTAGAAGTGTTTTTTAAAAGTTAGACCCAAAAGGAAATTTCTATAAATTATGACCAATTTTCTCATTTGACTTATTTGAGAAACATGTTCTTATATGATCCGTATTTTCTACTTTATATGTATGTCAGTATAACTTAGGATAGATCCTAAATCATTGGCTGTTTTAAATTATTGCTGCTCTTTGAAATCTACATCTCTTTTTTAAAAGCAGAATAGTTGAATAGAAGGTGATGGGTTTCAGAAATTTCAAGTATGCCATATATACATGGTATATAATTCCTTTCCTTCATTTTAAATTAATTGATTAGATGTTTCAAGAGAGTAAAATGATGTATCACAGGATTCATCCTTATTTAAAGAGACGGTTTTCAGTAATTTGTACCTAATAAAGATGAGCAGAACCAGCCACTAAACCTCTTTTATTTTATAGGGGATTAGTGATGGTATTCCACTATTAAAGGCCACCATCCCCAAAAATCAGTATCGTTCTTTTATGTCTCAAGGCAGCCCTGAGTTACTGGTAAGTTGATTTTTACCTTTTTCACACTGCTATGCCTATATTCATTACAACTTAGAAAAAAAGAGGAAATAAATATTTTTTAAAAGCCACTTTTTGGCTGTGCATGGTGGTTCATGCCTGTAATCCCAGCGCTTTGGGAGGTTGAGACAAGCAGATTGCTTGAGCCCAGGAGTTCAAGACTAGCCTGGGCAACATTTGCTCAGAAAATAAAATCTGAAAAGATATATAAAAATAGGCTGGGCACAGTGGCCCACGTCCGTAATCCCAGCACTTTGGGAGGCCAAGGCAGGTGGATCACTTGAGGTCAGAAGTTCAAGACCAGCTTGGGCAACATGGTGAAACCCTGTCTCTACTAAAAATACAAAAAATTAGAAAGGCGTGGAGGCAGGTGCCTGTAATTCCAGCTACTTGGGAGGCTGAGGCAGGAGAATCACTTGAATCCAGGAGGTGGAGGTTGCAGTGAGCCAAGATCGCGCCACTGCACTCCAGCCTGGGTGACAAGAGCGAGACTCCTTCTAAATAAAAATAAATAAATAAATAAAAAGATACACAAAAATAGTAGTAGTACTTTTTGAGCAGTGGCAATCTTGTGAATTTCAATCCTTATATATATATTTTTTTTTCTTTTCTTTTTTTTTTTTTTTTTGAGACAGAGTCTCACTCTGTCACCCAGGCTGGAGAGCCAATCACAGCTCACTGCAGCCTTGACCTCCTGGGCTCAGGTGACCCTTCCACCTCGGCCTCCTGAGTAGCTGGGACTACAGATACACACCACCATGGCCAGCTAATTTTTGTATTTTTTGTAGAGATCAGGTTTTGCCATGTTGCCCAGGTTGGTCTCAAACTCCTGAGCTCAAGTGATCCTCCCACCTGAGCCTCACAAAGTGCCTGCGTTTTTTAAAGTTACCAGAATTTCGTTTGTCGGGGGTTGCTTGTTAACTTTTATAATCAAGAAGATAAAAGCTTTTCATTTTGAAGAGAGGAGAACTTACTATGACTGTCACTACAGGCAGACCTTAACAGTTCATTGCATTCATTGTAAATTATCCTTCTGGTTTATGTTCTAAATGATATATATTATATTTTTATGGTAAGACTGGTCCCTGAATTTCTTCCATCTGCCAGCTGATAAGTGCTAATAAACTTTGAGAAATCATGAGAAAAAATAATCTTCCTAAAGAAAGATAAATTGGGCTGAGCGCAGTGGCTCACACCTGTAATCCCAGAACTTGGGAGGCTGTGGGTGGATTTCTTGAGCTTAGGAGTTCGAGACCAGCCTGGGCAACATGGCAAAACCCCATCTCCACTAAAAATACAAAAAATTAGCCAGGCATGGTGGTGCATGCTTGTGGTCCCAGCTACTCAAGAGGCTGAGGTCAGAGGATTGCTTGCGCCCGGGAGGTTGTAGTGAGCTGAGATCATGCCACTGCACTCCAGCCTGGGTGACAGAGCAAGACTCTATCTCAAAAAAAAAAAAAAAAATTGGACAAGTTTTCTTACAATAAGATAAACAAGGCCAGGTGTGGTGACTCACGCCTGTCATCCTAATGCTTTGGGAGGCCGAGGTGGGAGGCTCACTTAAGCCCGGGAGTTGGAGACTAGCTTGGGCAACATGGTGAAACCATGTCTCTACAAAAAATACAAAGAATACAAAAATTAGCCAGGCATGGTGGCGCATGCCTGAAGGTTGCAATGAGCTGAGATCATGTCACTGTGCTCCAGCCTGGGCAACAGAGTGAAACCCTGGCTCCAAAAATAAAAGATAAAAAAAGAGCTTTTTCTGTTTGAGTTATCTTAAGATGTGCTTAATGAGTTTCAGGTTTGAAGTACACAGTCTCACAGTGTTCCCTAAGTGATAAATGCCAATGTCATGTGAGCATCTGGTTATTCTGGGCTGCTTTCCTTAATATTTCATTTAATTTGAGTCTTCATATGTTCTTTTCCAGATAACAATAAGCATGAATTATGTTATTGGAACCCATGGATGGTTGCCTTATGACAGAAACATTTCTAATTACTTTACATTCATCAAGGATCAAACTGTGACAAATCCAAAGTAAGTAAATGAATATGTAAAGCAAAATAGCTATACCAGATACCTTATTGCCAGGAAAAAAACTAGATTAATTGATTCATTTATTCTGAAAGAAATATTTTTTTTTTTTTTTTTTGAGACAGAGTCTTGCTCTGCGGTGCAGTGGCGCAATCCCCACTCACTGAAACCTCTGCCTCCCGAGCTCAAGGGATTATCTGGCTAATTTTTGTTGTTAGTAGAAATTGAGTTTCACCATGTTGGCCAGGCTGGTCTCAAACCCTTGACCTCAAGTGATCCGCCCACCTCAGCCTCCCCAAGTGCTGGGATTATAGGCCGCCTGGCCCTGAAAGTAATGTTTTGAGATCCAGATTATCTCTTCTTCCCTCCTTCCTCCCTCCATTCCCTCCCCAACCTTCCCTTATTTTTAAGTTATGTCCTGAATTTATATTGGTTTAAATACAAAACTTAGTTTCCATAATATGAGTTATAGAAATACAATTACATTAGGAATAATAGACTTCCTTGTAATTTTATTCTACTTTATTATGTAAAAATAAGACCTATGTATTTTAATCTCCAAAAGTTATGTTCTCACTTAAAGTGGTGTTTCCCTTACACTGAATTGTCCTGTTTGTTTGCTTATATTTTTTTCTAGTTAAATCACATTCATGGCTGGGCACAATGGCTCACGCCTGTAATCCCAAAACTTGGGAAGCTGAGGCAGGCGGACCACCTGAGGTCAGAAGTTCAAGACCAGCCTGGCCAACATGGCAAAACCCCGTCTCTACTAAAAATACAAAAATTGGCCGGGTGTGGTGGCTCACACCTGTAATCCCAGCACTTTGGGAGGCAGAGGCAGGCGGATCACGAGGTCAGGAGATCGAGACCATCTTGGCTAACACAGTGAAACCCCATCTCTACTAAAAATACAAAAAAATTAGCCAGGCATGGTGGCAGGCGCCTGTAGTCCCAGCTACTAGGGAGGCTGAGGCAGGAGAATGGTGTGAACCTGGGAGGCAGAGCTTGCAGTGAGCCGAGATAACGCCACTGCACTCCAGCCTGGGCAACAGAGCAAGACTCCAACTCAAAAAAATAAAATAAAAATAAAAATACAAAAATTAGCCAGGCATGGTAGTGGGAACCTGTAATCCAAGCTACTCGGGGGGCTGAGGCAGGAGAATCGCTTGAACCCAGGAGACAGAGGTTGCAGTGAGCCGAGATTGCGCCACTGCACTTCAGCCTGGACGACAGAGCAAGACTCCACCTCAAAAAAACTAAAATTAAAATAAAATTCAAAAATCACACTCCATGTTGAGGATCAAATTACACCATATATTTGAAAACTATTTAAAATGATATAATTGTTATCACTGTATCTTTGTCTTCCTCAACTAGAATACAACTTCATGAGATTAAGGAAAATGTTTTTTTTCCTTTCTTATCCCACATAGTACTGTTATGTTTTGCAAGAAGCATATTCTCAGCAAATTAATATTGAACAATAAAGTTTTATAGCTAGAGTATGAGAATTAGCCCTCATTTTCTATATACACACTGAGTTGCAATCACTTGTCTTTCTGCAGAATCTGGATTGGCTAAGCTCACAGGTATTGCACTTGGAAGCTGATAAAACCAGCATGCTTGCTTTGGTTCAAATGGAGAACAGTCATCATAAGTGTTGTTAGATACACACTTATCTGCCTGATTTATCTCCTATGCATCACCTTGTGTAGGACATCCCTGGTTTAAGTTTATTTCTGATATTCCTGGTCCTGGCATATCCTGTCTTGTCTTTAAACTTTAAGGCTGTCATTTACAAAATTGCCAATTTTATTAAATTGTCTTTGAAATCCAAGATTTAAGCTTTCTTCACACCTTCACTGATTTCACCTTTTTTTGTTTACCACTTGAGATTGTTATGTATATTCTTAATTTATGAAAAATATTACAGTGAGATAACATGTTTTCTGAAAGTCTATCGTTTATTAATAGACATTTCAAATAGGACATTTGGGACTAATTTTTTATTTCTTTTTTAGAGAGGTTTAAAAAGAATAGTTCACATCAGTATACGTGATCTTGTAAGGAAAAGTCTGATATTTAATTGTGTTTACAGAACTCAGCGCAGTATAAATGGTTCTTTTGCTCCCGGGCTAGAGATCACTTCTAAGCTATTTGTAGTATCACATGATGCAAAGTTGCTCTTCAGTGCTGGATACTGGGATAATAGCATTCAAGTGATGTCACTTACAAAAGGCAAAATTATCTCACACATCATCCGGCATATGGGTAAGCATTAGCTTTTTTTCCAAAAATGCTCAAAAATTTTCTTTTTTTCTTAAGTATAAAAGTAGTACGTGCTCTTTGTAAAGAGCATTAAATTTTACCTTTGAAGCTGAGTGAACTTTTTTATTGTGTAGGATTATAAATATATACTTTCTATAGGAGTGTCTCATGTATTTTGGGTATAATAAAGCACCACATAAATTAAATACATCTTCATAGTATCTGGAAAATGTTAGGCTAAGTTGTTTTTTTTTAATGAATGATAAAAGTAAGAATTTTAAGACAAAATGGTAATAAAATCTGCTGTCATTAGATAAGACATCAACTGCTCTATTACTTTGTTAACAGTTAAACATGAGAGTGATGAAATTGTTGAATGTAGTTTTAACTTGCTACTTCTTAGTGTATTAGTCTTCAATATAAGAATAAAACATTGAGTAGGTTTTTTTCTAATAAACCTGTTAGGGAAGGAAAATGGAGTCTGCTGCTAATTCTGTACCAGTCAATCCTAAGATAACACTTACGTCTGCAGTTTAGGAAAAATATATTTGTATTGTGAATTTATAGTATAGTATGTGCAGTTTTTCTAAGGACATATATTCTATAGGATTACAATTCCCAATGGGAGTAGAAGGTGAATGGGGATGAGAAAGCAAAGTAGCATATGAAAATTAACTGGGGATCTATCTCAAACTATCTAACCTCCTCCCAAGATTGTGGTAGTCATTCCCCACACTGCATGTCGACTTCTCATGCTCAGAGAAGGGGGATTTCAAAGAAAGCTCTCCGAGGTGATTTTGACACTGCTGCTTTCCTGTGTCTCTCTTCCCCAATGCTTTTCCAGTACCATGTCTACATTCCTCCCTGTTGGCATAACTGATTTAGGAATAGTTTGAACATTAACAAAAATTGCTCTTAAAGTTCTATTTTAGCAAAACGAGGCATCTCATTTTATTTAATTCCTTTTCTTACAGATATTGTGACTTGCTTAGCTACAGATTACTGTGGAATACATTTGATTTCTGGTTCCAGAGATACTACATGTATGATATGGCAAATAACACAACAGGTAGTCACACATTTAAATGTTCTTGAATTAGGTCAGAGATTCACCCTGAGAATACTAGCAAAATGTTCTACTAGGACATCGAATTGTTTTCTGGCAGTGACTGAGCTCCTTTGTATTCTTTTTACCCACATTTTGTCCTGTTCAAATCACCACATTTTTTCCTAGGTTTACTGTCTGATTCATTACCTTATTCCCTATTGCTTTCCAAAGATTCTTCCTTCTTACCTTTCCTAGGAAAACGGGAATTATTTTATTGTCTTTTAGCATAGTAACATTTCTGCTTTCTTTCTTGTGGGACTACTAGAAATGATAGATTTATAGTTTTCATCAACCTGATTGCATTCTCATAATAATATTGGTCCAGGAAGTATCATTTTTATTGAATAGCTTCTGTTTTCTTTTCTTTTTTTTTTGAGATGGCATGATCTCGGCTCACTGCAACCTCCGCCTCCCGGGTTCAAGCGATTCTCCTGCCTCAGCCTCCCATGTAACTGGGATTACAGGCACGTGCCACCATGCCTGGCTATTTTTTTTTTATTGTATTTTTTGTATTTTTTGTATTTTTGTATTTTTAGCAGAAATGGGGTTTCGCCATGTTGGCCAGGCTGGTCTTGAACTCCTGACCTTCAGTGATCCACCTGCCTTGGCCTCCCAAAGTGCTGGGATTATAGGTATGAGCCACTGTGCCCGGTCAGCTTCTGTGTTTTCTGCATTGTCTTAACAGGCTTTCTCCCACTCCAAATTTATAAAAAGTATCTAGAAATTTTCTTCCATTTAAAAAACCCAGCTGAGCGTGGGACATGCTTGTGGTCCTGGTGGGAGGCTGAGGTGGAAGGATTGCTTGAGCCAGGGAAGCAGAGGCTGCAATGAGCTGAGATTCTGCCACTGCACTCCAGCCCGGGTGACTGAGCAAGATCCTATCTCAAAAAAAATTGTTTTCTTCTAATTTTTTTTGTTTTCTTATATTACAATCTTTAATTTCTTGGTAATTTATTTATCTACATTGGATAAGGCTTTGTTTACTTCTGAATAGGAAGCATTACACTTAAAGTGTAATGTTCTCAGATAGTCTTATATAGGTATTTATTCTTACATATGAACTTATGTTTTAGCCATACCCTCTTTTGTTTTTTGTGTTTTTTTTGTTATTTTTTGTTTTTTTGAGATGGAGTCTTGCTCTGTCCTGAGCCCAGCTAGAGTGCAGTGGCGCAAGCTTGGCTCACTGCAACCTCCACCTCCTGGGTTCAAGTGATTCTCCTGCCTCAGTCTCCTGAGTAGCTGGGACTACAAGCGCGTGCCACCATGCCCAACTAATTTTTGTATTTTTAGTAGAGACGGGGTTTCACCATCTTCTCCAGGACGGTCTCGAACTCTTGACCTCGTGATCTGCCTGCCTTGGCCTCCCAAAGTGCTGGGATTACAGGTGTGAGCCACCGCACCCGGCCCCATACCCTCTTTTTTTTAAAAAAAAAAAACAACTCCATTTTAGTCTTACTGAAATTGTATTTAATTTATATGTTAATTTGGTTTGGGGGTTTTTTGGTTTTTTTTTTTTTTTTTTGAGGCAGGGTCTCAGTCTGTCGTCCATGCTGGAGTGCAGTGGCAGTGGCACAATCATGGCTCACTGCAGCCTTGACCTCCCAGGCTCAAGCAATCCTTGCTTCTCAACCTCCCAAGTAGCTGGGACTCCAGGCATGCACCACCACGCCTGGCTAGTTTTTGTGTTTTTAGTAGAGAGAAAATGATTGTCTCTGCCATGTTACCCAGGCTGGTCTCGAACTCCTAGGCTCAAGCGTTCTGCCCACCTTGGCCTCCCAATAATTTGGCATATTTTTATAGTTATTTATTTACAGAAATAGGAAGTGTCTTTTCATGTTTGTTTCAGGTCCTTTTTATGTCCTTTGATAAAATTTCTTTCTTTTTCATTTAGATCTGATACCTTGTGATACTTACTTCAAATTATCATGTTTTTTATTACTATTTTTAGTGGGGTTTTAAAAATCATTTTTGTGTCTGATTATTGTTAATATAAAGAAAAGCTATATAGTGATTTGACTGATTTCTGTACAATTATATCGAATTACTTTGCCAAATCCTCTTATCAACTCTCATGGTTATTAGTATTTCTTGGATTTTCTGAAAATAAGGTAGATAATACAATCATGTGATCTGAAAATAAAAGTAATTTGCTTTATCTTTTCTAATATACTAATTATTTCATTTTCTTATATTATTAGCTAATACAATAAGGTAAGCAAAATTATAGTGAGCATCCCCGCCTTATATCTAATTTTGATGAAAATGTCTTCCCAATGTTACCATTTAGTATAGTGTTTGCTGTTAGGTTTCACTAGTTGTGTTTTTCACATTTAAGTATTTAGCTTACTTCTATTATTTTTTTCTTTTGGTAACTTTATAGTTTTAATGAAATTTCAAACTTGTAAAAAATTTGCAAAAATAGTATATTTTGTATCATGTGTCTTAGCAGTCTCTTTTAGTATCTCCCTCTTACAGCATCTTATTTTTTTTAACCATTTAAAAGTTTGAGATATCATGTTCCTTTACCCCTAAATAGGTCAGTGTGTATTTTCTGAGAACAAAGACAATCTTGTACATAAACCCAGTGAAGTTACCAAAATCAGAATGCTTAACATTTATACAATACCATTAGCTAATCCACAGTCCATGTTCTAATTTTGTATTTCCAATAATGTTCTTTACAGCTGTTTTTCCCAGTTTATCTTATTTGTAATTTTTCTCTTTTTCTTGATGTAATGTATTATGTTGAGAACTTTCCTAGGTTTGCACCATCCTTGAATTTTTATAATAAACCCACATAGTTTATGGTATATTGTTATTACACTTTACTGATGTATCTTATTAGCTAGTACTTTAATGATTTCTCTACTCTTAAGTAAGATAGATCTTTTTGTTCTGTCTTTATCATGTTTAGTATGGGGATATGCAATCTTTACCAAATAAATTTAGGAAGGGCTCCTCTTTCTCTTGACTTGGAATTGCTTCCATAATATAGGAATTACCTGAGTTTTAAAAGTTAAATATAGTGCACTACGCACTCAGACTGATACTCACAGGGAAAGACAAATTTGTCACAGGTAGCAGAGTGTCAAGGGGAATTAATGCACACCACATGGAACAGGTGGAAGGTGTGGGCAGAGTTGTCTAGGATAATCACAAATACAAATAGCAACTATTCAAATAAAACAAATAACATACAACTATGTGTATGCTAAAGACAAAGCACGCTAAAGACATGAAGAAAGAGTCTTCTGGAAGATGACTCAGAGAGCAATTTTTTGCAATACAATTGTGTTATTAGGAAAACATAAGAATGGCAGTTCAATAAAATGGAAGATCAAACATGAAATGATAAAATAGCATTATAAGAAGAAAACGAAGGTTGCAGAAGAATCAAGTTGAGATTAAAACCAGTACCATTACATACTCCATAAATATATATACCTACTGTGTACCACAAATGTTTTTTCAAAGGGCTGCAGCCAAGACATATTTAAAAATACCATTACAAACACAAATAAACCTGAAGCAGAAACTACAAGAAAGAAAGCATGTCTCTCCCTCTCCCTCTCCCTCTCTCCCTCTGTCCCTTTCCCTCTCCCTCTCTCCCTCTCCCCTCTTTCCACCGTCTTCCTCTGATGCCGAGCCAAAGCTGGACTGTACTGCTGCCATCTCAGCTCACTGCAACCTCCCTGCCTGATTCTCCTGCCTCAGCCTGCCGAGTGCCTGCAATTGCAGGCGCGCGCCGCCACGCCTGACTGGTTTTCGTATTTTTTGGGTGGAGAACACGGGGTTTCGCTGTGTTGGCCGGGCTGGTCTCCAGCTCCTGACCGCGAGTGATCCGCCAGCCTCGGCCTCCCGAGGTGCCGGGATTGCAGACGGAGTCTCCTTCACTCAGTGCTCAATGGTGCCCAGGCTGGAGTGCAGTGGCATGATCTCGGCTCGGTACAACATCCACCTCCCAGCAGCCTGCCTTGGCCTCCCAAAGTGCCGAGATTGCAGCCTCTGCCCGGCCGCCACCCCGTCTGGGAAGTGAGGAGGGTCTCTGCCTGGCCGCCCATCATCTAGGATGTGAGGAGCCCTTCTGCCTGGCTGCCCAGTCTGGAAAGTGAGGAGCGTCTCTGCCCGGCCGCCATCCCAACTAGGAAGTGAGGAGCGCCTCTTCCCGGCCGCCATCCCATCTAGGAAGTGAGGAGCGTCTCTGTCCGGCCGCCCATCATCTGAGATGTGGGGAGCGCCTCTGCCCTGTCGCCCCGTCCGGGATGTGAGGAGCGTCTCTGCCCGGCCGCCCCGTCTGAGAAGTGAGGAGACCCTCTGCCTGGCAACCGCCCTGTCTGAGAAGTGAGGAGCCCCTCCGCCCGGCAGCCGCCCCGTCTGAGAAGTGAGGAGCCCCTCCGCCTGGCAGCCACCCCATCTGGGAAGTGAAGAGCATCTCCGCCCGGCAGCCACCCCGTCCAGGAGGGAGGTGGGGGGGTCAGCCCCCCGCCCGGCCAGCCGCCCCCTCCGGGAGGTGAGGGGCGCCTCTGCCCGGCCGCCCCTACTGGGAAGTGAGGAGCCCCTCTGCCCGGCCACCACCCCGTCTGGGAGGTGTGCCCAACAGCTCATTGAGAACGGGCCATGATGACAATGGCGGTTTTGTGGAATAGAAAGGGGGGAAAGGTGGGGAAAAGATTGAGAAATCGGATGGTTGCCGTGTCTGTGTTAGAAAGAGGTAGACATGGGAGACTTTTCATTTTGTTCTGTACTAAGAAAAATTCTTCTGCCTTGGGATCCTGTTGATCTGTGACCTTACCCCCAACCCTGTGCTCTCTGAAACATGCGCTGTGTCCACTCAGGGTTAAATGGATTAAGGGCGGTGCAAGATGTGCTTTGTTAAACAGATGCTTGAAGGCAGCATGCTCGTTAAGAGTCATCACCACTCCCTAATCTCAAGTACCCAGGGACACAAACACTGCGGAAGGCCGCAGGGTCCTCTGCAAAGAAACTACAAGAAAGAGATTTGATGTGGCTGCAAATCAAATTAGTGGCCTGGAAAAAAAGATGTAATCAAAGTGAATGCCAATAAAAAGGTGACTTTAAAGCAGTTAGAGAAAGAATGATAACTAAAAATCAAAGACAGTCAGCATAAAGATAATTGATGTCCCTGAAGCAGCGATCCCAATAAATGGAAAAATTATTCAGCCGGACATGGTGGCCAATACCTATAATCCCAGCACTTTGGAAGGCTGAGGCGGAAGGATTACCTGAGTCCCAGAGTTCAAGACCAGCCTGGGCAACATGGCAAGACCCTCATCTCTACAAAAAAATGTTAAAAATTAGCCAGGCATGGTGGTACATGCCTGTGGTCCCAGCTACTCAGGGAGGCTAAGGTGGGAGGATTACGTGAGTCCAGGAGGTCGAGGCTACAGTGAGCCATGTTCATGCCACCGCACTCCAGCCTGGGCAACAGAATGAGAGACCCTGTCTCAAAAAAATAAGGTTATTCAGAAATATAACACAAAAAGTTTATTTGAAGTTAAGGAATAATAAATCTGTAGATTAAAAGGGGAAATAACATACTTGGAAAAATTAACCCAAGACTGTCAACATTGCAAAAATTTATGTTAAGGTTTTGAGCTTAGTTAAGTTTTTGAGATGGAGAATAATTCAGAAATCCAAGTAGAAATGTAAGAATGAGTACTATTATGAATAGACTCAGTGGTTGTAACTAGTTGCAATGTTAGTTTGTGATTAGAAGGTTTAAATGCAATATAAACCTTGTGAAAAACAGGAAACAAGAAACCACCTTTACCTTTGCTTTTCTCTTGTATTATTAGGGAGGTGTTCCTGTGGGCTTAGCATCTAAACCTTTTCAGATTCTTTATGGACACACCAACGAGGTACTGAGTGTCGGCATCAGCACTGAGCTAGACATGGCAGTGTCAGGATCAAGGGTAAGATTTCACCTTTAAGAAATACTATTTATTTTGTCTACAAATTTATTACCAACACTTATAACTAAAAAGTTTTTCAGAGGAATTGATAAGAGTATAGAAATGTTATACCATACTTGTATAGGACTTTGCAAAAGTAGAATAGACTTTGCAAAATAAAGAAATCACTGAATGCCATTTTGGGATTTTATTCGTTTTATTATTTAAGGGAAGAGGACATTCTAGGAAATAAAATACTATTTGAAATTTCGAAGTTGGAATTTTTCCTAAGGTGCATGTATCCTTGATGGAATAATCATTTTCTTGGTTCCTTTCCCACATTTCTTTATCTGGCCCACTCTACTTTTATTCTTTTTTGCTGTTCTTTTCCTTTGTCTTTTTCATTTTCTGATATATCCTGTGTGTAGGATGGAACGGTGATTATACATACCATTCAGAAAGGTCAGTACATGAGGACTTTACGACCACCTTGTGAGAGTTCTCTGTTCCTGACCATTCCTAATTTGGCTATATCTTGGGAAGGACATATTGTTGTCTACTCCAGCACTGAAGAAAAGACCACCCTCAAGGTATATGACCTTTCATGCAATAGAGGTAGACTCCCAATAGCATATCTTTCCCTCCCCACATTATAGATGAGGTTTATTGAAGAAGGAAAGAACACCATATTTTAAAGATGATGTTTTTCTTTCATCATTCAGTTGTTCGTTTCTTAACATTAGATGGCCTTCTACCACAATCGTAGCCTCACATTAGTATTTTATTATTGAGATTTCTATTGACTTGTGTAATATATGATTTCAAAATAATTTCTGCTTATGTAGGATTTTTTAAGCTTAAGTGGAAACTGGAAATGATAGCCAACTGAAATTCCTTTTGCATAAGGCAGGGTATAAATAAACAAGCCCTCAATTTTATGTTTGTTTCCTGTCAGTGACATCACTATTTATTTAATTAATATGTGTGTGTGTGTGTGTGTGTGTGTGTGTGTGTATTTTTTTCTGAGACAGTCTCACTCTGTTGTCCAAGCTGGAGTGCAGTGGCGCAATCAGTGATACAATTATAGCTCACTTTGGCCTCAAACTCCTGGGCTTATGTGATACTTCTGCCTCAGCCCCCTCAGTAGCTGGGACTACTGGCATGTGCCACCACACCTGGCTAGTTTTTTTTAATTTTTGTTAGAGACGAGGTCTCCCTACGTTGCCTAGGCTGGTCTCAAACCCCTGGGCTCAAGCGATCCTCCTGCTTTGGACTCCCAAAGCACTGGGATTACAGACATGAGCCACCATGCCCAGCCTAAGCTTTTTCAATATTAAGAGTTTTGGGGGGCCGCGAGTGGTGGCTCACTCCTGTAATCCCAGCACTTTGGGAGGCTGAGGTGGGTGGATCACCTGAGGTCAGGAGTTCCAGACCAGCCTGGCCAACATGGTGAAACCCCATCTCTACTAAAAATACAAAAATTAGCCGGGCATGGTGGTGCATGCCTGTAGTCCCAGCTACTAGGGAGGCTGAGACAGGAGAATTGCTTGAACCCAGGAGGCAGACGTTGCAGTGAGCCAAGATTATGCCACTGCACTCCAGCCTGGACAATAGAGCGAGACATGGCCTCAAAAAAAAAAAAAAAAAGTCTGGGCGCAGTGGCTCACGCCTGTAATGCCAGCACTTTGGGAGGCCGAGGTGGGCGGATCACAAGGTCAGGAGATCGAGACCATCCTAACTAACACAGTGAAACCCCGTCTCTACTAAAAATGCAAAAAAAGATTAGCTGGGCGTGGTGTTGGGCACCTGTAGTCCCAGCTACTTGGGAGGCTGAGGCAGGAGAATGGTGTGAACCTGGGAGGCAGAGCTTTCAGTGAGCCAAGATTGTGCCACTGCACTCCAGCCTGGGTGACAGAACGAGGCTCCATCTCAAAAGAAAAAGAATTTTTTTCTTTTGTTTTAAGAATGTAGAGTTTTGGGGAGGGCTGAATGAGATTTTAATTCTTCTTTGGAGAGAGTGAGATTTCTCGTTTAATATTTACTTGGCAATCTGATTTGAAATCACTTTAATAATATTGTCTACACACTTGGTCTTTAAATATAGCCATATTTTTATCCTAAAATGTTAAGCCAAATAATTATTCTGTTATAGTCAGAGTTTTAACTGGTTATATAAAAACTCAGTTTTTATTTGAAATTGTTGAATTTTCCTTAATTCTTTTCAGGATAAGAATGCATTACATCTGTTTTCTATAAATGGCAAGTATCTAGGGTCTCAAATCCTGAAGGAACAAGTATCAGATATATGTATAATCGGAGAACACATTGTCACAGGCAGCATACAAGGATTCCTGTCTATAAGAGATCTCCACAGGTAAATAATAAAAACTAATGAAGTATCACTTAAGAAAAGGGGCAGTACTTCTAGTCTAGAGTGAAAATCAGGAATCTAAGATTTTTAATCTTTTGGTTTATCATTGATTATAAAAGTTTCTCTTTTAGCAAGTATAAAAAATTGGAGGAGCTAAAGTATTCCTAGATTCATAAAGGAAATATATATATACATTTTTTAATATGTAGAAAATTTTACATTATATATATTTTACCGCAATTAAAAAATTTTTTAGGCTGGACATAGTCACTCCTGCCTGTAATCCCAGCACTTTGGGAGGTCAAAGAGGGAGGAATGCTTGAGCCCAGGAGTTTAAGACCAACCTGGGCACATAGCAAGACCTCATCTCTACTAAAAATAAAAACTTTAAAAATTAGCTGAGCATGGTAGCATGTTCCTGTGTTCCCAGCTACTTGGGAGGCTGAGGTGGGAGGATTGCTTGAGCCCAGGTCAAGGCTACAGTAAGCTATGATCATACAACTGCACTGTAGCCTGGACAACACAGCAAGACCCTGTCTCAAAAGAAATGTTTTAAATATGTAGAGCTAGAAAAAAATGTTCATAGTACCAAGTCTGTATTATGGATTTGGAAATTTGTCCAAATGATGGTTTGAATTTTTATAAAGTTTTTCTTAACTGTGGTAAAATAAAGTAGAGTATATTTAACATATTTAAGCATGTGTGTGTATAAAATTGTTATGGGGATCTGTTGTCATTTAATCTAGTGAAGGAGAGAGATACTGGAGTAGTGGATACGTGTTTTTGTTTTGTTTTCTTTTTTGAGACCTAGTCTTGCTCTGTCACCCAGGCTGGAGTGCAGTGGCATGATATTGGCTCACTGCAGCCTCTGCCTCCAGGTTCAAGCGATTCTCCTGCCTCACCCTCCACGTCAGCTGGGAATATAGGTGCGTGCCATCGTGCCCAGCTAATTTTTGTATTTTTAGTAGAGATGAGGTTCCACCATGTTGGCCAGGCTGGTCTCAAATTTCTGACCTCAAGTGATCCACCCACCTCAGCCTTCCCAAAGTGCTGGGATTACAGGCATGAGCCACTGCACCTGGCCCGAGATTTCTGGGCTTCTTACCCACCACTCACTTATGAATCAACAAGGCAAAAAGCATGTAATGAGAGGGCCTAGGTGCTCAATACTGTGATGCTTACTCATAATAATGGTTTTTAAGGGGTTTAAGACTAGTTGGAAGCTGGGTGTGGTGGCTCACACCTGTAATCCCAGCACTTTGGGAGGCTGAGGTAGCTGGATCATTTGAGGTCAGGAGTTCAAGACCAGCCTGGCCAACATAGTGAAACCCCATCTCTACTAAAAGTACAAAAATTAGCCGGGTGTGGTGGCGGGCACCTGTAGTCCCCAGATACTCAGGAGCCTGAGGCAGGAGAATCACTTGAACTCAGGAGGCAGAGGTTGCAGTGACTGAGATCGCACCACTGCACTCCAGCCTGGGTGACAGAGCGAGACTCCATCTCAAAAAAAAAAAAAAAAAGACTAGTTGGGGAAATATCAATATTTGTGTACTGTTGTGAACAGTTTAAGAGCTAAATTATATGATTCCAGTTACATGTGCAAGATGAGTTTTAAAGACATTAAGGATTAGCACGGATCTGAGTAGTCAGAGGAGTCTTGATGAAGGATTAGTAGGAATTAAATGGACATGACAAGACAGGGAGGGCCTTCTTTTGGAGATGGAGGTAGGCAATATGTGAGGAAATAAAGCACAAAGACGTAGGAACAGCAATGAACATGGTGTGTACTGTGCTGCATTTCAGGGATAAGATCAGAGCAAGACTAGAACAAATGCCCACTGAGAGTCTGAGGCTCAGAGAACGGTGACTAGTATAGGAACTTTATTTCTATCTGTTTTAGGAAGAACACTAAGGATAAAAATCTAGTTAGTATCCATATAGAATCCTGTCTAACTGTTGTGTTCCTTACTTTGTCTCTCACCTTCCCTCTAATCTCTCTAAAGGGAACGTAAAGACTATTTACCTTAGATAAATGATGAATGTAATAATAAGATGTAAAAACTGAAGTAATAATAGAATGGGTTGGAAAATTGAAAAAAGAGTAAGATTCTCTAGGAAGTCAAAATTCTTATATTTTAGCTTCATGGTTGCTTTATTAATATTTTGTTTGATTATATATGGTTAGAAGAAAAATAGATGTCAAAAATAGAGAAAAAAATCTATCAAGTATCTTAACTAATGCTGTAAATACAGGCCCTTGTGTGAGTCACTTAGACTTTCTGGACACAAGTTCCCACATCTGTAAAATTAGAATGCAGAACTAGATGAGCATTAATTTATTTTCCAGATATAAAATTCTGTGAATTCATTATAAATCCGTGTAATTATGTCTGTATTTTTTATTTCTTTTCTAGCTTGAATCTCAGCATCAACCCATTAGCCATGCGACTGCCTATCCATTGTGTTTGTGTCACCAAAGAATACAGCCATATTCTTGTAGGTTTAGAAGATGGCAAATTGATTGTAGTGGGTGTTGGCAAGCCTGCTGAGGTAAAACCTAGCATCAGTAATTTCATTTCTCATGCTGTTGGGGATTACTTTGGTTCTCCTTCATTCCAACTGATTGAGAAGTCACCATTAGGGATAAACAAATTAAAAGCCAAATTTGATTTTTCAAAAGGCAGTAAATAAAAACAGGATAAAGCTGTTATTCAAGAATCATGTTTATGTTATTATTGAAAGCCCACCTTTGGCAATTCTATCTACCACTCTATAGGAATAAGACAGTTCATTTCTTCCAAATCTAGATTCAAGACCACAACTTAGATTTTCAATACATAAGAGCCTTTGCAAAAGAATAAAATATAGGCTCAAACAATAAAACTACTTTAGTTTTAACAAATACTCATCATAACTATTTGTCAGTTGTTCTTTTGTAAAAGCATCATTTTTTATTTGTAACTACAAATATCCCCATTTAGTGTGCTTATTCTCAGTGAGTTTCCTATAGTTAAATTTACTTGCTAATGATTTATCAATTATTGAATATTCAGATATCATAAATCTAACTCTCACTCTTAGGAAAACTTTGTAGTTATACTCCAGTAACTTACTGATTCTTCCAAATAATTTGTGTTATTACATAGTTAAATTAAGCATTATAAATTTTTTTAAGTCACTGTTGGTATTTTCTGAGAAATCTAACAATATGGGATCTGTCGGGGTTATTTCAAGGGAAGAAATTACCGTCACACAGTCAGTGGCTATAATAACCTGTTAAAGATCGTAAAAACCTGTTTTATAAATATTTGAAACTTCTTTAGTCCTTATGCTTTTTTTCAGCATATTATTTTACCAAAAAAAAAGTGTCATTAAATTAATGTTATTATGGCTGGGCATGGTGGCTCACGCCTGTAATCCCTGCACTTTGGGGGACCGAGACGAGCGGATCACTTGAGGTCAGGAGTTCGAGACCAGCCTGGCCAACGTGGTGAAACCCCATCTCTACTAAAAATACAAAAATTAGCCGGGTGTGGTGGCATATGCCAGTAATCCCAGCTACTCGGGAGGCTGAGGCAAAAGAATCACTTGAACCTGGGAATTGGAGGTTGCAGTGAGCGGATATCGTGCTGCTGCACTCCAGCCTGGGTGACAGAGCAAGACTCTGTACTACAGTTTAGAATATGAACTAGATCCATATTTAGTTACAAAAAGATATTTCTATTTCAAGATCTATTTTTATCTAAAACATCAAAATCTTGATTAATATGTATTTTTTAATCATGTACCAGTTTATATATTATTCTATTAGAGTGAAAATCATATGTAAAAATCAGATGGTAAGGTAGTAGTGCTTCAGAAAATACATCTGCAAATGTATTTGGCAAAAGAAGCATGCCAAAGCCTCTAGTACTTTGTATGAGGCTTATCTTTTATCACTCCAATAAATATACCCTGGAAAAGCAACCATTAGGCCTGGTGCGGTGGCTCACACCTGTAATCCCAGCACTTTGGAAGGCCAAGGCGGGCGGATCATGAGGTCAAGACATCCAGGCCATCTCAGCCAACATGGTGAAACCCCGTCTCTACTAAAAATACAAAAATTAGCCGGGTGTGGGCCAGGTGCAGTGCTCACACCTGTAGTCCCAGCACTTTGGGAGGCCGAGGTGGGCGGATCACGAGGTCAAGAGATCAAGACCATCCTGGCCAACATGGTGAAACCTCGTCTCTACTAAAAATACAAAAAAAAATTAGCTGGGCCTGGTGGCACGTGCCTGTAGTCCCAGCTACTCTGGAGGTGGAGGCTGAGGCAGGAGAATTGCTTGAACCAGGAAGGTGGAGGTTGCAGTGAGCCGAGATTGTGCCACTGCACTCCAGTCTGGTGACAGACCAAGACTCCATCTCAGAAAACAACAACAACAACAAGAACAACAAATTAGCTGGGTGTGGTGGCGCATGCCTGTAGTCCCAGCTACTTGGGAGGCTGAGGCAGGAGAATCGCTTGAACCCAGGAGGCGCAGGTTGCAGTGAACCAAGATCGTGCCACTGCACTTCCAGCCTGGCAACAGAGCGAGACTCCATCTCAAAAAAAAAAAAAAGAAAAGTGACCATTAAAAAAGGTGGCAAGCTGGGCATGGTGACTCACTCCTGTAATCTCAGCCCTTTGGGAGGCTGAGGTGGGTGGAGTACTTGAGGCCAGGAGTTTGAGACCAGCCTGGGCAACATGTCGAAACCCTGTCTCTACTAAAAATACAAAAATTAGCTAAGCATGATGGTATGTTCCTGTAGTCTCAGCTACTTAGGAGGCTACGGTGGGAGGATTGCCTGAGCCCAGGAGGCAGAGGTTGCAGTGAGCTGAGGTTGCACCACTGCACTACAGTGTGGGCAACAGAGTGAAACCCTGTCTAAAAAAAAAAAAAAAAAAACGGTGGAATCACCATTAAAAAGTAGGTTGCACTTGAGAAAGTAATTGCAACAAACCATAGGGGATTTTTGCCCCATCTGGATGTATAAACACTTTTAAAAGACATTTATTCATTCACTGATTTAATTACTATTTGGTTAATATTTATTATACACTGGGAAGGATGGTAGGTGATGCAAATTTAATGGTGAACAAAATGCAATTCCTGCCTTCAAGGGGCTTATGCTCTCCTTGTTTTCTACATTACTTTTTATCATTCTGTTGTTAAATATTATTTTTGAAAGCCTTAAAATATTTTAAAATTACTTTCTTTTCATCAAAACTTTATTTTACTTTCTTCTTATCCTTATGATTGGCATTAACAGTACTGCAAATTCTAGAAAAGAAAATCTCCAAACCTGTATGTCTTGTTAGCAAAATTAAGAATAATTTTGAGCCAGGTGTGTTGGCTCACACCTGTAATCCCAGCACTTTGGGAGGCTGAGGTGGGAGGATTGCTTGAGCCCAGGACTTCACCAGCCTGGGCAATATAGTGAGATCTCATCTCTACAAACAAATAAAAAATTAATTAAAAATTTTAAAAAAGAATAGTTTTGAGAAGCTTATTTTGATGAAATAATACATATTTTTGATAATTTATAAAATAAAGGAATCTGGTAACTTTGACATAACGAGGCCATTAATTGTTTAAATGTACACACTGACATTAGAGCTTTCTCAAAGACAAAATAAGTGTAAAAGTCTTTCATTATTATTATTGTTATTATTATGTGTGTATATGTGTGTGTATGAGAGAGAGAGAGTTTCACTATGATGCCCAGGCTGGAGGACAGTGGCACGATCTTGGCTTACTGCAACCTCTGCCTCTCAGGTTCAAGCAATTCTCATGCCTCAGCCTCCCAAGTGGCTGGGATTACAGGCGTGCGCCACCATGTTGGGCTAATTTTTGTATCTTCAGTAGAGACGGAAGTTTGCCATTTTGGCCAGGCTGGTCTCAAACTCCTGGCCTCAAGTGATCTACCTGCCTCGGCCTACCAAAGTGCTGGGATTACAGGCATGAGTCACCACACCTGGCCGTCTTTCTCTATTATTGATAACCTTTAAAGTGTTAATAATTCTGCTAACAATTTGTTTCTTTTCACTCTGCAAAATCAGTGTCTTACATATCTTTTTTTTAATTTTTTCTTAATATTTATTCTTCATTTCTTTGGATTACTTTACACAGATGCGTTCAGGTCAGCTTTCTCGAAAATTTTGGGGATCGAGCAAGCGGCTCAGCCAGATTTCAGCTGGAGAAACTGAATATAATACTCAAGATTCCAAGTGATTGTTATTTCCATTTTCTGTTATGATTACTGAAACCTGATTTATTGCTTTGTCACTTTAACCACATCTCTCAACTCTCTGCAATGTTGCAAGGCTTTTATCCCTGAAAATCATTTACAGATAACCACAATTTGCTGTGGTATATAAACTAATTCTTGGTCTATACTAAGATGTATTTGAGAAAATACATTTGATTTGATTTTGTGGCCCATTCCTAAAGGTCATTGTATCCATTTTTAAAACAAACTAAAATGAGAACATTAGGTTCAATTTTCTTATTATTCCAAATGATAAAATTTAAGATTTTTCTAATAAAAGAGTACAGATAATGGGACAGTTGAGAGAGATGGCTTTAAATACATTCTTAAGTAATCATTTTCCTATTTACTGACCACTGTAATGAAAATATATCAATTTATTTATGGAACTCCTGATTGGGGATAATATTTTAAAGGTATCTGTTGCACACTTGGATTTTCAAAACTCGGTGAAAGTTACAAGTTTGCATGGTAAGAATAAAATAAGAATATTGAAACTGGTACATTAGCTAATTCTATTACTACTTAGCGTGTTTCTAATGAGAAGTTACTGAAATCTATTACTGTCCTTAATAAAAATTGAGTAGAAAAAAGTGGAACTAGAGATACATTTTACAGATGTATTTCCTTAATAATATAATTAAGCAAAAGTGCTAATTGTGATTTTGACAGTTGGGCCTTTTAAGTAGCATTTGCAGCACAATTTGCATTTGCAAAGTTCCGAATTTCTTGACTCTTTCTTCACTAAGCAAATACTGTTTTACTCTAATAATTAAGAGTTAGTAGTACCCAAATATGTTGAATTTTTACTTAGGATATCTGTGTGATTGATGAATGAATTGAAAAGATATGTATAACTTAAAATAATCATTTATATATAGTAATTTAAAAATTTCTATTTCATGTTTTAGGATTATAGCTAATTTTATTATATAGTGTTAAATGTTGTGGTTGATTATTAAGATCTTAAAGTAAAAGTCTGATTTATTTAATTTGGAATTCAAAGACATTGTTAAACTTAGATTTTTTTGTAAGATTATCTTTTGAGTTAGGTCAGAGAGCTTTTACAACTACCAGTGTTATTAATCTGAGATTTCATGTGTTTGGGAGAACTTGTGAATCCCTCTGAAATTGTGCAGAGACTTTGTATGTTAAATGCATTTTCAGGAAGGAATGGTTACATGGCTTTCTTTAAAGGGATCTGTTTCCAGTAATAGTATTCTTTTTTGTTCCACAAATCATAGATGTCCTTAAATCCAATTGTCTTCTCAGTTGAATCTTAGAGAAATTTTTCTTTTGCAATTTCGCTTTCCTGTTGACCACAGTATCCAGTGCCCTTTTCTTTATAATCTTTTGAGTGAGTAAAAAAATTTTAAGAAATAAAGGATTCTGTTTAGGGAAACTTTTGAATAGATTTGATTTGATGTGAGTCAGGGCTAATAAAAAGCTATAGAAGAATTTTCTTTCCAATAAGTAAAAATCCTCTGTTTTATTAAGGAAAAAATAGCTATGTTTTAGGTAAATAACTCTGAAATAAACTGGTACAACAATTGTAAAATAGAACATATTTAAATGTCAAGGTGTCTTTTCTTAAGACTTCAGGAATTTGTATTGAACAAAGTCTCAAGTTAAGTAGCAATAATTATGATGCATAAATGAGACTGGCATCTATTCATTTATTTTATTCTTTTTTGGGGTGATGGGAGGTTTCAATCCAGTGCTTCACCCGTGGTGCCACCGTGGCTATCTTTTTTTTTATCTTACAGTTTTTTAGGAGATTTCAAGTCGGCAGAACTAACATGATTGATTTTTAGTTTTTAAAATACTGATTTTTTTAGAAACTTTTTCTAAATCAAAACCTACTAAGTTTTATTTTGTTATTTATCCAGAGATTTTGATGTAAAAATGCCTTCATTTTTAAGATTACTTAATACTGGATTTGAAAATTATTTTGGATGCTTATAAGTTTTCTAAAACTTAGATAATTAGAAAAAATGCCTAAGTTTATGATGTTTTACTATGCTGCTTTTTAGATGGAAGAAATAAGCAGTTTTTACTTTATAGTACAAATAAGTTTTGTTCACAATAAAATAGATATCCTACCTGGACTAATACTAGATGTACAAGGTAGTGGAATTATTTCTTATATTGCTTTTTCCAAAAAGTAAAAACCAAAAATGTGGGCCGGGTGTGGTGGCTCATGCCTGTAATCCCAGCACTTTGGGAGGCTGAGGCAGGCGAATCACAAGGTCAGGAGTTCAAGACCAGCCTGGCCAACACAGTGAAACCCTTTCTCTACTAAAAATACAAAAATTAGCCGGGCATGGTGGCACATGCCTATAGTCCCAGCTACTTGAGAGGCTGAGCAGCGCAGGAGAATCACTTAAACCCGGGAGGTGGAGGTTGCAGTGACCTGAGATCACGCTACTGCACTCCAGCTTGGGCAACAGAGTGAGACTTTGTCTCAAAGAAAAGAAAAAAAATATGGAATTTAGAGAAAAATCTTTGAGAATACTAGCAACAGTCTAGAGAATGGAACTTAAATTTTATCTGTTAAAAGAAGCAAACAACTATTAGTGAATAATATATTACTCATTTAAAGAGTATAGCCTACTGAATTAAAAATCACTAGATAAAATAATTGGAAAGAAGTACTTTTGAGAATTCTGGTATATTTAGATGTTACCCATAGAAATTAGTTATATATTATATAATGGGAGAAATGAACAGTATCATTGGAATGAAATAACAGGTGGACATTTCAATTGGTGAATATAGTATCTCAAGTTGGCTCTTACAAAGTCTGTTACCTGGCCAATTGTGGTGGCTCACGCCTATAATCCCAGCTCTTTGGGAGGCCGAGGTGGGCGGATCACAAGGTCAGGAGTTCAAGACCAGCCTGGCCAACATGGTGAAACCCTGTCTCTACTAAAAATACAAAAATTTGCTGGGCATGGTGGCAGGTGCCTGTAGTCCCAGCTACTCAGGAGGCTGAGGCAGGAGAATCGCTTGAACCCAGGAGGCAGAGGTTGCAGTGAGCCAAAATCGCACCACTGCACTCCAGCCTGGGCAACAGGGCAAGACTCCATCTCAAAAAAAAAAAAAGTCTGTTATCTTTGCAAAACTTTTTGTATGCTTTTGTTTCTTGATACTGGTGATGACAAAAATAAAAATCTCAGCATCCTGGTGATAGGAAGAGATTTATACCAAGATAATTATTTTACTTTTGGAAAATGAGATCAAGTATTAAAACATGTAATAGCTGTGCACGCTTAGAGAATAAAGAACCTTTATAAAATTTTTTTACAACTGTTTGCAATCAGTATTCTGGCATTACTCAGATAAAATTGTAAGAGAGAAAGAAAAATAGATCAGGGCATAAAAATCAGGAAAGTATATAAAAATGAAGTTTGGCAAGTTGGTTTAGTCTTTCTTTTTAGCCTGTGAAGCTCACGTCTGTTATTAAGTTAATAACAAAATTAAAATCTGTTAACTTTGTTTAGGTCACAGTGCAGTGCATCCTTTTGTAGAAGAAAAAATACCAAGTGTTCATTCTGTCATTAGCAAGGAACACCAATGAGGTTTCTTTTTTTTCTCTATTTAGGGCATATTAAAATTATCCTTCAGAGTACTTGTATTGAAAATCAAGTTTATGCTTCTGAAAAGAATAAGTGGGCTCTCAGAATTAGAATTCAGATTTGACGGTTGAATCTTAAGACATTTTATATTTTGTGTGAAAAGGAGTGGTCAGGGGAAACTGTTAACTTGGATACCAGATTTTTATTTAATGATGATAGAGATATGACCTTTGCCTTTATGTATATTTTATATTGTTACTACTAAAGAGACCACTGAGGAAATCTTGTAATTGAACTTAAGGAAGTTAGCTCCTTTTATATATTTATAAAATGAGTAGCATTATCTTTACCACCTTTCCACTGAAAAGATGCAAGTCCTAGGACTATATTAAATATAAATATTATATTATTAAATAATATATGTAATATGGGTGTCTGTTGGGGTTATGTGTGTGTAAAGATTGGTCTTTTCAAATATGTATATTTAAACCTGTCTTCTGGAAACAGGTTCTTGAACCTATCTTTAGGATACAGTTTTTGACTGGGATATAAGAAATGAAACATGTTTGTTTGTTTCCTTTTTGTTTGTTTGTTTGCATCATCAGCCATACTCATGGCTTATCCTACGCATTGTTCCTCTCATCAGCTGAAACTGTTTCTCCCCAATAAGTGAGCAATCTTAAACATTTTCATCACTCTTTAACAAAATCCATTCTCAATATTCTTTTTGCTGAATTCGTATATTGTATATGCTCAACATATTATTTGTTTTAAACTTGACTCCATCCAGAGCATTGTTCTATAGAGTTTTCCTGTATTTATCAGAGTCATGTGGTATTTTTCTTGATGACCTTAGGCAACAATATAGTGTTATCAGTCATCATTTTAATATGATTTAAAATGTGGACCACAGCCTGCCTTCTTTAGTTTAAATCTAGGCCAAGCATGGTGGCTCATGCCTATAATCTCAGCACTTTAGGAGGCTGAGGCAGGAGGATCACTGGAGCCTAGGAGCTCAAGACCAGCCTGGGCAGCATAGTGGGCTCCACCTCTACAAGACATTAAAAAATTAGCCTTGTGTGCTGGCAAGCGCCTGTAGTCCTAGCTGCTCGGGAGGCTGAGGCAAGGGGTTTGCTTGAGCCTAGAGATCAAGGCTGCAGTAAGCTGTGATTGCACCACTGCACTTCAGCCTAGGTGGCAGAGTTAGACCCTGTCTCCAAAAATACATTTTTTTAAATTTAAATCTGGCAGTTTCTAGGCCAGTGGTTCTTAATGGATATTACAGATCAGACTTCTCTGTGGAGTTTATAAATATACAGATATGTAGGCACTGCTTTGGACTTCATGAATCTCTTTGCTTGATATTCTTGGTATTAAAAAATTATGTCTGAGGATTATTATGTTATATCCTAAAAATTTTTCTGCATAGAAATTTGTCCATTTATCTTTATATACCAGATCCAATATTCAGACTTATTTGAAAATAGGCTTAATCATTATCCTGAGGGACATTTTGTCTAAAATTTGCTTGGAATGGCTTTATTATCTTTGTTTTGCCTGCCACAAAAACAACAAAATCTCCTTTCAATTGAGTTATTTTTATCATGAACTCTCTTTAGACTGTTCACATTTGAAAATTATAACTAATATTTGCCTCCAGAAAAGTACATCTGTTTGCTAATATTAGTTCCTGGTGACTTTCAGTGAACGTTTTGCAAACTTGAATTAGGCAACATTTTAAAGAAGAAAAAAACATGACTAACATGCTAAATTTAAAACATAAAAGTAGATCTCTTAGAGCCTTGAAGCTTGTAATCAATAGAATTTTCCTAATTAAAAAGCATTGGGTAAATTATCTACTACTTCCAATGACTTTTGCAGGTACAGCCTCTGTATGGAAATAATCTTTAATTTTTTATAGGTATAACAGAGAAGAACGCATTAACATTTAAGATGTTTAATTCCAAATAGGAAATAATTCAGTTTTCTGTGTTAAGAAATGTAAGGCCATCCTAGAGTATAGGAGTTACGTGATTTTCTTCTGTATAAAAATCTCATTTAATAGTGGCTGTATTATCAGATACTTATTTGATTATAGTAATTCATCAGACACATCTCCTTCGTTTGGTGATTATCTCATTGATCTTTGTCACACGTGAGTGATTTCTAAACACATTGCAGGATTTGGACCTGTAAAGCCAGTGGCTTTAGTGATAAGTAAAAGGGCACATTCAACAATATTTACCTTTGTCTTAATGCCCATAATCTTATGAACTGAAAATTCAGAAGGAAAAGAACAAATAGAAAGCTACTAATTCAATATTTGTTTTTCATGGTACGGTTTTCATGTTTCCTTGGAAACATATTTTGCAAATATAACAATAATAGTAATAACACAATTTTGTCATTTAAAAAATTACCCATTCATTTTTCAAACTTGACTGTTAGTGGAGGGGTATATGTGTGTCTGTGTTTCCACTTATGTAATGGCTGTCTCATTATTTAAATTAATTTATAATTATTTTTCAGTGTACAGAGTGATTAGCGGCTTGTAATGCTGTTACAATGTAGCATTGTAATGTAAGATGAAGAAAAATTAGGATTTAGGTGGGATTTTTAAAAATTTATCAATTCAGCTACTTTTTAAAAGAAGTCCTATTCCAATTGGACCTTTAAAATTTTTATTTTGGTAATATTTCAACTTAAGATGTATTAAAACTAGCAATTCTGTGGTAATCAGTGTACTAGTCAACATTAAAATGCTATTTTGGGTTGTCTTCTTTTGGTAACATATTCTGACACTAAGCAACATGTTTTACAATTTAGTGGGATGAACCTACAAATTCATAAATGCTTCTCTTTATTTTGAAGGAAAAAGATACTTGTCTGTATACGACATAATTGTTTTACTCTTCAGAATGTGAAAGTTATATTAATCACTAAACACTTTAAGAAGTGGTTCTGGTAGGATATCAGTAGTCAGACTTAATTGAAAAACTGTCAGCGTCTGTTTTGTATATAGGGATTAAAGAGGATAACTTTATTTTTTCCTTTGGAAAGAATAATTCTTTTGGAATTTTGGAATTTTGATTTTCTTAGATGACTTTTTAGCAATTTAATGATAATAATTTCTATTTTTCTTCCAAAACTATGGCATGTTATAGTAGATCTTACTATTAAAGATCTTTTATATTTTAAACTGTTTTTTTCCTATTCTGCTTTTTGCTGCTCTCAAAGACTGTGATTGATGAACATCACCAAACTTTTTTTGTGGCAAACTGCTTATTTTATAAGTAGCTTTATATAAGAAAACTTCTTAGAAAACTATGTGGCTGGTTGGTTCCATTTAGAAACTCTTAACAGGTATGGCTTTCATTCCTCCAGTTGTTTGCTTTTATAGACTTGGAGCAAAAAATATAGCAAAAAGTAATCATATCTGGCTAGATAGCCATTTCTCTCAGATTCATTGCTATAAAAATGAATCTACTGAGGCATAAAAATATGAAACATATTTAATTCATCTCTTTTGTCAGTTTTTCTGGGACTCCAATAGCATTTCAGTGTTATAGAGAGTGACAGTGACTTGAATGCATGTATATGCACATAGTCAATTCAGAGCGTAATAACTAAAAATTCAGAATGACTTGTTTTTTGAAAGTACTTGGAAATTGTGCTGCTACTTAAATATTGAAGGAATTCAGAAAGTTGTGTATTTATCTTAAAATGTTCCTTCTCACTTATTCTACTGGAATTGACCATGAAAAAGAAAATATTATGCCTTATTTATATCTAATTATTGACTGTGCAAACTGTGACTCAGTGGATATTTGTATGCCCCCCAAAAACATTTTAAAGCTGAGCAATTTTTAATAAAGATGTATAAATAATTTTGATTATTCTCATTGTAGTTAAGTTACTGTTAGTTTGGTGCAATACATTCTTTCCTTCCTCATCCTTTTAAAATTAAATATATAAGATGTATGTTTTGTTTTATTACATTAAGTGCTATTTTTAAAAAATTCATTGTGTGTATATGAGCTAATACTTGATTTGTTTCTGTATAGCATGATTAAAGATAATTGAAAATTTTGCACTTATTTTAGGCCCTTGGAAATTTGTATTCTAATACTTTTTAAGAATGTCCATTTATTTTGTACATAATAAATTAGCTTTGTATATGAAAATGGGTTTGAATCAAATAAAAAAAGTGATGTTACTTTCTTCAGTTGATTTGTAATTCTCAGTTCATAGAGTCTGATTAGAACTTATCCTTGGCTAAGTTATTTGGGTAGACAAGAGATTGAATACAGTATTTGTTAATTAGAAAATTGATCAATGTTTCTTTCTCATATGAGCAGAATTTCTTCTGTAGTCCTGTGTGCACAAGATACATGTCAATTGACTATTTTTTGTCATATGTAACAACAGATATTCTGCCTTTCACTTTAGAGCTACCTCAAAAACATTGTTACAGGCTAGGCACAGTGGCTCATGCCTGTAATCATAGCACTTTGGGAGACCAAGGCTGGAGAATAGCTTGAGCCCAGGAGTTCAAGACCAGTCTGGGCAATATAAAGAGACCCTGTCTCTAAAAAAATTTAAAAATTAGCCAGGCATTGTGGCATGCACCTGTAGTTCTAGCTTGAGCCCAGCAGGTGGAGGCTACACTGAGCCAAGATCACACCACTGCACTCCAACCTGGGTAACAGAGAAATACCCTGTCTCAAAACAAACATTGTTTTAGTTTTTCCCTTAGCAAATGATTATATGCCATAAATCTCTGTTTGTAGTTAACCAAATAATATATTAGGTTGAATTTTTTAAACCTACATTCTTTCATAATTATAATCTCTAGGGCCAGTCGTGGTGGCTCACGCCTCTAATCCTAGCACTTTGGGAGGCCAAGGCAGGAGGATCACTTGAGGCCAGGAGTTTGAGGCTGCAGTGAACAATGATCACACCACTGTACTCCAGTCTGGGCAACAGAACAAGACTCTGTCTCTAAAAATAAAATAAACCTTTTATCCAGTCAACTTTGACAATCTAAATGTTGACCTAATCCTTCTGGTTTTGTCAAGGTTAATAGAATCTAATCCATAATAAGACAGAAGCCAAACTCTGTTCCAGGTTCTTGTTTGTACTTTTGTCTCTAGATCCAGAATAACAAAACAACAGAGATGAACATGAACCTTTACCTACTAGCACCATCCATTCACTATACTACACTTTATTGAAGACACTTCATTAGAATTGGAAACTTCCTGCGTTAATTCATCTGGTAAGATTCTCAGTCACTGGACAATCAAAGCCATGTTAGTTACGTGCTTCATTAAGACTGCCTTGCTTTTGTAAAACAAGTTCATAACACCATTCCAAGCATCAAATAAATCTGTTTGTTTCACACAATGATACTGGAGCTTATATTTTCTTACCATATACAGTTGATCCTTGAACAACTTGGGTTTGAACTGTACAGGTCCACTTATATGCAGATTTTTTTTCAACCAAATACAGATCTAAAATACAGTATTTGACCTGGGAAACATAGACTCTTTCTCTACAAAAAAGTCAAAAATTAGCTAGGCACAGTGGTGCATAGCTGTAGTCCCAGCTACTTGAGAGGCTTAAGCCTAGGAAGTCCAGCTGTGTGATCACACCACTGCACTCAGCCTAAGTGACAGAGCAAGACCCTGTCCCCCAAAAATAAAAGAAAATACAGTATTCATGGGTTGTGAACCCCGTGTGTATGCAGGACAGACTTTTTGTTTTTTTGGGGGTTTTTTGGTTTTTTTTTTTAGCAGAGACAGAGTTTCACCATGTTGGCCAGGCTGGTCTTGAACTCCTGGCCTCAGGTGATCTGCCTGCTTCGGCCTCCCAAAATGCTGGGATTACAGGAATGAGCCACCATGCCTGGCCAATGAAGGGATTTTTTTAAAGGCATAAACCTATAAGGACAAAGAAAACAGGAGAGAAGATGATACAATTTGGGGAATTGGAAAATCAATGGATGAATGGTTAAAAAAAAAAATTCCAAATGGATGGATGAATACTTACAGGGAGCCTAAGATAAGGACAGTTACCTAACTTCAAATCTTTCCACATGTCCTCTTAAAAAACCATACAGATGAACAAGAAGAATAAATACAGCCTCAAAACCCTATGCCTTCGAGATATCTAGAAGACAAACAGTACAGACTTCAAATTAAAAATACAAAAAAGCCAAATTCCAGCAGAGCTATCTCAAGTTTCAACAGTAAACCTCTGCAGAAAGGAAGGTGGGTCCAAGAAAGCAGGGAGTAGGGAAATGGAGGGCCTAACATTGAGTTTTTTAAAAAGAGACTCCCAGAAAGAGAAAGGCCATCCTAAGTGCAAAAGTAATGAAAAGTGAAAGAATGTGAGTGGATCAGAGTACTGTATATTAAAAATGGACTTAGTGTGCAGGATTCGATGTGGCAGTCTCAGGAAGGCATTGTCTCTTGAGAAGAGTATAAAAATGTCCGGAGACTGAATAGTGAAGTGAAAGGGGAAAAGAGTGGGAGAAATTTATGATTTAAGATCCTACGGACAATAAAAAATAAATTGGGGCTGGGCACGGCGGCTCATGCCTGTAATCCCAGCACTTTGGGAGGCCAAGGCATGTGGATCACTTGAGGTCAAGAGTTCAGGACCAGCTTGGCCAACATGGCGAAACCCCATCTCTACTAAAAATATGAAAATTAGCCAGGCATGGTGGCACACACCTGTAATCCCAGCTACTTGGGAGGCTGAGGCACAAGAATCGCTTGAACCTAGGAAGCGGAGTTTGCAGTGAGCTGATATCATGCCACTGCGTGGGTCTGGGTGACAGAACAAGACTCCATCTCAACAAAAAAGGAAAGAAAAAAATTGGAATATGTATAATCCCATCCCTCACCCTCACCCTCACCCCCACCCCCACCCCCACCAAAAAAAAACTAAAACTAAGCTATTGTCTCATGAACAAAGATTCAAAAATCCCTAAGGGAATATTAGCAGGTCAATGCTAGCAATGTGTAAGAAGGATAATGCATTATTACGGTGATGGTTAATATAGTGTGTCAAATGATTGGGCTAAGGGATTCCCAGATAGGCGGTAAAACATTATTTCTGGGTATGTCTGTGAGGGTATTTCCAGAAGAGATTAGCATCTGAATCAGTAGATTGAGTAAAGGAGATGTGCCCTCATCAGTGTGGGCAGGCATCATCCAATCTGTTGACGGCCAGGATAGAACAAAAAGATGAAGGGCAAATCCCCTCTATCTTCTAGAGCTGGGACATCATCTTCCACCCTGTGATGTATGTTAGAGCTTCAGTTTCTTGGGCCTTCAGACTTAGATTGAACTACACCACACCATCTACTGTCCTGGTTTTCCAGCCTACAGATGGCATATCATAGGACTTCTCAGCCTCCCTAACCTCATAAGCCAATTCTATTGGTTCTGTTTGTCTGGAGAACCCTAACACAATAACCAAGTACAGTTTACCCAAGTAATTTAAAGTTAGATTAACATTTTAAAATTAAGGCTGGGCATGGTGGTTCATGCCTGTAATCCCAGCATTTCGGGAGGCCAAGGCAGGAGGATCACTTGAGCCCAGGAGTTTAAGGCTGCAGTGAGCTATAACTGCACCACTGTCTCCTTTTTTTTTTCTTTCTGAGACAGAGTCTCACTCTGTCGCCCAGGCTGTAGTGCAATGACGCGATCTCGGCTCACTGCAACCTCTACCTCCTGGATTCAAGTAATTCTCCTGCCTCAGCCTCCCGAGTAATTGGAATTACAGGCGCCCGCCACCAGGCCTAGCTAATTTTTTTGTATTTTTAGTACAGACGAGGTTTCATCATGTTGGCCAGGCTGGTCCTGAACTCCTGACCTCAAGTGATCCACCCGCCTCAGCCCCCCAAAGTGCTAGGATTATAGGCGTGAGCCACTGCACCCGACCATAAAACTTAAATTAATTTGTACAGTTTTCCTTTTTTTTTTTTTTTTTGAGATGGAGTCTTGCTCTGTCGCCCAGGCTGGAGTGCAGTGGCACAGTCTCAGCTCACTGCAAGCTCTGCCTCCTGGGTTCACGCTGTTCTCCTGCCTCAGCCTCCCGAGTAGCTGGGACTACAGGCACCCACCACCACGCCCGGCTAATTTTTTGTATTTTTAGTAGAGACGGGGTTTCACTGTGTTAGCCAGGATAGTCTCAATCTCCTGACCTCGTGATCCGCCCGCCTCGGCCTCCCAAAGTGCTGGGATTACAGGTGTGAGCCACCATGCCTGGCCAATTTGTACACTTTTTCTTGGTAACCTGTCCTTTGTTGTAGGGGGCTCAGCCATGAACCTAGTGATAGGTAAGAAAAGAAATCTTTCCTGCTCTACAAAGATAGATTTGGGGCAGGAGGATAGAATATCATTTATTTGACTAATTGTTAACTTGATGGGTGACTGTTGAGTATTTTGACGTGTCAAGCAAATCCACACCAATATTTCCATCTCCCTAAACCTTTGTACTTCTTCTATAGCAGGAGTTCACCCACTTTTTCTATAAAGGGACAGGCAATAAATATTTTACACATAACTCTGTAGCAATTATTCAATTCTGCTGTTGTAGCCATATATAGAACATAAATGAGCATAGCTGTCTTCCACAAAATTTTATTTACAAAAACAGGTGAGGCCAAGCATGCTGACTCATGCCTGTAATCCCAGCACTTTGGGAGGCTGAAACAGAAGAATTGCTTGTGGCCAGGAGTTTGAAACCAGCATGGGCAGCATAGAAAGACCCTGTCTCTACCAACAAAACAAAACAAAACAAAACAAAACAAAAAAATAGCCAGGTGTGGTGGCACGTGCCTGTAGTCCTAGCTACCCAGGAGGCTGAGGCAGGAAGATCACTTGAGCCCAGGAGGTCAAGGCTGCAGTGAGCTATGATTGCACCACTGCACTCCAGCCAGGAAATTTCTGGCATCCCAACTTGAATGACTGTAGGCCGACATTGAATCCAGACTTCAGTTAACCAAACAAGCATATGCAGATTCAATCTCAAGTGCTCAACTGATATGGTTTGGCTGTGTCCCCACCCAAATCTCATCTTGAATTGTAGCTCCCACAATTCCCACATGTTGTGGGAGGGATCCAGTGGGATGTAATTGAATCACGAGGGGCAGGTCTTTCCCATGCTATTCTCATGATAGTGGATGAGTCTCACAAGATCTGATTGTTTTATAAAGGGGAGTTTCCCTGCACAAGTTCTCTTGTCTGCTGCCATGTGAGATGTGCCTTTCACCTTCCACCATGATTATGAGGCCTCCTCAGCCACGTGGAACTGTGAGTCCATTAAAACTCTTTCTTTTGTAAATTGCCCAGTCTTGGGTATGTCTTTATCTGAGCGTGAAAACAGACCAATATGGTAAATTGGTTATCAGTACAGTGGGGTGTTGCTGAAAAGATACTCAGAAATGTGGAACCGACTTTGGAACCGGTTAACACGCAGAGGTTGAAACAGTTTGGAGAGCTCAGAAGAAGACAGGAAAATGTGGGAAAGTTTGGGACTCCCTAGAGACTTGTTGAATGGCTTTGACCAAAAATGCTAATAATCATATGGACAATTAAATTCAGGCTGAGGTGGTCTTAGATGGAGATGAGAAACTTGTTGGGAACTGGAGCAAAGGTGACTCTTTTTATGTCTTAGCAAGGAGACTGGTGGCATTTTGCCCCTGCCCTAGAAATTTGTGAAACTTTGAACTTGAGAGAGATGATTTAGGGTATCTGGTGGAAGAAATTTCTAAGCAGCGAAGCATTCAAGAGGTGACTTGGGTGCTGTTAAAGGCATTCAGCTTGAAAAGGAAAACAGCATAAAAGTTCAGAAAATTTGCAGCCTGACAATGTGATAGAAAAGAAAATCCCATTTTTTGAGGAGAAATTCAAGCAGGCTGCAGGAATTTGCATAAGTAATGAGGAGCCGAATGTTAATCTCCAAGTCAATGGGGAAAATGTCTCCACTTTTGCAGCAGCCTCTCCCATCACAGGCCTGGAAGCCGAGGAAGAAAAAATGGTTTCCTGGGCTGGGTCCAGGGTCCCTCTGCTGTGTGTAGTCTAGGGACTTGTTGCCCTGAGTCCCACCTGCTTCAGCCGTGACTAAAAGGGGCCAAGGTACAGCTCAGGCTGTGGCTTCAGAGGGTGCAAGCCCCAAGCCTTGGCAGCTTCCATGTGGTGTTGACCCTGCAGGTGCACAGAAGTCAATAATTGAGGTTTGGGAACCTCTGCCTAGATTTCAGGGGATGTATGGAAATGCCTAAATGTCCAGGCAGAAGTTTGCTGCAGGGGTAGCGTGCTCATGGAGAATCTCTGCTAGTGCAGTGCAGAAGGGAAATGTGGGGTGAGTGCCCCCGACACACAGTCCCCACTGGGGCGCTGCCTAGTAGAGCTGAGAAGAGGGCCACTGTCCTCCAGACCCCAGAATGGTAGATGCATTGACAGCTTGCACTGCACACCGGGAAAAGCCACAGACACTCAATGCCAGCCCGTGAAAGCAGCTGGGAGGGGGGCTGTACCCTGCAAAGCCACAGGGGCAGAGCTGCCCAAGACCATGGGAACCCACCTCTTGCATCAGCACGACCTGGATGTGAGACATGGAGTCAAAGGAGATCATTTTGGAGCTTTAAGATTTGACTGCCCCTCTGGATTTTGGACTTGCATGGGGCCATTAGCACCTTTGTTTTGGCCAATTTCTCCCATTTGGAATGGGTGTATTTATCCACTGCCTGCACCCCCATTGTATCTAAGAAGTAACTAACTTGCTTTTGATTTTACAGGCTCATAGGCAGAAGGGACTTGCCTTGTCTCAAATGAGACTTTGGACTGTGGACTTTTGGGTTAATGCTGAAATGAGTTAAGACTTTGGGGGACTGTTAGCAAGGCATGATTAGTTTTGAAATGGGAGGACAGGAGATTTGGGAGAGGCTGGGGTGTAATGATATGGTTTGGCTGTTTCCCCACCCAAATCTCATCTTGAATTGTAGCTCCCAGAATTCCCATGTGTTGTAGGAGGGACCTGGTGGGAGGTAATTGAATCATGGGGGACAGCTCTTTCCTATGCTATTCTCGTGACAGTGGATGAGTCTCACAAGATCTGATGGTTTTATAAAGGGGAGTTTCCCTGCACAAGTTCTCTTGTCTGCCACCATGTGAGACACGCCTTTCACCTTCCACCATGATTGTGAGGCCTCCCCAGCCACATGGAACTAACTGTGAGTCCATTAAACCTCTTTCTTTTGCAGATTGCCCAGTCTCAGGTATGTCTTTATCAGCAGCATGAAAATGGACTAATATGTCAAGTTAACACATTGACTTCCCAAATTCTGAGTGAATGAAACCATATAAATAAATTTAGCCCTTACCATCCTTTATGTTTTCTTTTCCTTAGACAAATATCTATTTCCATACATGCTTCTCAGTATCCCTCTAATACAAATTAGCAAGGTCTCATTGCTCCTTTGATGTATAAGCCAGTGTTCTGCTCCAGGTCCAGGCATTATGAGTAGAGTATTTTAAAACAACAATAGAACCAACCAAATGTGTTCTACTTTTTATGATCACTATGTGCTGGCAATAGTAAACTGTGAGTGACAAAATACCCACCCTGCTGTACCATCACCTGTCCCCTTTCTCTTGCAGTGCCTCTGTTCTCTAAGAACTAAACTGGTAATTATCTCCCTGGGCTATGATGGGTTTGACTGTTTTTACCCAGACAGTCCATTATTACCTTTATTATTTTATTAGTTTATTATTATCAGTCTTTTTTTTTTTTTGATATGGAGTCTCACTCTGTCACCCAGGCTGGAGTGCAGTGGTGTGATCTCAGCTCACTGCAAGCTCCGCCTCCCGGGTTCACGCCATTCTCCTGCCTCAGCCTCCCGAGTAGCTGGGACTACAGGCACCTGCCACCATGCCCGGCTAATTTTTTGTATTTTTAGTAGAGACGGGGTTTCACCGTGTTAGCCAGGATGGTCTCCATCTCCTGACCTCGTGATCAGCCCGCCTTGGCCTCCCAAAGTGCTGGGATTATAGGCGTGAGCCACCGTGCCTGGACTATTTTCAGGCTTTATTGCCTAGAAAAAATGAGAAGAAATGGGAATTCTTCCTCAGAGATAATGGGCACCACCTTGTTATATAACTGACCCAAAAGAAGTTTCTGAAAGACTCATGTGAGGGAAGTTAGTTTCCTCAGACAGGGGAGATAGGCCCACTCCCATTGACAAGGAAGGTTCAGCAGGACTTGGGGGTTTCAGCTTTGTCTTTCTCTGACCAAATGTACTCATCTAAGAGTCCTATTCCTTCTCAAACAGTGCCCTGATTTAGAATAAAAGACTTGGCAAGATTCTGCTTTTAGCTGGCATTATAACTCTACAACCTGCACAATTAGATTTTAGGGCCTGTAACCCAGCCGTATCTGCCCTGCAGCTGCACAAAATGTTCTTTTGTTTTTTTTTTTTTTTTTGAGATGGAGTCTCGCTCTGTCGCCCAGGCTACAGTGCAGTGGTGCGATCTCGGCTCACTGCAACCTCTGCCTCCTTGATTCAAGCAATTCTCCCTGCCTCAGCCTCCCAAGTAGCTGGGATTACAGGCACCTGCCACCATGCCTGGCTAATTTTTGTATTTTTAGTAGAGATGGGGTTTCACCATGTTGACCAGGCTGGTCTCGAACTCCTGACCTCAGGTGATCCGCCTACCTCAGCCTCTCAAAGTGTTGGGATTACAGGCATGAGCCACCATGCCTGGCCATGAAATATTCTTTTGAGAAGAATGGAAGCCTTCTGGTCCTTCATCTATACCATCTTATGTTGGAATGTCAAGGCCTAAAACTTGTTTTTTTTTTCTTTTCATAAGCTCTATAATGCAGTCAGAAATAGCCATCTAGCCCATCATCTTTTTTTTTTTTTTCTTCTTCTTCTTCTTTTAGACAGAGTCTTACTCTGTCGCCCAGGTTGGATTACAGTGGTGCCATCTCAGTTCACTGCAACCTCTGCCTCCTGGGTTCAGGTGATTCTCCTGCCTTAGCCTCCTAAGAACCTGGGATTACAGGCATGTGCCACCATGTCCAGCTAATTTTTGTATTTTTAGTAGAGACAGGGTTTCTGCCATGTTGGCCAGGTTGGTCTTGAACTCCTGGCCTCAAGTGATCAGTCTGCCCTGGCTTCCCAAAGTGCTGGGATTACAGGCATGAGCCACTGCGTCCGGCCTATTCCACAATCTTTTGCAATACCCATTGTTGCTACCAATAATCACTTGACCATGTAAAATTTCTTCCCTACTGACATTCCATCCCATGTCACCACTGGCAATAATTTGAATAATCTTGCTGTCATTGCATGCTACACATTATCACTATCAAGAATGAATCTCATCATGAGGTTGTCAAATATGTGTTTAAACTGGTCCTAGAATTCCAACTTGAGGAACTGTTTCTGGGAGCCACTCCTTGTGCCAACTAGAGTCAGGTCTGACAGTAAACAGTATCTCACTCCAATGGTTCAAAAGATTTTAAGGAAGAAACTATATACAAAAGTGTGGGGAGGATTAAGGGAACCAATAAAGGATGCTGAAGTCTCCAGAGACTACCAACAGGGGAAACCATTGTCACTCCTAGGTCTGAAGGGGCAAGGAGAGAAAATATTACTGTTGCTCAGAGAGGGTTGGAGGATCATAGGAGGAAGTTCTACCTCAAAAGCTATATATATAGTGGGATGTAGCTCCTGCCAGCAAATATGGCTCAGAGCTGACAGGGAGCAAAACAGGAGGCTTCTAAAGCTGCTCTCTTCTCAGCCTTAGCCTATTGATGCCTCTTGGTGGAATTAGAAGCAAGCTCATAAGAAGCCCAGGTGGCGTAGTCTGAAGGAATGAACATCAGTGGTGACAGTTGCATGGTAGACACACCTGACAGTGATAACGTAAGCATACCCTGAGAATGACCCTATATTCTAAGAAGATTGTGTGTTCACAATTCCAATCTAAGGAATCTAGTAGTAGCCAACCAGAGATTCATTTGGAGGTTGTTGTCAGCTGGGACTCCAAACTGCACTCCAAAGCTGGGACTCACCACTGCACTCCAAACCTGGGTCACAAAGTGAGACTCCGTCTCAAAAAAGAAAATTAAGGCCAGATGCGGTGGTTCACGCCTGTAATCCCAGCACTTTGGGAGGCCAAGGCAGGTGGATCACGAGGTCAGGAGTTCGAGACCAGCCTGGCCAATATGGTGAAACCCCGTCTCTACTAAAAATACAAAAATTAGCCGGACGTGGTGTCGCGTGCCTGTGGTCTGAGCTACTCAGGAGGCTGAGGCAGGAACATCACTTGAACCTGGGAGGCGGAGGTTGCAGTAGGCCGAGATTGTGCCACTGCACTCCACCCTGGACGACAGATGGAGACTCCATCTCAAAAAAAAAAAAAAAAGAAAAAAAAAGAAAAAAAAAATAAATACATTTGTAGGAGTTTTTAAAGCCACAGAGTTTAAAACTTTTGTGGTTTTTAGACTTTTTTTAGAGACTAGGTCTCACTATGTCACCCAGGACAGAGGGCAGTAGCACAACCATAGCTCACTATAACCTTGAACTCCTGGGCTCAAGTGAACTTCTGAGTCTCCCAGAGTCCTGGGATTATAGGTGTGAGCCATTGTGTGCGGCCCAAAAACTATTTTTTTTTTTTAGAGACGGAGTCTCGCTCTGTCGCCCAGCCTGGAGTGCAGTGGCACGATCTCAGCTCACTGCAAGCTCCACCTCCCGGGTTCATGCCATTCTCCTGCTTCAGCCTCCTGAGTTGCTGGGACTACAGGCGCCACCACCACGCCCAGCTAATTCTTTTTTGTATTTTTAGTAGAGACAGGGTTTCACCATGTTAGCCAGGATGGTCTCGATCTCCTGACCTCGTGATCTGCCCGCCTCGGCCTCCCAAAGTGCTGAGATTACAGGCATGAGCCACCACGCCTGGCCCCAAAAACTATTTTTTAATTCAACATGAGTACATGTTGAAGAGAAGAAGTATGACAGGTGATGAAGAAAATTACTTTCAAGGATAAAAATAATTTCATTAGAATAAAATTCTGTCGGATAAGTGCAATAAAAATAAGTTCAGAAAAAGGAACCATGGAAAATTTCCAGTTGTTCACAAAAAGTGTATGGGTTTTTTGTTTTGTTTTGTTTTGTTTTGGGTTTTGTTTTTGTCCAGGCTGGAGTGCAGTGGCGCCATTTTGGCTCACTGCAACTTCTGCCTCCCGGGTTCAAGTGATTCTCCTGCCTCAGCCTCCTGAGAAGCTGGGATTACAGGCGCATGCCACCACACCCAGCTAATTTTTGTAATTTTAGTAGAGGCGGGGTTTCCCCATGTTGACCAGGCTGATCTTGAAGTCCTGACCTCAAGTGATCTGACCGCCTCCGCCTCCCAAAGTGCTGGGAATACAGGTGGAGCCACCGTACCTGGCCAAGTTTGTGTGTTTTTAAAAAAAGTCTTATAGTTATCACATCACTATTATATTTACATTCCTTTTCATACACTTAAAAGAGAGCTGTAACAATTTCAAAACGTGAATATTTATAATATGACAGAAATTTAATCCTTTAAAGTCAAGATAAAAATTTTAGATGTCAATACAAAAAATGTGTGAAAAGATATATATGTGTGTATGTGTATATATATATTATATATATATTATTTATATATGCTTTTAGGGAGTATCTGGGCAAAACGTTTTAGGAACACAGGAAGAGGAGGTAGATGTCTAGTTTAGAGACTCACACTATAAAATATGGTGCCCTGACAATTTCTGGAATTTTTGTCTCTTTTTTACAGCCCTCAAAGTTCAGAGAGTCTCAGGATGTAGGTCAATTTAGGACTAAAAGAGAATTCTAGATATCTTGAAGGATTGGTACCTAAGATTACGGTACCTAAGATTACGGTTATATGGCTACCTTATGCAGTTAAAACTCTTATGTTTGGCCGGGCGGGGTGGTTCACGCTTGTAATCTCAGCACTTTGGGAGGCCCAGAGGGGCGAATCACGAGGTCAGGAGTTAAAGACCAGCCTGGCCAACATGGTGAAACCCATCTCTACTAAAAATACAAAAATTAGCTGGGCATGGTGGCGCGTGCCTGTAATCCCAGCTACTCGGGAGGGTGAGGCAGGAGAATTGCTTGAACCTGGGAGGCGGAGGTTGCAGTGAGCCGAGATCCCGTCACTGCACTCTAGCCTGGGCTACAGAGGGAGACTACGTCTCAAAAACAAACAAACAAAACAAACAAACAAAAAACTCTTACATTTACTGTTTTGAAAACCTATTGGGAACATCAGTTTGACAAGAAATATCTTTAAAATTCTGAACAAGAGACTTAAAAATGAACTTTGAACATACGACAGTTTAAAGCACATTTATATGCAGAGAAAGACTTAAAAATACAATTTCTGCCAAGTGAAATATTAAACAGCATGTTTCATTATATTTGCTATAGATGCCAAAAGAGTTGCCATTTTCAATGAGGTATGTTTCCTGCTTATGTAACAGTCATTTATCATAGAAGCTGTAAAATGCAATCTGGAATTTCTCTTGCCAAATTGCTGCCTGTTCTTGACATTTTATATTATTAAAGCTATAAAATCTATAAATACTTTTAGCACACTTTCACTAAAAGCAGCACTAGTAAGTAGCAGGCCTTGTCTTGTATTTCAGTAGCCACGTCAAAACTTCTGAGCCAGGCGAAATAGAAAGAGGGGTCCTAGGGTATTTTATGCCCAGGGCAACAAACGCCAAATGCTGACGTAGATAGCACTTATTCGGTTTTGCCAGGAGCTGTGCTAAGTGATTTTCATAAAATATGTAATTTAACCTACAGGCAACTCCATGTGGTATTATTTTCACTTTTTTACATAGAAGGAAATGGAAGCTTAGAAAACTGAAGCAATTTACCGAAAGTCAGAGTTAACAGAGCAAGGAAACCTGAACAGTGTGCAGCCTCCGCTCACCAGAAAGTGTCAAAGAATCACATTTACTAGTACTTCAGACAGAAATTCTGCGAAACAAGGCGTATCTACTCTTGTTTTACTCCCAGACACTTCCCTGTCCCGCTTAGATCAGTGGTGGTTTTCACTCAAATTTAAGTGTGTAACAGTGTCCCCGGGAGGGCTCTGTTCAAACAGATTGTTGTACGCGCCCCCTACCCCTGCCCACCCCGAGTGTTTGATTCAGTAGGTCTAGTTTGGGATCGAGAATCTTTTTATTTTGTTTTCCTTTTGTTTTGTTTTGTTTTGTTTTTGAGACAGGGTCTCGCCCTGTCGCCCAGGCTGGAGTGCAGTCGTGCCATCTCGGCTCACTGTAGCCTCTGCCTCCCCGGCTAAAGTGATCCTCCAGCCTCAGCCTCCGGAGCAGCTGGGGCCACAGGCAAGCGCCACCACTGTAGGCTAATTTTTTTTTTTTTTTTTTTTTTTTTTTTGTAGAGACTGGGGTCTCACTATGTTGCCCACGCTGGTCTCAAACTCCTGGGCTCAAGCGATCCTCCCGCTTCAGCCTCCCAAGGTGCTGGGATTACAGGTGGAGCCACCGCGCCCGGCATCGATAATCTGAATCTCTAACGAGCTCCCGGGCGACGTTGATGCAGCTGGTACCGGGACCACTCTTCGAAAATCATCGGTTTAGAGGTTTTAATTCTGAATCCATTGCGAAAACTGTTGGGCGGACAGAGCACTACTAACTCCTAACTTTTCTCAGAAAGCTGGGCTCTGCTTTCGCCAGCAACCCGGTCCGAAGTCGCGGGCATATTCTGTCTGAAATCGTGTGCACCGAAATCCCCGCCTTGCGGTGGAGGCTGGCGCTAGGCGGCCTCAGCCTCGGCCTGCTGCGCTCAGGAACCCGCGCCCCGGCTCCTCGGCGATCCATTGCTCTTTCCTCTGGCGCCGGCCGCAGGCCTCGGTCACGCCCCCAGCGGCCCGTTGGTTTCCGGGTCCCGCGGGGTGCCCCCGCCCACACGCTATGCCTTAAATTGGGCCAGGCTGAGGCGCTGCTGCTGGAGCGGCCGATCCGAGACGTGGCTCCCTGGGCGGCAGAACCATGTTGGACTTCGCGATCTTCGCCGTTACCTTCTTGCTGGCGTTGGTGGGAGCCGTGCTCTACCTCTATCCGGTGAGCGCCGTCTTGGCTCTCTGGGGCCCCGGGCGCCGCCCCAGTCTCTCTGTCGCCGGCATCCAGGCCAACCTGCCCGCTGCGGGCCGCAGGGGGCGGGCCTGAGAGGAGGGTTCGGGTTCGCTCCAGAGCTTCAGCGCGGGGACCGCACCCGGAGTCACGTGACGCCCCTCCCGGCAAGCTCTGAGAGCGACGTGGGCTGCGTCGCTACCCCTCAGGCGCCGGGCCAGGCGGGCGTAGAGCTGCTGAGGAAAAGCCCGCGCCCCCGCAGGCCGGTCTCACCTTGCCAGGCACCCCGCGCCACTCTCCAAGGCGGCTCTCAAGTACTTTGGGCAGCTTTTTGGCCATAACTCGCCAAACCCAAATTTCATTTCCCAGTGTGTCAGGACGAGACTCCTGGGCGCGCCACTCCTTTCTCCTTTCTTGAGGATTCTCCCAGCACTTGTGTATTCCTCTTTTCCATCTGTCCATCGATCTATCCTGACTGGAATCCAAAGTGCTCGAGGTCCAGGTCTTGCTCCTCTTAGGGGCTCCAGGCAAATGCTTCTTTGGGGAGAGCGCCGCGCTGCGGGTTCGGGTGCGAGGTTTCCTCTGCCGCTGACGCCTCTGCGAGCCTCCGGTCCTCCTCTCTCCACTTGCCTCCGTCAGCGAGAGAGGGAGGGTCTGAAAACAAAAGTGTTGATGACTGAGGACCGTCTTTAAAACCTGTTCTACACACTTTGGGAGGCTGAGGCGGGCGGATCACGAGGTCAGGATATCGAGACCATCCTGGCCAACATGGTGACACACCGTCTCTACTAAAAATACAAACATTAGCTGGCTGTGGTGGCGGGCGCCTGTAATCCCAGCTACTCAGGAGGCTGAGGCAGGAGAATCGCTTGAACCTGGGAGGCGGAGCTTGCAGTGAGCCAAGATCGCACCACTGCACTGCAGCCTGGCGACAGAGCCAGACTCTTATCTCAAAACAAACAAACAAACAAACAAAAAACACCTGTTCTACAAAGCAAGGTGGTGGTTTTACAGTGAAAGTTGAAAAGTAGCTGAACTGCTGGAATTGACCATACACCTTCTTAAATGTTCTTTTCCGAGCAGGTAAATGGATTAGACTAGAATCTTGCAACTACACAATCAGGGACTTCCTGAAATCTTATTTTCTGAGAAACTAAACAATTTTAGTGGTTCTTGAATTTTTGGTGATTTTAAAATGATACTCTTCTTTGATCAGCTCATAGAAGCACACTGTTTATTCTTAGCACTAGCTATGTGCCAGATATGGTTCCACGTGCTGGGAATCCAGCCGTGAAACAAACCGGACAGAAAATTCCTGACTCTTGGAATTTATTTCCTAGAGAAGGGGAACAGACAATAGAAACAAATAACATAGGATTGTGGGTAGAAATAAAGTTGGGGATAGGTAGATTGTTATTTTAAAGTAGGATGGCCAGGAGATACGGAGACATTTGAGTAGAAACGCGAAGAAGGTGAAGGTGCAAGCCATTCTGAGAAAGAGCATTCTGGGTCGAGGGAGCAGCAAATGCAAACCTTCAGAGGGAGACACGCCTGGTGTGTTCCTGGAAAGCAAGGGGACCAGTGTGGTTAGAGTGTAGTAAATGAGGAAGATACCAGAGGAGAGAAAGTCAGAAAGATGGGAGTGAAGGACAAATTTTAAATGACTTGTAAGGCTTTTTTAATGGACTTTTGCTGTGTGCCACTGGAGGATTTCAGCAGATGAATGCCATTTGAAATTGGATAGAATTCAAATTTAATTTTATTAGATAAATTTTAAAAGAATCATTGTGGTTGCTAAGTCATGAATTGACATGGGTCTCCAGGTAAGGATGGAAGCAAGCCAAGTAATTAGGAGGATATTATCATTTCAGCTTGGATCATGGTAGTAGTGGCACAGATAATGAGAACTAGTCAATTGTGAAGATAGTGCCAATGGGATTTCCCAGTGGATTGGATGTGAAATGTGAAAGAGAGGCATCAAGGAAAACACCAGTTATTTTTAGCCTGGTATCTGGAAGGATAGATTAATTCCAGGGAAGATCAGGGGTTTTGCTGGTGGTGGTTGTTCTTTAGTTTTGTTTTGGTGGGAGGTAGTGGGGATTTATAGAGATTAGGAGTTGGTTTTGGGTGGGCTAGGTTTGAGATGCCTGTTAGACATTCAAGTGGAGATGTTGAGGAGTAACTGAATATATGTCTTGAGTTTATGGGAAAAGTCCAGGCTGAAGATACACATTTGGGAGCTATCAATGTATAGATGGTATTTAAAGCGAGGAGAACTGGTTGCTATCTCCCAGACAATTTAGATACAGGAGAGAAGAGGTCCCAGGGACCATTCCCTGGATTCTCCAATGTTAATGGTTGAGGAGAGAAAGAAGAGCCAGCAAAGGAGACTGAGAAGGAGCAGCCACACAAATAGAAGGAAGCCAGATGTTTTAAGCAGAAGAGGATAATCAGCTAAGTCAAATGCTGCAGATATTTTAAGTTAAGGCCTAATAATTTGATAACATTGGTAATCTTTATTTTTTGTTTTGTTTCATTTAAGAGACAGAGTCTCACTCTTGCCCAGGCTACAGTGCAGTGGTACCATCATAGCTCATTGTAACCTCAAACTCCTGGCCCCAGGCGATCCTCGCACCTTAGCCTCTCAAGTTGCTGGGACTACATGCTCATGCCACCACACCTGGCTAATTTTTAAATTTTTTATTTTTTATTTTTTGATACAAAGTCTCGCTCTGTCGCCCAGGCTGGAGTGCAGTGGCATGATCTCTGCTCACTGCAGCCTCTGCCTCCCAGGTTCAAGCGATTCTTCTGCCTCAGCCTCCCAAGTAGCTGGGACTGCAGGCACACATCACCACACACAGCTAATTTTTTTATTTTTAGTAGAGACAAGATTTCACCGTGTTGGCCAGGCTGGTTTCGAACTCCTGACCTCAAGTGATCTGCCCACCTTGGCCTCCCAAAGCACTGGGATTACAGGCATGAGCCACCGTGCCCAACCTAATTTTTTAATTTTTTAATTTTTTATAGAAATGGGGTCCTGCTTTGTTGCCCAGGCTGGTCTCGAACTTCTGGGCTGAAGTGATCCTCCTGCCTCAGCCTTCCAAAGATCTGGGATTACAGGCATGAGCCACCGCAACATTTGTAATCTTAAGAAGAGCGGTTTCAGTGTAATTGGGGTGATAAACCTAAATGGTGTGGATTCAGAGATATCAAGTATAGATAGCTCTTTAGAGTTTTGCAGTAAAGGGGGCTGATAACTAGAGAAGGAAGTGAGGTGAATTTCTCTTAAGGTAGGAGAAATTACATTATGCTGATGAGGGCTGTCAAGTCATAAAGGAGAAACTGATGATGTAAGAAGCTTATGGCCAGCACGGTGACTCAAGCCTATAATCCCAGCACTTCGGGAGGCTGAGGTGGGAGGATTGCTTGAACTCAGGAGTTTGAGACTAGACTGAGCATTATAGTAAGACCTTGTCTCTAAAATAAATAAATAAATAAGACATGGTGGTGAGCGTCCGTGGTCCCTGGTCCCAGCTACTTGGGAGGCTGAAGCAGGAGGATCGCTTGAGCCTGGGAGATCGAGGCTGCAGTTAGCCAAGATGGCGCCATTGCACTCCAGACTGGGTGACAGAGTGAGACCATGTCTCAAAAAAAAAAAAAGCTTAGGTTGCATGGTCTGTTACTATAACCACTCCTTTGCATATACCTTCAATTCCTTTGCCCTGTATCCATTTGTCATAATCATCTAGCAAACCCTAATTGTGATTAAATCAAATGCTCTGTCAATTCCGCCCCTGAACCCACACAGCTGGAAAACAAACAAACAAACAAAACACAGGCAGAAAAGAACACAGCCATACTGACTAGTCTCATTTTAATTCATAAACCTTAAGTGGGGTGTCTGGAAATCCCCTGGTGCATTCACTCTCCAAATCTTCTAGATAACTTTTCATTCCTTCCCTGTCTTCAAATCTTCTGTCTTCACCAATAACTGATAATCTCTTGTTTTTTTGAGACGGAGTCTTACTGTGTCACCCAGGCTGGGGCTGGAGTGCAATGGTGTGGTCTCGGCTCACTGCAACCTTCACCTTCCGGGTTCAAGCGATTCTCCCACCTCATCCTCCCGAGAAGCTGAGAGTACAGGCGTGTGCCACCACAGTTGGCTAATTTTTGTATTTTTAGTAGAGACAGGGTTTCACTGTGTTGGCCAGGCTGGTCTTGAACTCCTGACCTCGTGATCCACTCTCGCCTCTTTCTTTTTTTTTTAGACAGAGTCTCGCTCTGTCTCCCAGGCTGGAGTGTAGTGACGTGATCTCGGCTCACTGCAACCTCCGCCTCCCGGGCTCAAATCCCGCCTCAGCCTCCTGAGTAGCTGGCATTACAGCACCCACTACCACGCCCTGTTAATTTTTGTATTTTTAATAGAGACGGGGTTTCAACATGTATGCCAGGCTGATTTTGAACTCCTGACCTCAAGTGATCCGCCCACCTTGGCCTCCCAAAGTACTGGGATTACAGGTATGAGCCACTGCGCCTGGCCTCTTTTTTTTTTTTTTTTTTTTTTGAGACAGGGTCTCACTCTGTCACCCAGGCTGCAGTGCAGTGGTGTGACCTTGGCTTACTGCAGCCTTGACCTCCCAGGCTCAAGTGATCCTCCTGCCTCAGCCTCCTGAGTAACTAGGACTATAGTGCTGGCCACTGCACCCGGCGAATTTTTTGTACTTTTTAAAGAGACGGGGTTTCCCCGTGTTGCACAAGCTGGTCTCAAACTCCTGGACTCAAATGATCGTCCTGCCTTGGCCTCCCAAAGTACTGGGATTATCGATGCAAGCCACCACACCTGGCCTATTTCATTGAAAAAATGACACCAATCTGGAGATAATTTCCAGACCACCCTGCCTATCTGCCTAAATTTGTGCCCTTATATTCCACGTTACCTCCTATTACTGTGAACTGGCTATGCTCCCAATTAAATGCCCCCGCCCCCCGTCTCTTCACTCCTGTACTAGATCTCCTACCTTCCCACCCACTCAAGAAAATGGCTCCGGCACAGCAGTTTTTCCTTATTTTTCTTTTGAGACAGAGTCTGACTCTGTCATCCAGGCTGAAGTGCAGTGGTGCAATCACAGCTCACTGCAACCTCCGCCTCCCAAGTTCAAGTGATTCTCATGCCTCAGCCTCCTGAGTAGCTGGGACTACAGGAGTGTGCCACCATGCCCAGCTAATTTTTGTATTTTTAGTACAGATGGGGTTGCCATGTTTGTCAGGCTGGTCTTGAACTCCTGACCTCAAGTGATCATCCACCTCAGCCTCCAAAAGTGCTGGGATTACAGGCAGGAGCCACTGCGCCCGGCCCAGCACAGCAGTTTTCTTCTGTTTCTTGCATCATCATAATGAAAGTGGTAGAATGGACCTTGATTTTTTTTTTTTTTAAAGCCAAACCAGCTGGGACCATATATAAACTCACAACAAAGAAAACGACGAAAAATGTACTGGATATGTGTTAGTTGATGTAGAGTGTATATTAAATTTTTCAAACACCTTAGTTTAACTGACAGAGGAAGAATAATATCCTGAATGAAATAATTCTTTTTTTTTTTTTTTTTTGAGACGGAGTCTTTCTCTGTCGCCCAGGCTGGAGTACAGTGGCGCGATCTAGGCTCACTGCAAGCTCCGCCTCCCAGGTTCACGCCATTCTCCTGCCTCAGCCTCCCGAGTAGCTGGGACTACAGGCGCCCGCCACAACGCCCTGCTAATTTTTTGTATTTTTAGTAGAGACGGGGTTTCACCGTGTTAGCCAGGATGGTCTCTATCTCCTGACCTCGTGATCCGCCTGCCTCGGCCTCCCAAAGTGCTGGGATTACAGGCGTGAGCCACCACGCCCAGCCTTTTTTTTTTTTTTTTGAGATAGAGTCTTGCTCTGTTGCCCAGGCTGTAGTGCAGTAGCACGATGTTGGCTCAGTGCAACCTCTGCCTCCCGGGTTCAAACAATTCTGCCTCAGCCTCCCGAGTAGCTGGGACTACAGGTGTGTGCCACCACGCCCGGCTAATTTTTTATATTTTTAGTAGAGAAGGGGTTTCACCGTGTTAGCCAGGATGGTCTTGATATCCTAACCTCGTGATCTGCCCTCCTCAGCCTCCCAAAGTGCTGGGATTACAGGCCTGAGCCACTGCGCTCGGCTGAAATCATTCTTTAAAAAAAAATTTTTTTTTTTTTTTTCATTTTAAGTTCAGGGGTACAAGTGCAGATTTGTTACATAGGTAAACTTGTATCAAGGGGGTTTGTTGTACAGATTATTTCATCACCCAGGTAATTATTAAGCCTAGTACCCATTAGTTGTTTTTCCTGATCCTCTCACCCTCCGAAAGGCCCCAGCATGTATTGTTCCCCTCTATGTGTCCATGTGTTCTCTTCATTTAGCCCCCACTTATAAGTGAGAACATGTAGTATTTGATTTTCTGTACCTGTGTTAGTTTGCTAAAGAAAATGGCCTCCAGCTCCATCTGTATCCCTGCAAAGGACATGGAAATCATTCTTTTCCATGCAAAGAACCCCTTTTTTTGTATTTTAATATGGAAATAATTTCTTAGATTCAGCTTAATTGGAAAGCTATTATTTAAGGTCCTGCAGATGTGTTGGTGAAACACATCTGACTTATGGGATATATGATAATTCATTATTATAAACTTTTTTTTTGTAAGGCTTCCAGACAAGCTGCAGGAATTCCAGGGATTACTCCAACTGAAGAAAAGTGAGTAATTATTTTCTTGGAATTAAGTAGAGTTAATTCTTCATTATTGATATCAAGACTAAACCATATTTTTAGCCAATCATGGTAGCTGTTGCCAGCTACTGAGGAGGTTGAGGTGGAAGATCGCTTGAGGCCAGGAGTTTAATGCTTCAGTGAGCTATGATTGTGCCACTGCACTCCAGCCTAGGCGACAGAGCCAGACCCTGTTTCTAAAAAAAATAAATAAGTAAAAAGAAAACTAAGGTTATTTTGTGGTAGGACTAGGCAGACAGATGGAATAGAGTAGGTAGTTCAGAAGACAAACCAAAATGATAAACCATATTTTTAGATCACTCATCTTATTCAATTCAATTCCTTTGATTGCCCTAAATTTACCTTGGCATGTAACCTAAACTTTGTTAACAGAAAGGAGGGTCGTGTAAATCAAAACATTTCATTGCTTTCACTTCCCCTTGCCAGAGAAAGCTGAAAAGAGGATTAAGATAGAAGGAAAGAAGGAAAAGATTGCCATAGCTGATCTGATGATTTTCACCAGCCGATGATGTCCATTGTCATCTCAGAATTAGGTGCTGGGAAAGTGGGATAGCTTTCCAGTATCTAAGTCGGATGTTCCTATGGAGCTTTCTTATTTGGTTTGAAGTGTTAAGAATTCTTAAAATATCAGACAAATCCATATCTAAATATAACTATAGAAATATAGCAAGAAGGCAAATATAATTGAGTTTTGGATTTTGCAGTAATTTGAATTTCATGAACCTTTGTTCTCATTTATTGATACAGTTAATTCAGAGTCAACTGTTGTTTTTCTCATTTTTCCAAATTAAATTGATTATTTTGTCAAATGTTGCTCTTTTGCCAGAGATGGTAATCTTCCAGATATTGTGAATAGTGGAAGTTTGCATGAGTTCCTGGTTAATTTGCATGAGAGATATGGGCCTGTGGTCTCCTTCTGGTTTGGCAGGCGCCTCGTGGTTAGTTTGGGCACTGTTGATGTACTGAAGCAGCATATCAATCCCAATAAGACATGTAAGTTTAATTTTCTTTCTAATTACCTGATCCTTACCTTTTAAGAATGAATGTTTAGGCTGGGCACGGTGGCTCACACCTGTAATCCCAACACTTTGGGAGGCTGAGGCAGGTGGATCACATGAGGCCAGGAGTTCGAGACCAGCCTGGCCAACATGGTGAAACCCCTTCTCTACTAAAAATACAAACACTAGTCGGGTGTGGTGGCACACACCTGTAATCCCAGCTACTTGGGAAGCTGAGGCATGAGAATCTCTTGAACCCCGGGGGCG